>NW_018654717.1:5764366-6065947 GCF_000001405.40 Homo sapiens | reverse complement strand
CAGTTTTAAGTGGTGCTGAGACTTTAGGCCAGTGTTTGACTCTAGAGCCCAGTGCAGCATTCAAAATGTACTGACAGCAAAAACAAAGTAACATAAAGTATTTATAACACCTTCCAAATGCATGCTCTCAGTTCTGAAGGTTGAGCCTTTCATGAGATAAAAGGAATTTTCTTGGCAGATTTTTCACCAATGAAATAATGAATCTGCCTTCTCATGTGGCCTGCCATCTGCTATGAGGCCCAAGAGACACATTTTTCTCTTCCCTACAAAGCTAGGCTGAACAATTTTACCAAATAACTAAAATGCAGGAGGCAGAATCCCTTTGTGAGAATCAGAGTTCATGATGAGCTCTTCAAATACTGTTAAATTGAAACAAATATTCAGAATATTATAAATCTCACTAGATTCTTCTAGAGATAAATGTGTTAGAAATGTAAACTTTAAGATAAATTTACAGACTTTTATTAAGCAGCTAACACAGGCAGCCAAATCGAAATCAAAGCAGGCTTTCAGGTTTGCATTAGGTTCTGATCAGATTCTAAATTACAATTTATTCTTAAAATGAACGCTGAAATTTGCTGTTGAGCTTCTTTTTCACTCTATATGAAATAACTCAGTATTTTATACCTGCTAGTTTTTCCATATTTTCAGGAAACACTGACTCTTTAATGAGTGAATTGTTACATCTATTAATATTAAAGGAAGCATTCCATAAATAAAGTCAATCTGGAGTTGAGGCTGCGTTACAATAGAGACTGTTGAAAGCAAACGAGAAGAAATAGAAACACTTGGTAAAATGAGGTAGACTAAGAAGACCGCTTTGTTAACAAAGGACCATGACATCTATGGAGAAAGGAAAGAAGAAAACTTTGAGAGACCAGATCTGCAGATCAAAGAACGTAGCCTCCAGAGAAACTGAAAACACCAAAGAGCGGAAAGGGAAAGCTGGTGTTTGTGTTCTTTGGGGTCTGCCTTAGGCGCATATTTAGCAGATTTGGAGAAAATCTATAAATATTTATGAGGGAGACCCCAAATGCATGTGCAGTGGGTGTGCATGCATGTAACATACATTCTCTGTTCATTTTAGGGTAGAATTTTAACATTAAAATGAGGCAGAATTGGGCTCTTTACCATCAAAAGGTGAACTGTAGGGCATAGAGGCGTTTTGCAGGCAAGGGCTAGCTTCTGCTCAATTATAGGAAACAAGACCTTATGACAGGAATACAGGGTTTTGTGGCCAACCCCTCTCTGCTACGGCCACTTGATTTCATCTCTGAAGTGCCTTGTTTTAGCCACAGGGAGTTCGTTTCATCCGTCAGCAGGGGGTCTATTTTAACAGCTCTCACAGGTTGAAAGAGAGATTACAGTGACAGAAGACCCATTCAGAGAAAGCTCGATTCATGGTGGCCGCACTGGAGGGACCAGTAGGGATTAACTAAATACATCTGGTGGGTTGACCATGACGCAGTATGTGTGGAAACACAGACACACCAGCTAGTAAGCAGTAGACCCAAGACTAGAAGACTCACTACTTCTCCTAGCAGTGGGAGGGCCTGGTCGGTTTCAAAGAGCAATGTCTGTTTCCAAGGGCAGTGGGAGGGTAAAGGTGGTCACCCATGAGGACTGCTCTCAGAGATACATATAGTGTGGTACCTTCATAGGTATAAGGTGAGGGTACCGCACAAGAGGCAATAACACCGGGGTCAAGATTAGGAGGCTGGGGAGTGAGAACCAGAGAAACTCATTCTGGAACACACAGGAGAAGAGCTCCTGAAAACTCTAGAAAGAGCTGGGAGAATCTTTGAGGGCGGCTGATTTCTAGCAATCAGTCAATTTGAGACAACGTAAGATGCTTAACTCTATGTTACAGTGGCAGGCTGAGAAGTCCATTAGAAAATGCAACACTGCATAACGATGTAGGGTTGGATGTGTTGGTCATGTTGCCCATTGCTTGTGTTTACCCAGCACTCCATTTCTCCTGTAACAAAAATTCGCTCCATCTGATGATGATGGGAGTGGGCACATGACCCAAGTGTGGCCAATCACAGTATGTGGTGCCCATGGGTTGCTGTGATTTGTACAAGCATGAGCACATAAGTAAGAGCAAGCCAAAGGGACTATATCCTTGAACTTAATTGAGTCTGCTTCAAATAAATAGTAACAAAGCATTTATAATATAATTGGGGAAACTGAAATGCTGACTGGATGTTTAATGACATTAGGCAATTGCAATGAATATTTTGGGTTCACCAATAATATTGTCCTTGTCCTTTATATGTTCATACTGGAATATTTATGAATAAAATGATTTGAAATCTCATATTTGAATCAAAATAACAAAAATAATTCAAGAGAGTGTGGGTCGATGAAACAAGATTGTCCGTGTTGAAACAAGATGGTGGATACATAGGGGTGGTTTAATTATACAAATGAAGCTGATCACATATAATCCCTTTGCATAAAATGTGTATTTGTTTTTGTAAATAAATGTATATTTCTATGCATAGAACAAAACACTGAAAACTACACACACACAAGCACATATAAATATATTGCATTTAATATATTTCACATATATAAATATCAATATTGCATTTAAATCTTTAGACCATCTGCACTTTATTTTAGAGCATGGTGAGAAATATTAGCTTTTTCTCCCCGAGTAATTATCCCAGCACCATTTACTAACTAATTCACAATTATTTCACCAATTTGATATGTCGTGTTAATCAAATTCTAAATACTCACAGATCTGTACAATCTATTCAATTTATTTGATGTTATATTTTAGCACATGTCATATTGTGTTAATTATTATGGTATGTAATGTGATGCAAAATCTGAAAGTTCAAGTTTCCTCTTGTAGAAGTTATTCTTATTTTTCAGTGTTTAAATGGCTTCCTGCTCCTTTACTCTTTCAGATAAAACTTAGAGTAATCTCATCAAGCTTTTAAAAATTCCCACTGAGTTTTAGATTACAGTTGCATTTCATTTATATATTATTTGGGGGAATTTTAGGAATCTTGAATGTTGAATCAGCTTTCTGAAAATTGCATAGCTTATATATTTTAAAAGGCCTCTGTAAGAGAATACCAAATGCACAGTACTTGCTTCTGATTTGCTTTTTAGAAAGAGTGGTATGATCTTTCAGAGTTCTGGGTTCTTCATTTTATGTTTCTACCAAATTTTTTTCTTTCTTCTAGCCCTGGTGAAACACATCCTGATTTATTTATTTAGTTTTTATTTATTTTTATTTTACTTTAATAGACTTTTGGGGAATAGAGGATGTTTGGTTACATGAATAAGTTCTTTAGTGGTGATTTGTGAGATTTTGGTTTACTAGAATTTTTAAAAAACGGGGTGTTTCCTTATTTCCAGTATCATGGTCAATGCAGAATCAGGTAATATTTGCTCTGCCAGTATAACTTTATTGAAGCATTCTATTCATTTCTATTTATTTCTAATGTGTGGGTTTCTGACAAACGTTATCCTATATTTTTCATTTTGATCTCTGCTGTATTCCAAAAAAAGAAGGCAAAGTGCTTATGTTTGGAAATTGGGCTCCCCCTGCTGGTACATTTAGCACCTTTATTGCCTCCAATTCTCAGAGCCTTTTAAAACCCAATTCTATTTTATAGAGTCTTGGACCTAAGAGATTAAAGTATTTGCTAACTGCTATGCTATATTATCTGAATGACTAAGATCTATTGATATAAAATTTAGAATATCATATAATTAATTCTAATATGCGCAAACCAAGAACTAAGAGAGACGAGAGATCAGTATAGTTTAAAGGCAGCAAGTGGTGTGCTGGTAAGTGTTTAACAACCGGGCTCTCTGAAAAGCCTGATTTGTAGCATTTGCCAACTTTTCTGGTGTAAATAATTCTACAGTGGCTCATTACAAGTTACCAACGTGAAGTCACTGAAAGTGGAGTTGGGAAAGATGCTCATTTGCTGCCACAAGCTGGCTCCAGCATACCTCTGATTGAAGATGAGAAGGTTTGAGCTGGATTTTATATTCTGCAAAGAATATGTAAGCGCTAATAGCTCATAGTAGAAAAACCATGTGCTTAAAAGTTTGATAGATCCACATTTAAATCCAGCTCCACTGCTTTCTAGCTTTTAGCAATGTGTTTTTTGAATCTAAGTGTTAATGTCTTTAAAATGAGCTGATAATACCTACCTTTCAAGGTTATTGAAAAATTAGAAAGGATAATGTATATAAATCACCTCAGCAGAATGTATATTTCTAATAAGTGGTGAGCTGACTATCCAAAGCCACCAGAGGACAAGATGTTCAGGCACAAAGATGCTGAAATGGGGGCTAGCACACTGAGCAAACTCTTGTCCTCTAATCCCAGAGAGTTTATATCTAGGAAGAGCAGTCTGCTTAACTGGCTATGAGGAAGTCATTCTGGTCATAATGAGAGATACATATTGGAGGAATGTGGAGCACTAATATCAGATAAATATTGTGTCTCGATTTTGGTTTTCTGCATAGGAAGCAAGAGAAGGAAATTCATTGTCAAATAATAGAGAACACATTGCTTTGGGAACTCTGGTTCTGACCTAATGGCAGAAGGAACAAGACTTACCTGTCTCTTTGTTGTCTTTCTGTTGGAGTGGATTTGTTTCTAGTCTTTGCTCTTAATAGGGAGCAGTACTTTGAAAGTGCTGACTTTATGTAGGCCCCTTGGTTCCAACTTCCCATTTGAGAAAGACTCAAGGCTTCATTCATCTCCCCTCTTCTTTTTCGTATTAACAGAGATGCCCCAGGTAACTGAAGATCAGCAGATTCCTAGATTGCTGAGACTAACAACCTGTCCTCTGGAAGCCAGAGCATCACTGCTCAAAGCTTCTCACTGTGGTTTTAGTTCCAGGTTCATTTCTGAACTGTGTCTACATTAGATAATAAAAATATATTATATTTTAGCCAGTATTTCTAGGTGCTTTTAGTGGAAGGATTTTCAAATTCTGTCCTCCACAAGCCGATAGCTGTCAAATAAGTTTATCCCTCCAATCCTATAGGCCAAACAATCTCCAGTTCTATCAGTTAAACGTCCCATTTCAAACCAGTCCAAACTCTTGCCCTGCTACTCAACTCCCAACCTAGCTCACATTTTCAACTTCAGTTTCCCCAGGCATATCCAATCCCCCTACCCTCTGATCAAACTAGAAAACACTCTCTATGATCTAACAATCCACAAAGCAAATACTGCATGGTTCGAAGTCTGTGACAGTAGATGTTTTTTTGATTTGAAGAAGAAGAATAGAAACATCAAGAATCCTCGCAGAAAAGTTTTTAAATGATTTGTAAAGGATTCATTTAAAAATGATTTTGTTAAGACCCTCCCATGGTAATTGCTAATATTTATAAAACCCAAATTTATGCCTGAAGGTTTCAGTAATTGAGAACAAAAGTAACATCTAAAAACCCCATTACAAACAAACAAGCTTTTTTTTAGTATAAAGTCTTACATTAGTATAAAGTTCTTAGTCTTTACTGTTGAGTCCTTGATGTAAAGTCTTAACTAGTTTTTCTTTTTCTTTTTTTTTAGAGATGGGGTCTGATTATGTTGCCCAGGTTGGCCTTGAACTCCTGGACTCAAGTAACCTCCACTTAGGCCTCTCAAAGTGCTGGGATAACAGATGTGAGCCACTGTGCTCAGCTTCTTTACATTTTTAGTGTAAACTTAGGGTAAAATCTCCTATTGTAGAAGCTTCTATTGTGGTCAATGTAATATGTCAAATTGACTAGGTTATGGTACCCAGATGTTTGGTCAAACACTAAACTGGATGTAGCTGTGAAGGTATTTTTAGAATAAACTTAACATTTAAATCAGTAGACTTTCAGTAAAATAGACTACCCTTCATAATATGGGTAGGCCTCATTCAATCAGGTCTTAGGAGAAAAGACTGAAGCATCCCAAAGAGGAAGAAACTCTGCCTCAAGATTTCAATATAGAAACACTGCCTGGGTGTCCAGCCTGCAGATTTTGGATTCAGGTCTTCAACTTCAACTCTTGCTGAATTTCCAGCCTGATGGTTTGCTGTACAGATTTTGGACTTGCGAGACTTTCCGCCAGATGCTTCCTCTCACCCCTTGTCCCTGGCATGGCTTTATTCCAGAACCTCTGTCAAAATATACTTTATGGGTGGCTACTCTGGCTTAATGAAGAGATAGAGATGGCAAACTTCTCATCAAGTCATATTTGTTTGGCTCTCCAAAAAATGTATTAAGCTATTAATATATTTGCAGCACTGGGGCCACCTCAAAAATGGGTTAAAAGATGGGTTCTTCTGGCAGGGCGTGGTGGTGCATGCCTGTAATCCCAGCACTTTGGGAGGATGAGGCGGGTGGATCACCTGAGGTCGGGAGTTTGAGACCAGCCGGACTAACATGGTGAAACCCCGTCTCTCCTAAATACAAAAAAAATTAGTCAGGCATGGTGGCAGGTGCCTGTAATCCCAGCTACTCAGGAGGCTGAGACAGGAGAATCACTTGAACCTGGGAGGCGGAGGTTGCAGTGAGCCGAGATCGTGCCATTGCACTCCAGCCTGGGTGACAAGAGTCAAATTCTGTCTCAAAATAAATAAATAAATAAATAAAATACCTTCTTCTCACACTCATTAGGAAGGCTAGTATCGAAAAATGGAAAATAAATGTTGGTGAGAATGTGGAGACCTTGGAAGCTTTGTGCACTGCTACACATGCTACAACAGAGGTGAGTATTGAAGACATTGTGCTACATTATGTGAAATAAGTAGGTCACAAAAGGACGAATAATGTGTGATTCCACCTATATGAGGTACCTAGAATAGATACATTCACAGAGATGGAAAATAGAAGTTACCAGTGGTTGGGGGGAGAGATTAATCAGGAGTTATTATTTAATGAGTACAGTTTCTGTTTGGGATGATGAAAAAGTTCTAGAAATGGGTGGTGATAATGATTGCGTAACAACGTGAATGTAGTTAATGCCAATGAATTGTACACTTCAAAATGATTTACATGGTAAATTTCATGTTAATGTATGTTTTACCACAATAAAAATGTACCTTCTTCTTTCAATCATGCACATGGGTCTAGATAAGCTTACATTGTTGGTAGAGATGATAAAAGAGAAAATAGTGAGAGTCCATAATTCTGTTCCGAGGTGGGGACTAGTCAATATTTTCCTCCAGTTTGGCTAAAAATTTGAAAACAATCAAATTTGTTTTGACATTTATTAAGCTGATGAAAATGATGGGATGGTACAGTCAAAAAGGTAGAAATTATAGTTTTTTTAATACTTTAAGTTCTGGGATACATATGCAGAATGTGCAGGTTTGTTACATAGGTATACACGTGCCATGGTGGTTTGCTGCACCGATCAACATATCATCTACATTAGATATTTCTCCTAATGTTTCTTCTCCCTTCTTGAAGTGTTGGACAGTTTTGTATTTTCTTTGGCTCTGAATGCATGCAATCTTGATAGAGGCAGACCCATCTACTTCTGAAGGTCAGGTTGCTTGCGGCAGCTCAGTTATTCAAGTGTGCAGTGTGAAGAAGGAAGGAGACTGGATACAATAATTACTTAAGCAGCTACTAGTTTCTTGACCAGAGTTAAACCGCTTAATCTTCTGTGCCATGGTTTCCTAGCCTGCGTGTCTTCTCGCTTCAGTTTGTAAACTAAGATTGACCCTAAATCAGAAACAGATACCACAGTATTAAAAAATATTACTCATTATTTTACATTGTGGGTTTTTTACTCTTTCTGCATCAGATTTTGACTGTTTGTATGGCTGGCTCTGAAAGCTCTAGACAGTTGCTCAAAGTGAGTATTCCTGTCTGCTCAGGTTATAACCTCAGCCCCCTCTCTTTGAGAAGCAGATGCCAACTTGGGGTGAGAAAGGGCCACCACCCTCTCCAAAATTCATCCCTTTGTGACCATAAAGCCATGTCTTTACAGCAGAAATGACTACTTCCCCTAGTTAGCTCTATGTTTCCTATAAAATATTTTACTATTCAAGATCAAGCAGAGCAATGTTGTTCTGTAAGTTTGTGATTTGCCTCGGAAACCACAGGGGTTGTGTGAGAATTTATGTTCAGAGCATTTATAACTTTATAAAACATGAGGTAAAAGCTTTCCTTCACAAAAGAGGTGAAAATCCTGACCTGTGCTGAGAAATGAATAGGAATGGAGGATCTGTGCATGTGTAAAACGACACTGTCAACTAACATTTTAATTTCACACCATGCATCAGACAAATTCGAGGCAACCAAAATGCAATATATCAGAGATGAGGAGAAATCTTTATCAGGCTATAAAAGTAACCCTCTGCACACTTACAATAGTCCATCATGGGACACCCAAGATGGATTTATACCAAGAGTAAAGATTATTTGCACGTTACAACTCACCTAGGTGGTACTAGCTCAAATTGGGACCAGTATTCTCTTTAATGATATTAAAGTGTGAATGTCACCTAGATGTGATAAACAACTTGAGTTTCAAAGACGCTTCTGAGAGTGGTCAAAACCATTAGCTACTTTGAGAAATTGTGGCTATTGAAGATTTAGTGAACACTATCTGTACCCTGTTGGGTAATTCAGAAGTTGAGGTTGGTCCTATGAGAGAATATGGTAACTAACAGAGACAGCAACCGATGGGAGAAACATTCAATAATCAATTATTAAATACACTACTGATACAGTTTTGCTGTGTCCCCACCCAAATCTCATTTCGAATTGTAGCTTCCATATTTCCCATGTGTTATGGAAGGAACCTGATGGGAGCTAATTAAATCATGGGGGCGGTTTCCCCATACTGTTCTCATGGTAGTGAATAAGTCTGACGAGAGCTGATGGTTTTATAGGAGGCTTCCCTTTTCACTCGGCTCTCATATCTCTCTCTCTTGCCTGCCATGTAAGATGTGCCTTTTGCCCTTCACCATGATTGTGGGGCCTCCCTAGCCATGTGGAACTGTGAGTCCATTAAAGCTCTTTTTCCTTATAAATTGCCCAGTCTTGGGTATGTCTTTATCAGCAGTGTGAAAACAGACTAATACAACTACTACTTTTCTTGTTCATGCTAGAAGTAAGCACTGCTTAAATTTAGCATTTTCATCCTTAAAAGAGAAAGCTAAATAAAATGTTCACCAAATAGAAAAAATTGCAGCTGTTAAGGCCTGGCAAATTATATCCAGAAGAGAATGGTTTAAAATAAATCTACCAAACATCTTGTAGCTTGATTCAAAACAGCTAAATCGTTCTGAATATGTGAATGAACAGCTAATTCAAGGAATATCAGCTCCATTCTCCTGAGCCATGGGTGATTTCTCTTATATCTTCCATGGTAACTAGTGGTCCATCTGTCCGACAAGATGGAAATCATCAAGACCCACTGGGGGTTTGAAGGCCCAGTATTTCCCAAAACTCACCAGCTAGGACCTTTGAAAATGGGAATACACTAAAAATATAGACAACCTGTTATAGGTGTTTCTGTCCGTGAATTGGGAACTTCTCAGTATGCTAAAGAGCTAGGAAGGACTTAGGCCATTCACAGGGCTGCAGACTCTGTTGGTGATACTGAATTCCAGTTTATAAATCGACAGGAGGAGTTCCTTTCTCCACATCCTGGGAACCAGAGAGTTGCCATTCAACATTTCATGGAAGAAATTCAAGTAAAATAGCTCCTGATCTCGTACAACTATGGTTAGTGGTAGGAATATATGCATCAGAATTTTTCGAACTGTTAAAAATAGCAGGCTACGTTATTGGTGAACATAAGGAAGATTAGTCCCTAGCTCTCATTTCAGAAGAGTTACAGTAACTGTTTAAGAGAAACAATGAGAAAAAAATTGGAGGGTGAGTTACATGTGTTTACAATCTAACTTATTCCTGGGTGACGCCTCCTGAACTTCACTTTGAGGAAATGAATCTATGTTTTGATGCAACATTATTATATCCTCGAGCTCAGCTTCAATATGAGTTCTTAAGATTTTATGCATAGATTTAACTGAGAGATGTTGTGTTTTTAGAGAACTGATGGGGATGACTATAAAGTCAGATCATGAAGGGAACAGGAAGTTTTACTGCTAGTGGATGAATGTGACTCCCAAATTGTTTTCATGTTATTACAAAGTGACAGAAATGCAAGGAGTTTAGGAGTATAAATTACATGTATGAAAACCATCATGCTATTTAAGGGCGTGGTGGAACATGGCTGTGTATATTTTTTTCTTTAACTGAAAATTACCAGTTTGCAAATGTCCCTGTTGTAAAACTGTTTGTGAGTCAACGAAACGATTGCTCACGACAAAGCCTAGGCAGTTAAGGGCAAGTTAGAAATCATGGAAGGAAACAGAATTATACTTGTTAAGTATTTCTCCTCTCAAAGACCCAGATGGGGTGGTTTGTGCTCTGGCAGGTTGAGAATGAATCCTGAAAGATGGTGGACATTTCTGGACCCCATAGATTGTGACCCACAGAGAAATAAATAGTCTAGGACTTTAAATGTATGCAAGAAAAGGTTCTATACCACAAATTTCACTGATGCTGTATCATTAATCAAAATGGTCTTGAGGTAGAATTAGATGACGCAGAATGTGTTTCAGTGTATCTGGATTCTCACAGCCACTGCATCGTGAACTTCTTGTGCATTGCCTATGATTTAAAATGTTGTGACAGTTATTTCATTGTGAGACTACTGTTTCTTGTCACATTGATTATTTTATATAGGTACCCAAATTTTAAATTCTACTGTGTGCCCTCTTTAAGTTTCCTTTAAATGCAACAGGAGTTTTCTGAGAGTAAGCTGCACGTATTAGTTTGCCAAGGCTGCCATAGCAAAGTGCCCAGACTGGGTGACTTCAAAAATAGAAATTGATTTTCTCCTGGTTCTGGAGGCTAAAAGTCCAAGATCAGGGTACTGGCAGAGTTGAGTTCTTCTGAGGCCTCTCTCCTGTGCTTGCAAATGACTCTTCTCTTGCTGCCTCTTCACCTGGTGGTCCTGATATGCACATGTGCCCCTGGTGACTCTCTCAATGTTCCAATCCCCTCTTTTTATAGACATCAGTCAGATTGGATTGGATTAGGACCCATCCATAGGACCTCATTTAACCTTAATTACCTCTTCAAAGCTCCTCTCTCCACATACAGTCACTTTCTAAGGACTTCAAACAGGAATTTTTTGTGGAGACGACAGAATTCAGTCAACAACAGCATACTTCTTATATTTAAGCAAACCGCACAGGATAAGAATTCCATGAGGCCCGTGCTGCATCTGAATACTAGGGCCCTGATCACCTGATGCGTGGCAAGAGGAGTAACTTAGCCAAAAGGTACAAGGAGGAGACACGGAATGACTTTGATCTCCAGGGAGAGTCCCAGCCTTTCTCTAAGCAGGTCAAGCATGTCTTGAAGTCGGGTTGTACTTGTACCGCTCAGAGATTTTGACAATGATCTCAAAGGTTGTTTTCAAAGAAGAGGGTGACCATATCATGTTAGTGGGTCAAACATTGAACCATACCTGCACAGTACACAGTACACTGGTTTCCATCTACTGGCTATACCTAAGTTTGAATCTTCTTTCTCTTTCTTTCTTTTTCTCTTATCTTTTCTTTCTTCTTCTTCTTTTTTTTTTTTTAACAAGGTTTTTCTCTTTTGCCCTGGCTGGAATGCAATAGTGTGGTCATAGATCACTACAAACTAAACTCCTAGGTTCAAGCAATCCTCCCACCTCAGCCTCCTGAGTAGCTGGGACTACAAGTGCGTGCCACCATGCCTGGCTTTTTTTTTTTTTTTTAATTTTTATAGAGATGGGGGTCTCACTATGTTGCCCAGGCTGGTCTTGAGCCCCTGGGCTCAAATGATCCTCCTACCTCAGCCTCCCAAAATGCTGGGATTACAGGCATGAGCCACCACACCTGGCCTAGGTTCAAGTCTTTATCGTAGAGTCTGCCGGTTCATTTTTCGTCATTGCCAGTGGCCTCATGCCATCCCTCCCTTCCAATGGTTGAGCAATATAGCTGGCCAAGAAGGGTTGTCTGAACAATACCCTGCCAACTGAGGAGAGGCTATGGGCCCCTATTTGGGGACTAACCTTGCTATGATTGACAGTATGAAGGTCACCTGTGAGTTTATTTTAATTTTTCCTCAGTTACCCCATGAGCTACTATGAGAAGGAGCCAAAACCTGAGTCAGGGACTTGTGAGCAGCTTTGCAATAAAACCAAGATCCAATGACACTGTCTCCAGAGGTACAAGTTATCTGGGAAGAGGAATGGAAAAGGCAGCTCATGCTACTCTCAGCTCTAGGCTTTCTGGGAATAAAAGACCTGCCAACTCTTGTAACCCCCAGAGATGTCCTTTTTGGCAGTTGTTCAAATGCTATATCTGCTGAAGGTGTCTCAGCCTGGGAAAAAATAGCACTTCTATGACTACACAAGCTTGTACCTGTTAACAAGAATAAGCTCTGTCTCATCAGCTATTGGGAGATTATTTATAATGGATTTGGTTATATTTAAACCTGTTTCTGGATGGAATAAAGAAAGCTGTATAAAACAAGGGGGATGTTTTTTCCATCTTGCCATTCGGGTTTGACAGTAAGTTGAGGTCCTTTCTCTGGTGGGTCCTATGCGGAAAGCATCAGTGGACTCTCCCTATGATAGATGCAACAATATGAATCCAGCCTTAACAGGGACCCCAGATGGAAAGCAAAGGATTGCCAAGACATGACAAATAGCAGTTTATAAAGTTTTGTATCAGACCGTAACTACAACACAGACAGGAGCCTAAGACTCCCAACTTGGGGCAAGACACTGAATCAGGAGGCCCAATGTATTGAGTTCTGTCAACAGAATATACTCCTGTGCAATTGCCTGCACCCTGCCAGGAAGCAGATGGTCAAGTCTGTTTTGAGTTCATTACACAGTACATTTGCATAATTTTGCAATGTTACCAGCACTACACTGATGAGGAATAGGCAGAGCTGTTTGTGTCTTTTACCTTCCCAAGAAGTTTGTACTGTGACTTCATGGACAGCGATATAGAAGCTGTATGCTAAAGGTACACTTTCAAATGCTAAGAAAGACACGTAGCACCTTCATACCAGCTTTGTCACTGCAGTGACCCCTTGGAACTTTAAAGATACTATAAAGAGATCATCAACCTAATATTGACTCTAGTTTGCAGCAACAAAGAGAGGAACCTTGTTTCTTCTTTTGGTAATACCAAGGAGAATTCACAAGCAAACTGCCACCTGGGGGGCCTTTTTCAAAGACTGCATATATTTGTCCCAAATCACACACCCGTAAAACCACAGATGACAAGATGGTGCCGGAGAAAGGGAAAAGCTCAGTTTTGAGAGTATAAACAAACTTGTTTTACTACTGCTCAGAGAGGAAGTTAAACCATCTAAGATGGCTGTACAGGCGGGGACGTCATTCCTAATACCTGTGAGTAGATGTGAATTCCGCCATACCTAACCAAACCCACCTAAAAACTGCTCATTTCATACCAGAGAGGTCTTTTCTGTTCTTAGAAAACTATGGAAAGTTCTAAGAAAGCTAACGTTGTGGCTGACCCCATTGGCCAAAACACCTCTAACACTACAGTCATGTGTGAGCTCATGCAGAACAAACTAAATGCTTTGCAATCATCTCCAACAAAGGGAAACCGCCCTGTGTGGTGCTTCTGATGATTTTGTTTATGCAATAGCTAAGATCACTCTCAACACAATGAAGGTGATACCCTGCTGTCTCCCTAATGATGGATCTCCATATTGAAGAGAAGGCACAGGGAGATAGGAGTCATGGTGTCGAAAAGGTCATCCTTAAGATATCCAAGAGAGTGTTGGCCAGGCATCGTGGCTCACGCCTGTAATTACAGCACTTTGGGACGCAGAGGCGGGTGGATCATGAGGTCAGGAGTTCAAGATCAGCCTGGCCAAGTTAGTGAAACTCCATCTCTACTAAAAATACAAAAAATTATCTGGGTGTGGAAGTGGGTGCCTGTAATCCCAGCTACTCAGGGGGCTGAGGCAGAAAATTGCTTGAACCCGAGAGGCGGAGGTTGCAGTGAGCTGAGATCAAGCCACTGCACTCCAGCCTGGGCGACGGAGTGAAACTCTGTTTAAAAAAAAACAGAAAAAGAATGTCTGGAGCCTTTTTTAGAAAAACAATTTCTCCAGTCATTAGACTTTTGATCAGTTGTTAATGAAGTAAACAGAGAGGCTGTTGGAAGTCCTATGAAGAACATCCCTAATTTGCTGAATAGAACACCATCACAACCATGACTCAGCAATCAGATGCAAGCATGACAGTTGCCTTTCACCATTTGGACTTCAAAGATGTTGAGATGATAAAGAATTATGTGATTTTGCTTCAGGGATCTCACATATACATGGAAAGGGCAGCATAAGGAGGAAGAAACCTCTTCTTCATGAGGACTGAGCCTGAGCTACTTAACTGGGACCCTAGCAATTATCCATGTGGGATCCTGTCAGCCAAGAAGTCTTGTTCTGTGGGAACTGACACTGTAGAAAGCTAATGAGCCCCAAAACTTGTCCCTGAGTAAGTTGAAACAGCTTAAAAATGTGACATCATGACCAGAGGATGGGTCATTTGTGGATAAGAATCTAACCTATCTAACCCAGGGTTTTGCCACCCATACTGTTAAGCCCCAGTCTAAAAGACAGGGATCAGTATTCCATGTTCTGTCCTCAGGAAACCATCCCTTGAGTCCTGGTAGGTCAGATGATATTTGGGCTGCCTCAGGGTAAATAAAAGGGATTGTCCAGCCACTGTTTCTCCAGCAAATCCATTAATAAAAAGTGAGATATGGTATTATCTAAACTTACAATTTCAGCTGGGCATGGTGGCTCCCGCCTGTAATTCCAGCACTCTGAAAGGCCAAGGCAGTGGGGGGGGGGTGGATCACATGAGGTCAGGAGTTCGAGACCAACCTGGCCATCATGGTGAAACCCTGTCTCTACTAAAAATACAAAAATTAGCTGGGTGTGGTGGCGCATGCCTGTAGTCCCAGCTACTTGAGAGGCTGAGACAGGAGAATCGCTTGAATCCAGAAGGCGGAGGTTGCAGTGAGCCGAGATCCCACCACTGCACTCCAGCCTGGGTGACAGAGCAAGACTCCATCTTAAGTAAATAAATAAACTTACCATTTCAGAAAAATGCAAGCTCTAATTGTAAGCAAAGGTTAACTTCTCTATTTATTTATTTTATGTGAACTTTGGGTGTGGAGGATTGAGTTAATCATGCCATACATTTTACATTTCTATCACAATCTTTCAGCTGCTTAACTGGCTCTGAAACCTGTCACCATGAGAGGTGAAGCCAGCTGGACATCCTGGGTCAAGTGGGGACTTGGAGAGCTTTTCTGTCTAGTTAGAGGATTGTAAATGCACCAATCACTGCTCTGTGTCTAGTTAAAGGATTGTAAATGCACCAATCAGCACTCTGTAAAAGTGCACCAATCAGAACTCTGGGTCTAGCTAAAGGATTGTAAATGAACCAATCAGCACTCTGTAAAAATACACCAATCAGTGCTCTGTGTCTAGCTAAAGGATTGTAAATGCACCAGTCAGCACTCTGTAAAAACACACCAATCAGCACTCTGTAAAATGGACCAATCAGCAGGACGTGGGCAGGGCCAAATAAGGGAATAAAAGCTAGCCACCCACCCCCCCCCACCAGCCAGCAGGGCGACCTGCTCAGGTCCTCATCTGTGCTGTGGAAGCTTTGTTTTTTCACTCTTTACAATAAATCTTGCTGCTGCTTACTCTCGGTCCACACTACCTTTAAGAGCTGTAACACTCACTGTGAAGATCTGCGTTTTCAATCTTGAAGTCAGGGAGACCACAAATCCACCAGGAGGACAACTCCGGATGCACCACCTTTAAGAGCTGTAACACTCACTGCTTTGTTCTTTAACCGGGAGGAAGAAACTCTGGACACATCTGAACGTCTAAAGGAAAGAACTCTGGACACACCATCTTTAAGAGCTGTAACACTCATTGCAAGGGTCCGTGGCTTCATTCTTGAAGTCAGTGAGACCAAGAACCCACCGGAAGGAATAAATTCCGGATGCAACCACATCTGTATTGATAAATATTTCCTTGATATTATTTGCCCATTCTCTTTTACAACTCCCTTCTCTCATTTGGATATTCTTACATGTCACCTATTTTCAATATATGCATTCCAAACCCCTAAAAAATGTGCAACAACTTCATTTATAGGACTTTTGGAGATTGTACAATGGTAGAAAAATTGAGGCTTTTGATAAAAAAAGATATTATCAGAATGTTCTATGTGTTGATTGTGGTGGTTATATAATTGTAAATAAGATGGTTTGTTTCATTGTATGTGAATTATACCTCAATAAACCTGAATTTTAAAAAAAAGTCAAAATAATTCGTAAATAGGATTATTCCTTGAAAAAATTGTTATGGTCTAAATAGTCAGAAAATTAGATACAGTCCTTAGAGGTGACTGTATTTAATATTACCAAACAGTTCTACAAAGGTTAAAATTATGGTGTAATCTAAACCTTATTATTATGTTTTGTACTAACATTTACATTTTTATAAAGCATTTTTGGTTTAAAAAGGACATAATGTTCTTTGTAAATGTACCTAGCTAATGCACTCTCCCTGCCTATTTATAATAGCTGTCCATCTATAGCCTTATTTAACAATTTAACATTTTAAATATTTGTTCTTTCATAAATAAATTTAGTGAATAAAATATTAGTTTTCACATTCCTCATTAACTTTCACCACATCTTACTCTTGTCAAGATAAATACACCTTTATGCACCAACTGTCTAATGCATATCAAACTCCGAGTTATATCTAGAATATTTGCCTATGTTTGAAGATAAGAATGACTTGCTTGAATTACTCGTGTTACACTGTTTGGATAGGATGATAACCTACATGATTGGCAGATCATGGGTCTGTGATCAACACCGGAGTTCAGGGATACCAAATGTGATGTTGAAGCAGACATTCTACTATTTGGTTTTCCAAAAGCCAAATCCAAGTCAAAGCCAAAAGGCAGATTCAGGGTACAATCCTATTTTGTGTTCATCTTATGTAACTACTGTCAGTACACAGAATAATCTTGGGAAGATTTAATGGATTTTTTAAATTCTCATGATGACCATCACTGATGCTAAGCAGGAGTGGGATGAGCCGCCATTTAATCAGCCATTGCACTGGTGATTTTTGGTCCACTAATGCATCAAAACTAGAACAGCTCCCTGTAGCCATTCCCAAATAACCCTGAAATGATGTGAGGAACTTAGGCTTTCGAGAAGCATTGAAACCGTTCACTGTATGGCATTGGTCTTGAGGCAATTGAACCTATTCCAGACAGAAAAAAGCAACATGTTAGGCACATTTCTTTAAATAATTTTTGGAAAAATTTGCAAGTACATGTATGTGCACATTCATATACAAGCTTTAAATTTGTATTAAGGTGAAATTCACATAACATAAAATGAACTATTTTAAAGCGTACTATTCATTGACACCTAGTACATTGACAACGTACAAGCAGCAGCTCCATGTAGTTCCAAAACATTCTAATCACCCTCAAAATCAGCTATTCGGGAGGCTGAGGCACAAGAGACCCCATACCCATGAACCAGTCACTCGCCATTCCCCTTCTTGGCCATGGCAACCACGAATCTGCTTTTTGTCTTGATGGATTTACCTATTCTGAATTTTTCATGTAAGTGGAATCATACAATATGTGAACTTTTATCTGACTTCTTTCACTTAGCATAATGTTTTCAAGGTTCCATACAGGTGCTTTAAAAAAACTAAAGTGAAAACGGAGGGCACTTCACTTTGCTGAAACGTACATAGGCTCTGAAGAGTGTTTGTTTATTTATTTATTTATTTATTTTTTATTTATTGGCCCTTCAGCCAGACTTCAGGTGTGTTTTCAGACATAACCAAAAATTTTTGGTGAAAAAATTTCAGAAAGATCTCCGTGGGTGTCCATAGCCACTCCATCACCCGTCTTCTCTGAAATGTCACCAGAAAATTGCAGGGAATGCAATTCAGGAAATTGAGAAAGCCTCACCAAACTTAGACATAGGCCTGGTTTTCTGTAAGTTTACTTTTCTCACAACCTTAAACTCATAGAGTTAATCAAAATATCTCACTGTGTTTTAGGAGCCAGGAGTGGGTTTCGCAGATTCTTTTTCCTGGGAGCATTTCTTGCTGGAGAAGCCTATAGAACAGTAAAATGGACTGACTTGCACACCCTAGCCAAGTTAGAAAACTTTTTTTTTTTTATGAGACAGAGTCTCACTCTGTCACCCTGGCTGGAGTGCAATGGGTGTGATCTCGGCTCAATGCAGCCTCTACCTCCCAGGTTCAAGCGACTCTCCTGCCTCAGCCTCCCAAGTAGCTGGGATTACAGGCACCTGCCACCACAACTGGCTAATTTTTGTATTTGTGTAGAGATGGGGTTTCATCATGTTGGCCAGGCTGTCTCAAACTCCTAAACTCAAGTGATCTGCCCGCCTCGGCCTCCAAAAGTGCTAGGATTACAGGCATGAGCTTCATAGGATTTTGTTTTGTTTTTCTGTTTTTAAGAGATGGTGTCTTGCTATGTTGTTCAGGCTGGTCTCGAACTCCTGACCTTAAGTGATTTTCCCACCTTGACCTCCCTAAAGTGCTGGGATTTCAGGCATGAGCCACCGAACCCAGCCTGGCTTGCTATTTTTGTGGCTTATTTTATTTGAAAACATTGTTTAAAAACGGAGACTAGAGGACCTTAAACAAATGACATTTCTGAAAAGACCCTCCTTTGTTTTACTCGCTACTTCAAGCCCAGAAACTTGGAGGAAGGTTTTTGTAAAGAAAAATGTGTTGCTTTTGGACTTTAGTTAGTTAGTTTTTTATAACTGGAAACTGAGGCTGAGGCTTTAAACATGACTTTTTTAAAGTCATGTCTACATTTTACAGCAGAATCTTTTGCTTCTAATTTCATTCTTCTTTATAACAGAGGGTTTTAGTTTTCTTAGCTTTTGCCTGTTACTTTGTTTTATATTGGAAACTGTGCAAGGAAACTTGAAGCAGTAGCACATATTGGAAAACTTTTTTTAAAAAGCCACTTTAAAATTATAGAGACAGGCTTCAGACTGCATATTTCTGCTAATTTTGTTTTACTTTAAAGCTGAAGCTTTTAATTGCTTGTTGTGTATTTATACCATACGGTATTTCAGTGTGGATAGTGGCTAAATTCATTCATCCTTTATTTTATTCAAGACATATTTACTGAAATAAATTCTGTCCCAGACACTCCTCCAGGCTTTGGGAAAGAGCAGTGAGAAAACAAAGTTGCTGGCCTGATGATACTTGGATTCAAGTGGAGTCTCGGTAGAATATTCTGTTTGAAAGTAGGGGACAAGGTCTGTGGCTGGTCGGTAGATTTGGAGAATGAAGCATATGAGAGTCTAGTTATGGGTCCAGCAGGAGCTGGGGGAAGGGACTATAGCTAGGAAGAGACGCTCAGGCTGGGGGAAAAGACGGAGGCTGGATTTGGATCATTGGATTGGGGGCTAATAGGATTAGAATGTTACTGTATGCCATCCAAGGGATGAGGGTGTTAAAAGAAAAACTTCAGACAAATTAAATTTAACAGACTTTAATTGAATAAAGAACAATGCATGAATCTGGCAGCTCCCTGAAGCAGAATAGGTTCAGGGATACTTTGCTGCTGCTGTGTGGTCAGAGAGGACTTATGGACAGAGAAGGAAAAGTGATGAACAGAAAACAGAGATGAGGTGCAGAAGCAGCCGGATGGGTTACATCCCCACGTTTGCCTTATTTGAGCATGGTGTGAACACTTGGCCGCCTTTGATTGCACAAAACCCTGTGACTGGCACAAGAGTAGGTTGCAGTCTGTATACACATCCAGTTAGGTTACAGTTCAGTATGTATGGAGAAATCTTTAGGCCAAACTTAAAATATGTAAGGAGGCAGCTTTAGGTTAAACTTAATTTAACAAAGGGATAGAATGCACCACCATTTTTCAGATAGTGTGCCTGTAATGCTGACTAGACAATCTGAAAAGAGTCCCACTGTAAATATGTAGAAATGCCTTTCTTCCAATACACATATACACACATGTATATGGCAGGGGGTGGATTCATTCACACGTTTTTATTTCATTTGGCAAATATTTACCCTGTGCCAGGCACTTATCTAGGCTTTGGGATATGACAGTGAACAAATAAAATCCTTGGCCTCATGATGTATTGGTTCAAGTGGGTGTATATCAAAATAAATACCTTTAAAAATGCATAGGCTGGGCAACATAGAAAGATCAGGTCTGTACAAAAAATTTTTTAAAAATTAGCAGGGTATCGTAGTGTACACCTGTGGTTCCAGCTACTCAGGTGGCTGAGGTGGCAGGATCACTTGAGTGCAGGAGTTCAAGGCTGCATAGAGCTGTGCTTGCACCACTGCAATCCAGCCTGGGCAATAGAGTGAGACTTTGTCTCTTAAAAAAAATGCACAGCTGAGCTAGAATCAGGTCTAGACATTAAGACAAAATATTAAGCTAATACCATTGCTTTGCTGGAATGTCGGGCTCAGTAGTATGGGGAGTTGATTTTAATGATTGGGTTTGGGTAGGAGAGAAAACCCTGAGCCCATGCAAGGAGAGATTTGTAACTGAGACTCCTCTGTAGAGTCATGCCCCTTAAATTGGACCAGAAAAAAATTCGCACACTTGTCCAGAAAGACAACAAGGAAGCTTATATATCTCAGTGTAGAGGAAAAATTCAGCTCTATGGATTCAAAGCCACAGAGCAGAACCTCACCTGAATTTGTGAATTGAAATTGCTACAGCCAAGTCTTCTGGAAAAACATTCAGAAACTTTAGTAGTAGCAAATGTAACACTGCCCTAAAATTATGTTCCTACCACCCACACCATAGAAGATTCTCACAAAAAACCAATCCTGACAAAGATGAGCTCATTATATCTATACAATGTAACTCACATGACATGACAAAATAAGTGAGAGTAAACAGAAACAAAGAGTAAATGTACAGCTCCCATAACTAAGTTTAATGGAATGTCAATCTGAGAACTGCTCCTTTAAAAAATTAAAGACAAATCATGTCTTTAATTTTTTAAAGGAGCAGTTCTCAGATTGATATTTTGTCACTTAGAATAATATGTACTACTACTTGAGTGAGCTCTTTTGGAAGTTATATCAACTGCTAGTGTTTGCTTCTTAGTAACTGAACTGAATTTACAGTTCTGTCCTAGACATTTTGCACTAAAGTAGCCGAATCCATTCTTGTGTGTTTTTGTTAATGTGCTTTGTACCACTGGTGAGTGCTCCATGGTTTCCTTACCTGCTGCCACAGAATGTTATTTTACATCCCTATGGCTATTGCCAAGGCTACAAAAAAGAAAAGCTATATTTGTATGCAACACTAACCCTTTGACTGCTAATGTATGTTTCTGCTTGCTGTGCCTTGTTATGGCTGCTTTTTTTGTGCTAATAAAGTATGTTTGGTGTTCTCAAAAAAAAATAAAATAAAATAAAAAATAAAAATAAAAAATTAAAGACATGAGAAGCAAACAAAGCCCTTAAAGAACGAACAGGACCCTGTGATGCAAGGCAGGCAGATTTGTAAAATCAACCAATCGGAAGTCCCAGAAATAAAGACAGACATTTAAGGTTAAAAAAAAAAGAAAAACAAACAAACAAAAAAAACATGGAAAATGGGATGAGGCATAAGCAATGAAAGAATTAGAGAACTGGAAGATTAGTATGAGGAAAGTATCTATAATGCAGCAGAAAGAGAAAAATACATGGAAATATGAGAGGTTAAGAGATATGGCAGTTAAGAGAATGAAAATTAGAGACACAAATAAATTTTAAGAAGAAATAATAGAGAGAATTAGGAAATAATATGCAAGAAGATGACTGGGTTCTTTCCAGAATTTAAGAAACATGTGACTCTTCAGATCAAAGAAATAAATGAATTTCTGCTTAGACAACAGTGTTGCAACAAAGACTAATTATTCTCATCATAGACAAAGAGTACATTTTTTTTTTTAACTTTTAAGTTCAGGGGTACATGTTCACGTTTATTATATAAACTGTAAACAGACTTGTGTCATGGGAGTTTGTTGTATACATTATTTTGTCACTCACATACTAAGCCTAGTATCCACTAGTTATTTTTCCTGATCCTCTTTCTCCAACCACCCTCCATCCTCAAGTAGACCCCAGTGTGTGTTGTTCCCCTCTATGTGTCCATGTGTTGTCATTATTTAGCTCTCACTTCTTAAGTGAGAACATGTGGTATTTGGTTTTCCGTTTCTGCATTAGTTTGCTAAGGATCAAAATCTCTAGCTCCATCCATGTTCCTGTAAGGGACATGGTCTTGTTCTTTTTTATGGATGCATAGTATTCTTATGCAGGAAGTGAAGAATATCATCTACAAAGGAATGAAAATCAGAATGACAGACTTCTCAGTAACAACCATGGAAGGCAGAAGACAAGGCTTCCATGGTTGATATGGGTCCATCCTAATTCTCACTCAACATTGAGGTCACAATTTTTTTTTTTTTTTTTGACGGAGTCTCGCTCTGCCGCCCAGGCTGGAGTGCAGTGGCGTGA
Source organism: Homo sapiens (assembly GCF_000001405.40). Lineage (NCBI taxonomy): Eukaryota > Metazoa > Chordata > Mammalia > Primates > Hominidae > Homo > Homo sapiens. The sequence goes on along the minus strand of NW_018654717.1, from coordinate 6,043,276 downwards.
TCTCGGCTCACTGCATCTTCTGCCTCCCAGGTTCAAGCGAGACTTTCCTCCCTCAGCCACCCAAGTGGCTGAGACTACAGGCACCCGCCACCATGCCCAGCTAATTTTTGTATTTTTAGTAGAGATGGGATTTCACCGTGTTAGCCAGGATGGTCTCGCTCTCCTGACCTTGTGATCCGCCCATCTCGGCCTCCCAAAGTCCTGGGATTACAGGTGTGAGCTACCATGCCCGGCCTTTTTTTTTTTTTTTTTTAATTGAGACAGAGTCTTGCTCTGTTGCCCAGGCTGGAGTGCAGTGGCTCGATCTTGGCTCACTGCAGCCTCCACCTCCCGGGTTCAAGCGATTCTCCTCCCTCAGCCACCTGAGTAGATGGGACTACAGGTGCGTGCCACCACGCTTGGCTAATTTTTTGTATTTTTAGTGAAGACGGGGTTTCACCATGTTAGCCAGAATGGTCTCTATCTCCTGACCTTGTGATCTGACCATCACAATTTTTAAAAAATAAATAAATAAACACAGAGAGAACTACCAGCCACATCTTCCCAGATGAAATCACTAAAGGAAACACTTCAGGAAGAACATTAAGCACACACACACAAAAAAAAGAAAAAAAAAGACACAGAAAAAAAGCACTCCAAATGAAAAAGGAAGCATAACTAAATCCTGTAGCAAGTTTTTATCTTTAAAAGACATAAGAAAACACTATGAACAACTTTAGGGAAAATAAATTTTAAAAAGTAGACAAAATGGATTATTTCCTAGAAAGATGTGACTTACAAAAATAACTCTAGAAAAAAATAGTAAGCCTCAGTCCAGCTTCGCAGGTATGTTTTATTTAAATGTCTTAAGGAATATTATAATTCTTTAATAAAAAGTTTAAGGAATATTATAATCCCAGTATTTTACAAACTGTTACACATCAGATAGAAAATCAGATCTTGTTTTCTACTATTTTTATGAGGCAAAATAACCTTAATACCAAACTAGGCAAGCACATTAAGAAAGAAAAGTTATTAATCAATCTCCCTCTTATACATAGATACAAATAAAATATGTCACAAACCTAAGAATAAAACTGTTATAGATATATATTTTAAAACCCATCAGAACCAAGTAGATGTCTTCTAAGGAAAGCAACATAATATATCTTTATCTTTAAAAGACATAAGAAAACACTATGAACAACTTTAGGGAAATAAAATTCATCGTATTAATGAATTTGGAGAAAAAATAGATTCAAAATAATTATTCTGCCAAACTTCAACACCCATTTTGATACAATCTGTAGCACACCAAGAATAGAGAAATCTGCCTTAACTTGCTAAAGCATATCTATTAAAAAAAAAAAAACCTACAACAAACATCCAAATTAATGCTGAAATTTTTAAAATATTTGCTTTAAAGGAAACAAGATGCTTCATCTCTGTTTTTAGTTAACATTTTATTTTGGTTTGTTAGCATGATAAGACAAGGAAAAAAATAAAAGGATAAACACAAAGAAAAAAACAAAATTATTATCAAATGCATATGTTTGGCTGCTTAGAAATTCCAAGTGACTATGCTGAAATGTATTGGAATTTATGAGTTTATCAGTGATGACAGAAACAAGATAAATGCACAAATAATTAATAGCATTCTAAAATACCAACAGCTTGCAATTATAAAATATAACTCAAAACAGAGTTACAATTTGTAATAGGAACAAAAATTAAAGTGTAGAATAAATGTAACAAAATATGTTTTTAAAAAAGAAAATTATAAAGATTTTTAAATGCCATAAAATACACTCAAAATAAATGAAATTGAAGATTTATTATTATATAGATCACAACTGTCCTTACACGAACCCCAGTGACACTCAATAAATTCAGTGAAGTTTCCATCATCATCTGAACAGTATTGCTTTTATTTGTTTATTTTGTAGAATTTGATGAGCTGATCCAAAAATTCACATAAAAAATAAAAAAGCAAGACTTTAAAGAAAAGTAAGAAGAATAGAAAATTCACACTACCAGACATCTGGATTAACAAATAAGGTTTTTGTTTATTAGAGCCATGTGATATTGTCATGGGAATGAACATGTAGACCGTTGAAAGAGAGCAGAGAAACAGAACTCTAATGCTCCTTTGCAAGTGTCTGTAATGACACAGGATATACTATATGAATCAACCAGGAAAGGATGCAGCGTTGAATAAATGATGCTAGCCAAATGGAGAAAGCTAAATTAGATCCTTACTGTATCCCAATCAACAAAACAAAGATAGATTGAAAAATCATCGTGAAAAACAAAACTGTGAAACTTTCAGCAAAAAACATAGAACAACTTTATGACATCAGAGTGTAGAAAGATTCCTTAAGACCTCAATATCACCAGAGTTTCTGTGCAGAGGACCCAGGCTCCAGCTGTGGCTACCACACAGGGTTTTCATACCAAAAAAATAAGGCGAATTAAGCCTGTTTAAAGAAAAAAAGAAAAAGGACCTCAAAAGCCCAAGCATAAAAGAAAAGATTTAAATTTAAACTTCTGGTGACAAAAGATGTTCAAAAGTGAAAAGTCAAAGCATGAACTTGGAGAAGCTTTGTGCAATCTAATGACTAACAATAGATTATAGAGGTTGTAAATCACCTTACTTAGCTTTGTTAAAATGCCATCTTCTCAGTGAAGTCTTAACTCACCACCCTGTTTAAAACTGTAACCTTCTCACTTTGCTATTTCCTAGCTCCCTTCCTTGCATTATTATTATTATTATTATTATTATTGGGTTTGTTTGTTTGTTTATTTATTTATTTATTTATTTATTTATTTTGAGACGAAGTCTCGCCCTGTCGCCAGGCTGAAGTGCAGTGGTGTGATCTCAGTTCACTGCAACCTCCACCTCCCGGAGTTCAAGTGATTCTCCTGCCTCAGCCTCCTGAGTAGCTGGGACTACAGACTTGTGTCACCATGCCCAGCTAATTTTTGTATTTTTAGTAGAGAGGGAGTTTCACCATGTTGGCCTGGATGGTCTCGATCTCTTGACCTTGTGATCTGCCCGGTTTGGCCTCCCAAAGTGCTGGGATTACAGGCATGAGCCACCACACCCAGCCTCTTGCATTATTTTTTTCCTATGCTATACAGTTTACTTTTTTATTTATTGTTTCTTTCTCCCTACCAGAACATGAACTCCATGAGGGTAGAGATATTTGTCTGTTTGGTTTACTGCTCTATTCCTGGCCCCCTACAATTGTTTCAGGACCATGTACATTCTCAACACATATGTTTTTAAACAAAAATATGTATTTATGTTTGTATTCAGCAGTTTTTTTAAAGTCCTACTAATAAGTAAGAAAAAGTCAAATAACAACATAAACACGGACGAAATATATGAGTAGAAATTCAGAGAAGGAAACCCAAATAGTTAGTAAACGTGAAATATTCAACTTCACTAGAAATCAGCAATTAAACTAGTAAGTAAGGAAATTAGAGTCACCAAAAGTAACGCGTAAGTTCACATGTCATGCCAATGATGTTTAGGAATAGGAACCCTTAGTACTCGTTAGAAGTTTGAACTGGTACCACTTTGGGGGATAGCTTGGCAGTATCTGATAAACTGAAGATTACACACTGGGAATTTCAGTAATTTCACTCCTGAGTGTATACTCTAGAGCAGTGGTTCTCAGAGGGGTGAATTTTACCCCCTAGAAAACATTTGGCAATGTATGGTGACGTTTTTAACTATCACTCTGTGGGGGTGGAGGATGTTACTCACATCTAGTGGGCAGAGGCCAAGGATGTTGCCAAACACCCTACTATGCACAAGACAGACCCACAAGAGAGAATTATCTAGTCCAGGCCAGGCTCAGTGGCTCATGCCTGTAATCCCAGTGCTTTGGGAGGCCAAGGCAGAAGGATCACTTGAGGCCAGGAGTTCAATACCAGCCTGGAAAACATGGTGAAACCCCAAATCTACAAAAAAATTAGCCAGGCATCATGGCACATACCTGTAGTCCCAGCTACGTGGGAGGCCAAGGTGGGAGGATGAGCTGAGCCCAGGAGATTGAGGCTGCAGTGAGTTGTGATCACGCCACTGCATTCCAGCCTGGGCAGCAGAGTGAGATCGTTTCTGAAAGAAAAAAAAAAATTAGTCCAAAATGTCAATAGTGCTGAGGTTGAGAAATCTTCCCCCAGAAGCATGATCAAAAATGTTCATCACAGCACTATTTGTCATAATAATAATAAAACAGAAACAGACATAATTCTTAAGGTGGAGTGTCATGCAAGATTCACTTAAACAAATTACAAATCAAGTATCAACATGATACACCTCAAGGTAAGATAGGAAGGAGAAAAGACAAATTGCTAATGGATATGTACAAACATAATTTTTATAAATTTATAAGCCAAAACAATGCCATAGGCAATTCTCACAACAACTTGGCCCATGATCGAATACAACTGGGCATAGACACCTGTCCTTCTCAACAGGCCCTCTTGGTTTCACTAACGTTATGGAAACAAGGCCTCATGTTTTATCCAGATTCATTTTGTTTTTGAGAAATAAAACATGACAAATAGAGTCAGAGAACAATCCATGTTTTTCCATTCCATCCCTCCCAGAGGTAACCATGCTACTGATGTTGGAGCGTATCATTTCCATGTATTTTTCTTTTTTACTTTTATCGTGTATGTATGTAACAAAAAACAAACCTTGTTTTTTTCTTTTATTTTTTCTTATATTTCTCTGTACTTGAATAAGGTAAATTGTTCTCCCACAGTCTTATTTATAGCATTACTCTTTTTAATGAAATTTTTTGTTCAATTATAAGAAAATAAATGTAGCTTGAAAGGTTTTGTTGAATAGTGACCCTTGGATATTCCAGAGGTGAGAGGTAAGATACCCTGACCTTCTTGCTCCATCCCTTCCCTAGCTTCTGGCCCCCGAGTGATCATTCTTTGGCAACAAAAGTTTGGAGAGGGCTGGCAAATAAATAAGCAGTGTCACACGTGATGATTCCATCTGTAAATCAAAGAACCATTTTCTAATCCTAACTACTAGGGAGGCTGAGGCAGGAGACTCTCTTGAGTCCAGGAATTGGAGATCAGTCTCGGCAACATAGTGAAAACCCCATCTCAAAAAAATTCTTTAAAAAATTATTATTAGTTTTTAAAAGAATCATCTTCTCACTGAGCACAGATTTCAAAAAAGAAGTCATTGAATAGAGGCCATTTCAGCCACATCCACAGAAATAAGTGCAAAAGGCCTAACACTAGCAGGACAGCCTGGAGCCCAGGTTACAGGATCGCTGCCCTGCCTTGAGCCACTTGTAGGATGAGGTCCTTTTGCTCAGTCTTCATTGGATGGGCTCCAACCTAGAGCCCTGTTGGACTAAAGTTTTCACTTTGGGCCTACTGTGTCTTCAGGGAGGCAGTCATAAGAGAGATCATTTAAAATCCCAGGCACAGTCTGCATTTTAAAGAATGACAAGGAATTTAATCTAAAATCATCTGTTTCTCTTTAAAGAGGGAAACACCCCTTTAAAAGTTTGGTGAGAGGAGGAGGTTGAGAGCTGGAGAATGTCTAAAGGCTAAATCATCCAGTTATCCCTGTTCATCAACTAAAAGAATAAATGAAGAGTCAGCACCACATAGCAGCACAGCTCAATCAAAAACTGTTTTAAGAGTTTACGATGTATAAGATACCATACTAGGAGCTTTGAGACATATACAGAAGAACTAGCTGTGGCCCCTGATCTCACAGAGTTTACTCTGTATTAGACAGAAATACATGTGAAGGTAAAATACCAGTAGCATGCACTAGAGAGAATCAGAAATCTATTTCAACACTTTAAGAGATATCACAGAACATCTACATACGTGATCCACTCTTGACTAACTGGCAGTGGTAATAGCTTGATAGTGACCTGGTTATTATTTTGATGACTCTTCAGTGCTTACTTTGTCCTAGGCATCATATGAAGTGCTTTTCTTTCTTTCTTTCTTTTTTCCTTTTGAAGATAGAGTCTCACTCTGTTGCCCAGGCTGGAGTACAATGGCATGGTCTCAACTCACTGCAAACTCCGCCTCCTGGATTCAAGCGATTGTCCTGCCTCAGCCTCCTGAGTAGCTGAGATTACAGGTACACATCACCACACTCGGCTAACTTTTGTATTTTTAGTAGATACTGGGTTTCATCATGTTGGCCAGGCTGGTCTTGAACTCCTGACCTCAGGTGATCCACCTGCCTCGGCCTCTCAAAGTGCTGGGATTACAGGCATGAGCCACCGCCTCTGGCCTGAAGCGCTTTTCTAATGTAACCCAGGTGTGTCCAAGTCCTTCAGCTTGCTGTAGGTCTGTTTCCTTTAATATTGACATAAAATATCATGAGCCTCTATTCCTCATGACATGCAAAGGCCAACATGTCCCACAGTATTTGGGGAGCTTTCTGAGTATGTGCATGAAGGGTTAAACATGGGAGGTGGGTGTTATACTCTCCTGTCTCCTCTCCCCTCTTAAAAAAATTAGTGTACCAAATTCATCTAGTTGGTAAATGACAAAGCTGGAATCCAGACCCATATATACTGACTCTAAAGCCTTATCCACTTGACCACCCTATTTATCTCTGGGACAGAAAGCAAGGGCTATAGGCATTCAAGAAAGGGAAGATACTGAAAGGGTGCAGAGGAAAGATTTCAGCTGGGAGGAAATACACTTAAATGAAAACTAGTCAAGACAGGACGAGATAAAGATTCATAATGAGGAAGTAAAGAACTGTGGCTATTTGGTGAGGTGTAAAGAATATTAAAAATGACTTCAGGCCTTCTTGTTTGGGTAGCAAGCATTCTTCATTCAACCAACTGATTGTTATTGATAAGTCAGAGACTGTGTATGTCAGGTGTTGTGCCAAGTGCTTGCAATAGTAGCAGGAATAGAAAAGTTAGGGATGAGAAGATAGGGAGTCTACAGTCAGACTTAAAGAGGTTGCAGTTCTGAGATACTTTCCAATGCAATGTCCAACAGGCAGCAGGAAATACCAAACTCATTTGCCTGAAAGAGGAAGGCACTCAGAGAACACCAGGGGGCAGCACGTGCCCAGCAACAAAAGTGAAGCAGGCCTAGCTAGTGTCAATTAATATTTTGCATCTGAAACATATTAAAACAAAACATCATTTTCTTAGGCCAGTACTTTTAAAAATTTAGAAGTAATGTTAATTCACTAAATGCTTGTCTAAGCACAAAATTTCTTTTTTTTGGTTTGTTTTGGTAGAAGGTTAAGTGTATTAATATTGCTTAGCTTTTACATAACATGATTTATTAAAATAGTGCAAAAATATGCATATGAGTTGGGCAACAGTCTTCCAACTGGACACATATTTCTAACATTATTAAACTACCGGCTGGGCGCTATGGCTTACGCCTGTAATCCTAACATTTTGGGAGGCCAAGGCGGGTGTATCACCTGAGGTCAGGAGTTCGAGACCAGCCTGGCCAACATGAGGAAACCCCATCTCTACTAAAAATACAAAAGTTAGCCGGGCGTGGTGGTGTATGCCTGTAGTCTCAGCTACCTGGGAGGCTGAAGCAAGAGAATACTTGAATTTGGGAGGCAGAGGTTGCAGTGAGCCCAGATCATGCCACTGAACTCCAGCCTGGGTGACAGATCGAGACTCTGCCTCAAAAAAAAAAAAAAAAAAAAAGCAAGAGGGAAAGAAGGAAGGAAGGAAGGAAAAGAAAAATCATACATTACCATGTTCACAGTTTATAAGCTAACAGTTACCCATATGGGCAGGGACAAAAATAATGTAACCGAAAATTTTGAGGTTAGATTATTGTTCCATGAGGTGAATGTTTTGTTACATAATAAGCACTTTATGTTCCTATGTGTTTCATTTAGATTTCTTTCTATGTTTAGCATAGCCCATGTTTCTCTGCCATCTCACCCCACCTTCCCTGACACTAAGTGCTCTTAATAACCCCTTGCTTTCAGGTTGTTACATCTTTCTCTCACAATTAGTTCTCTACTTTCTCACTTCATGTACTCACAAGTCTCATTATAACACCACAGTGCTCTATTATTAGGGAAGGAATCAGTGAGAAAGCTCAACTTTGAACCAACGCAGTGAAAGAAGACCCACTTAGAACAGAGACAACACCCCCATGCCTCCAAGCTAAGAGTTTTATAGATGCTTTAGAAAGATGCAATTGGTAATTAATGTGAGACTCACACTATGTATATGACGGTTTATATGTCTGTGATTTGTGTTTTGATGCATAGATTTGTCAATAATAGTTAATTTCAAACTGTGAATTCGTTCTTCTCAATAAGTTGACTTGTTATCTTTATATAATTCCACATTATTGAAATTATTTAGCTATTGATCCATAGGGCATCCATCAAAGTAAATAAAAACAAAAAAATATTTAGAAGAAACTTATAAACAATCCATCCATCAAAACAGGTGTCTGTTTCTGGAATTTAGTTGAACTCAAGAAGGTAGAAAAAGAAGAGGTGTCTATAACATAAAGGAAAACTGGCAATAAAAGGGGAAAAGATGAAAGAAAATAATTAGGGAAAACATGATCCTCAAGTGGAAGGACATTTTGTAAAACAACTGTCAATATCACGAAAGACAAAGAAAGTCTGAGGAACAGTTGCAGTACCAGGTTAAGGAGACATGGCAAGGAAATGTGAGGTACGACCCTGGATTGGATCCTGAAGTGTGAAAAAATTGCTATAAAAATTATTGTGATAATTGAGAAAATTTAAATATGGACTATATATCAGATAAAGTATTATATCAATGTTGCATTTCCTGAATTTGATCCTTGTACTGTGGTCGTAGAAAAGAATATTCTTATTCTTAGGAGACAGCGGTAGAAGTATTTAAATGGAAAGGGGCATGATGTCTGCAACTTAATATCAAATAGTTTCAGAAAAAAGGTATACAGAGAGGGATAGGGTGAAAAATCAAACAGAAAATGTTAATGAATGTTGAATCTAGGTGAAGTTTCGAGGTATGTGGAAGTTCTTTGAACTATTCTTATGACTTTTCCATATATTCATTGCTTTTCCATATATTTATATAGAATAAATATATTTATATTTATTCCATAAATATATATAGCATATATATTTATATGACTTATAAACCATCATATACATAGTGTGAGTCTCACATTAATTACCAATTGCATATTTCTAATGCATCTATAAAACTCTTAGCTTGGAGGCATTTATAGGTACTTTAATTTAAAAGTAATAAGGATAATAATAGTGGTAATAATTCAGAGCCACTTGACCAAGAGCTTCACACTAGCTACATTTTTCTGCTTCAAATGAGTCTCCTGTGGTTGGACACCTTTGTCTTATCATCTGTGATACCTATAAACATAAGCATGCCAGTGTCTGTGTACAGAGTTTACGTTAAATATCTTTCATTTTAATTGATTTGCATATTTATTTAATACATTATTAAATATTGTTTTCACAGAAAAATTATCAGTACAGCATGAAGAACTTCTTTTGTTGAATCATGGAATGTAAGTTACCAACTTTGATATCCCAGAACTGATGCAAGGCAGGTGAGCCCCACAGTGAGGCTCAGCCCACAAGGGTTCTTGGCTTTGCCCAGGAAAGAATTCACAGGCAAACCGGAAGTAGAAGAAACAGCTTAATTGAAGCGTCAGTGTTCCCCCTCTGGTGGTGTTACAGCTCCGTGACTGCTCCTGCAGAGCAGGGCAACCCCCTAGGAGAGAGTAGCAGCTCAGGGCAGTTTTGCAGTCATATTTATACTCACTTGTAATTGCATGCCGATTAAGGGATTATGCAGAAATTATGGTTTATGCAGAAATTTTTAGGGAAAGAGTAATAACTTTTGGGCCATTGGGCCATTGCCATGGAAAGGAGTGGTAGCGCTGGGGTGTTGCCATGGCAATGGTAAATTGACATGGCACACTGGTGGGTGTGTCTGATTGGAAAGCTTCTCCCCGCCCGCCCAAATCCTGTTTTACCTAGTCCTCAATCTGGTCTGGTGTCTGAGCCCCACCTTTGAAGTTGAGTCATGCATCCTACCTCAGAACCGCAGAATACTTTAGTGCACATTTCCTACAAAACCACAATTCAACCAACAAAAATCAGAGAATTAACGTGGATACATAATTGCTATCTAATCCTCAGACCCTGTCTCACGAGTTGTCCCAATAATGTCCTTTATAGCTAATGGATCCACTTTAGAACCATAAGATGGATTTAATTGTAGGTCTGCTCGTCCTACTTCACTCTAGAACTGTCTCTTTGACTTTCTTGACTTTTATGACCTTGGCACTTGAGAAGATAACAAGAAGTTTAGTTGGTATAGTGTGCCTCAATGTGAGATTGTCTGTGGTTTCCTCATGATTGGATTTAGGCTAGTGTCTTTGGCAGGAGCGTTACAGAAGTGAAGCTGTGGTCTTCTTATCATCCACTATTGGTAGGACACTATTTTAACATGTCCTCTTACTGGGAATATTTGCTCTGGTCATTTGACTAAATCTAGTGTCTGCCAGACTTCCCAAGATAAAGTTATTCTTTTATAATAAGCGTTTTGTGGAGGGGTACTTTGAGAATAAATATCCCCTTGCTTATCACATTTACAAATTATTAATAGCAGTATGGATTCATAGTTTTCTATTTTATTTAGTAGGTTATAATTCACTAATATTATTATTTATTTTGAAATGCAAATTGTCCCAGATTTGGCCAGTAGGAGCCCCCTCAAGTTGGTCCTCAGTCCCTTTGACATGTCCTCATCATTCCCTGAGCACTTTCCTTTCTTTGCTGTATTTTGTTTTCTGAGATGGAGTCTCACTGTTGCCCAGGCTGGAGTGCAGTGGTGTGATCTCAGCTCACTGCAACCTCTACCTCCCGAATTCAAGCGATTCTCCTGCCTCAGCCTCCTGAGTAGCTGGGATTACAGGGACCTCCCCCACTACTCCTGGCTAATTTTTGTATTTTTAGTAGAGATGGTTTCACCATGTTGGCCAGGCTGATCTCGAGCTCCTGACCTTAGGTAATCCACCCACCTCTGCCTCCCAAAAAGCTGGGATTATAGACATGAGCCACCACGCCCGGCATCTCTGAGCACTTTTTAGTTTCTGACACAAGAAGTTTCTGTCTCATCTTACACTTTCTCTATCCAAACCCTGAAATAAACCAGTTTTATCAGGAAACTCGTTCTTTTTTGGTGGACAATGGTATTGAGATGACCAGATCTGGGTGCTAGTGATACAGAAGGGGGAAGGAAGCTATTTAGGCAGATAGTGAGGGGAAAGAGTCTTTGGCAGAACTTCCTTTTAACAAAAGGCAGCCTAAGAAATCACTTATTTTCTGACAAAGAGCAGCCTGGAAGATCAGGCTGCAAACATAAATAAGGAAGCTGGAAACTTGCACTGGGAGGATGCCAGCAGCTGCACAGATAGAAAGGGCTACCTGGGGCCAGGCACGTCCACCATGGGGGCTTCTCCTTTTTTTAGCACGTGCACAGTAAGAAAGAAACAGGCAACATGGAGTAGCTCAGGCTGAGTACCCGCCTGCATAATAAAAGGTTAGGATGAAGGCTGTCAGAGATTCATGCCCTATGCAGATGGCACACCTGGTTCTAACAGGTTTCTGTGCCCTATTTAGATCAGATACCACCTCCCCACCAAGTCATCTATAAACACCCCTGCATTTCACTTCAGCACGGCAGCCCTTTTTCCGGGACCCCTCTCTGTAGTGGAGGGCTGCTCTCTTTATTTCTCCTATTAAATTTCTGCTCTAAGCCTCACCCTTGGCCTGTCCCTGTCCTTGATTTCCTTGGCTGTAAGACCAAGAACTCTGGGCATCACCCCAGACAATGAGGCCGCTTCACTAGGAGTCTTGTTCACTATTTTTGGAGCATCACTTCACCCAGACCCTGGCAGTGGTCAGAGCCAGGAATATATGTAGATCTATTTATATGTCTTTATCTACCTCTGTGTATATTAAAAATCCACGTGTGGCTCACGCCTGTAATCCCAGCACTTTGGAAGACCAAGGTGGGCAGATCACGAGGTCAGGAGTTTGAGACCAGCCTGACCAACATGGTGTAACCCCATCTCTACTAAAAATACAAAAATTAGCCAGGCGTGGTGGCGGGCGCCTGTAATCCCAGCTACTCGGGAGGCTGAGGCAGGAGAATCGCTTGAAACTGGAAGACGGAGGTTGCAATAAGCCAAGATCATGCCACTGCACTCCAGCCTGGGTGAAAGAGCGAAACTCCACCTAAAAAAAAAAAATTTTCCAAGTGTTCACACTTATACTGCTCATTCCAATCCACGAGCACTGGGTTCATTTACTTTTCTCCCCCTCCCTAACAGTAAGAAATCTGTCTCCTGTTACCCTCAGTCTATTTACTTGTTTTATCAATTCCCTAGTGTGTCAACACTGTGATTCCTGCCACCACCCACTCCCCCATAAGAATGTGTCGTTCCTCGTCACACTTGGGCTCCCATACTCCAGGATGTGGCTACCATCTCTGCCTCCCTCCATGGACTCCCCTGGAGTTTCTTAGAGCTCTGACTCCCCAGGTGGCTAACCTCCTGCACAGATGCCTTCTCCCCCATCCTGGGCTCCAGCACTCCCACATCAGGCCACCTGTCTCTGGAGACATTCTTCCCACTCTCCTGAAGTTCTAACACCATTCGGGACATTATCCATGCATGCACTTCCTCCTCCCAATGCCCAAGAGTGAGAGTTCATTCATCTTCCAGAAGGCTTGTCTATTTGTCACCGTTATAAAATCAGATGAAAATAACAGGGAAAGTGAAATTTACATGGAGGGAATACTGCAACTGAAAACACGTCAAGGTATTTACAAGTTTCAATGCAGCAGGCTTGACTTACTGAGTTATCAATATGATAACCCATGAAGCTTTCAATTCTCTGAGCTCCAATCCTATGACATTTGTTGAAGTATTGGAGGCTTGGTAGACAGCATGGGATTCTGAAGCCAAAAAGACAGAACCTGCTCTTCCTCCCTTCCCAAGATTGTGGAATGATTTATCAGCATCCCAGATAATATCAAGAATTCATAGAATGTGCCTCAAAGCCTCCTCCATTTTAGCAAAGTCGTCTGCCGATTTTGTTTTTGTTCTTAAACAAGCCTTCAGATGTGCCATATCTTCTCTTATCACTGAATGGCTCCTGTATTGAGCAGTTCTCTGCCCAGTATTTTCTTGAATGATTTGGGTCACCCTGGCACGATGATGATGGCACGCTGCATTTGTCTCTCCTCTTTTCTCTGACTTTCAAGAATATGTAGGCAATTTAAATGGTGTGGAGGATGCCATTGACATGGTGCCTTTCTGGCCTCCACTCTCAGCCCTTGATCCCCATCTCAACTTTCAGCTTTTCACCAGAGGCAGCATTGTATGCAGGAAAGAAGGTGGGTTTTGGAGGCAGTCAGATATAGTTCGAAATCTGTTGAAGTGAAGCTTCGTTAACTTATCTGTAGAATACTGTCAAAATTTATACGCATTTTGCTAAATTTCTGTGAGGATTTGGGACAACATCAATATAATGGGGAACATAATTTGACCATTTTGTATGTGCTTTTTTTCTTTTTTACTTCCCGCTTTCCAAGTACATGGCCTTGATTCTAGTACATTCAAGGCACACATCAGCCTGAGAAAGGGGGATGATTTCTATAAAAGGAACGCAAAACAAAATTAAGAAACAACAGTGCAACAGCTAATATTCAATTTCTGTCATTGAAACTATGATTTGTGTTCTATCAAAAAGATACAGGCACTACCATGTTCATCACAGCACTATTCACAATAGCAAAGATATGGAATCAACCCAGGTGTCCATCAACGGTGGACTGGACAAAGAAAATGTGGTACATATACACCGTGGAATACTATGCAGCCTTAAAAGGAATGAAATCATGTCCTTTGCACCAGCATGGATGCAGGTGGAAGCCATTATCCTAAGGGAATGAATCAACACAGAAAACCAAATACTGCATGTTCTCACTTATAAGTGGGAGCTCACGCTTGTAATCCCAGCACTTTGGGAGGCTGAGGTGGGCAGATCACCTGAGGTCAGGAGTTCGAGACCAGCCTGGCCAACATGGTGAAACCCCGTCTCTTCTAAAAGTACAAAAAACAAATTAGCCAGGTGTGGTGGCACATGCCTGTAGTCCCAGCTACTCAGGAGGCTGAGACATGAGAATCACTTGAACCCAGGAGGTGGAGGTTGCAGTGAGCAGAGATCACACCACTGCACTCCCTCCTGGCAACAGGCAACAGAGTGATACTCGGTCTCAAAAAATAAATAAATAAAGTAAGTGCAAGCTAAGCGTTGGGTCCTTATGGACATAAAGATGGCAACAATACACACTGGGGATGATTAAAGGAGGCAGGGTTAAAAAACTACCCGTTGGGTACTATACTCAGTACCTGAGTGACAGGATGAATCTCACCCCAAACCTCAGCATCATACAATATACCCAGGTAACAAACCTGCACATGTACCCCATGAATCTTAAATAACAATTGAAAAATTAAAAAAATTAAACCCCTATGGTTTAGTTGAAAAAGGCAAAACATTTAGAAGTTTAAAAACATAAGAAGTGTACTTTTAAATGGAGCAAAACAAAAGCCTATTGGGCGAGGCTTCTGCCCTCAAAAAAGATTAGCTGAATTCATTTTTTTTTTTCGTTAGCATTGTAGGTTAAACTGTAGAGTTTTATGTAAGGCACGAACAGCAGAAAGAAGAGGAAAGCAACTTGCCCTTTTCCAGTCCTGAAACAAAAATGTAAAGGAATAGAGGGTGAGAAGGGAGAATTAGATGGAAGGAGAGCCAAGCCCAATTCTTCCCTGCAAAGTGTATTGTACATGCTGAGTTCATGCACTCTTGTCTTGTTGCTTATTGAGGTCCCAGGAAGGAGGATACCTCCCAAGCAGCCTCATACCAAACAGAACATCGTCCATCATGGTCAGGCAGAGAAGTGCCTGGAGTTGAGCTCCTCAGCTCCTCTTCCTTTCTACAAGGTAAGGACACCGAGTCCAGGGCCTGCAGGGCTGCTCAGATAAGGCAAAGTGATCCACAGCAAAGGCTGAGGATACATCATCTGGCCAGGTGACCACATGGAAGAGAAGGCAAGTTCAGGAGTCAACAGGCAGTGAGACAGGAGGAGACTCCTGGTCAGCTTGTGGAGGTGGCTGGCGCAGCCCAGAGCGTTGCCCAGAAAAATGGCTCATGCTTTCATGAGCCCAAAACAGCAGGGTAGGAAGCCGTCGATCAAGGAACATCAACCTGGAGGCCAGCAGATGTTGCCAGATCACACCCCAAATCCAGCACGAGATCAGGGTCCCTCTTTACCCCAAACCCAAAAGGCTGCGTGGTCTCCTCTCAGCGATTTCTATGCCAACTGCACTATCTTCGAGAGCAGGCAGGGAGAGAGGGGGTGTTTGGAGAGACCCCTTTGCTCTTAGCTTATTTCTTCGTTCTCTTACAATTTTTATCTAAGTTAAATTTTTTAAATCCAAAAGTATTATTAGATTTTCTTAGGTTGGGCTGTTTAAACCACAATAAAGATTTAAGTTTTGCTTCATCCCCCAGAGAGTGGGGGAAAGGTACATCTAAGAAAGGTCTCACAGTCTATGAAGACTAAAGCTGTTCGTACCTGACTTGTTCCCACGACACTTTTAGGTGCAACTCAGACCCAATGACTTCCACCAAAATAAACAGCCAAGAAACTGAAAACAGGGCCTGAACACAGCCAAGTCATGTTCCAGGAATGGTTATTAACATCCCATCTGTCCCTGGATCTCTCAGCCAACTGTGAGAATGCCACTAGTGGCCAAGGATAGGAGACCAGGGAGGGCCAGTGACTTCCATTTACTTCTTTATTGATCATACCCAGTGAATTCACCTCTTTTCCATTTTTAAGGACCTGATGTTAAGAGCCTTGAATTTCATGAAAACAAGAGAAAGTGTTAGGGAAGTTTTGCATGTGCTAATCTAAGACTTTCTGCTACTCTGGCCATGGTAGGACAGCGATATCAGCCATTTCTCATTCCCATGTGTCCCAGAAGATGACAACAGGGAAAAGCCTATATACCACATCTGAGTAGAGACTTAGGTTTTTATTCTTTTTTGTTTATGCATTTATTTTTATTTTATTTATTTATTTTTTGGGGAGGGTCTTATTCTGTCTCCCAGGCTGGAGTGAAGTGGTAGAGTCTGGCTCATTACAACCTCCGCCTCCCAGGCTCAAACGATCCTCCCACCCTAGCCTCCTGAGTATCTGGGACTGCCAGCACATGCCACCATACCCAGCTTATTTAAAAAAAAATTTTTTATAGAGATGGGGTTTCACCACGTGGCCAGGCTGGTCTCAAACTCCTGGACTCAAGCAATCCACCGGCCTCGGCCTCCTGAATTATGGGGATTACAGGTGTGAGCCACTGCGCCCGGTCTAGACTTACATTTTTAAAAGAGCCTTGAGCTCAAGTGAATTTTAAAGACTTGGATTAAAGGAAGAAAACAAATCACAAGGCAAAACAGGAGAGGAAAGTGCACCACCTGGAACTGTATCATAAAACATCAGTGATTCAGCCTGGGAAGCTGCCCTGCCAAAACAGTGTTTTCAATGTGCTTGGAACATAATTTGTGTTTAATTTTAAATGAAACTGATTAGAAGTATATCTATATTTTATTTACCAACAAGGCCAAATGACTCACTAGTGAGAGCTGTGTGTCTGCCCAAGCTTTGCATGTGCCAAAGTCTGTATAAAAAGATTCCTAATTCGGAAGAGACAATGGGAATTTTCTGACTGGCAGCTCTCATGTTGGTTAATTAGATGGTATTAAGAAGAAAAAGGTTGGCCACGTTATCTTGAAGAAAGTATTATTAGAGATGGCAGTAGATCCTAAAACATTTAATTCCCTGTGTTCTAGTCTCTAACGTGCCATCTGGAGTAGTTACTTAGGGGAAATTACAATAAATTGATAGAAATATTAAAAAATTGCCTCAACTAACAAAAATAAAAGCTCTCTTGAGGAAAAATAGCATTTTAAGTGTAATTTGTGAATCATGATTTGACAGATGACAAATATAGGTTTTAAAGTCCCACAAGACTTGTGTCTCTCATTAGAATCACCACCATATATGTACTATTAAAACTCAAGGGCCGGGAGTCTTGGCTCACGCCTGTAATCCCAGCACTTTGGGAGGTGGATCACCTGAGGTAAGGAGTTCGAGACCAGCTGGGCCAACATAGTGAAACCCTGTCTCTACTAAAAATACAAAAATTAGCTGGATGTGGTGGTGCATACCTGTAATTCCAGCTACTTGGGAGGCTGAGGCAGGACAATTGCTTGAACCCAGGAGGCAGAGGTTGTGGTGAGCCCAGATTGCGCCATTGCACTCCAGCCTGGGCGACAAGAGCAAGACTTTGTCAAAAAAAAGTCAAGTAACTTCTCCAAGACCCATTTAAAACACACACAACCTATTAGAATGGCCCAAATCGGGAACACTGACAACACCAAATGCTGGTGAGGAAGTGGAGCACCAAGAAGTCTCTTTGCTGGTGAGAATGCAACATGGTTCAGACCCTTTGGAAGACAATTTGGAGACTTCTTACAAAACTAAACATACTCATCATATGATCCCGCAATTATGCACCTTGGTATTTACCCTAAGGAGTTGAAAAGTTGTGTTCACACAAAACCTGCACACAGATATTTATAGCAGCTTTATTCCTAATTACCAAAATGAGGAAGCAGGCAAAATGTCCTTCAGTGGGTGAATGGATACATAAACTGTGATACATCCAGACAATTGAATATTATTCAGTGCTAAAAAGAAATGAGTGATCAAGCCATGAAAAGAGATGGAGGAAACTTGCATGCCTATTACTAAGTAAAATCAACCAATCTGTAAAGGCTGTGTACTGTATAATTCCGACTACATGACATTCTGGACAAGGCAAAACTAGAGACAGGAAAAAGATCAGCGGTGTGGTTACCAGGGCAAGGCGGGAGGGAGGGATGAACAGGCTGAGCACATTTTTAGGACAGTAAAACTACTCTGTAGGATACTATAATGACAGATACATGTCACAATCCATAGAACGAACACTACCAACGGTGAACCATAATGTAAACTATGGACTTCAGGTGATAATGCTGGGTCAATGTAGATTCATCAGTTGTAACAATTGTACTACTCTTGTGGGGGATGCCAATGCAAGGAGAGGTTATGTGGGTCCTAGGGCTGGGAGTCTACAGTTTATCTCTGTACCTTTCCCTCTGTTTTGCTATAAGCCTAAAACTGCCCCCAACAAATTGTCTTAAAAAATAGCTATCAACTCACAAATCTCATACATATTTTTCTTTATTTTCTGGGTTAAACAAAGAAGGAATATTCTGATGAATTACTTACTTTGTTTTTAAAGTCCCAGATAAAGAAAATTATATTATGACAACCTTGTTTCAAAAAGCTTCTCATGCTCTCTACCAATTAGATTAAGATAAGCAGAAAGACTGAAAAACTTAAGACTTCGTTCTCAGAAATAATAAACAACGGTGAACACACCTGCTATTTACTTACTTCTTGCCAAGTGCTACAAAACACCTGATGGAAAATGAGGGAAAAGTGCTGGTCTCACAAAGGTCATTTCAGCTTTATCTGGGCCCACTGGCAAGTAAACACCAGCAGAATCCTTTTGGACCAAGGACAGCAATATGGTAACTTTACAGTGAAAGCTTTCCATTTTTTCCTTCAGAAATGTCTTTTTTTTTTTTTTAATAAGTGGGACAAAATGGAGGTTAGGAGATAAAACTCTCTTGTGACATGATTCATTTCTGGTTTTGCTAACAGAATTGCTCATCCTTTTCTGTTTGAGAAAAAACATTTTATCATTCTGAAGCCTAGAGCATGCTTGGAAAAGAGGAATAGTTCTAACCTCAGACTCATAATTTCAAAGCATAGATCCTGTAATCATATCCAGTTATGTTTTGAAATTCAGTTCTCTTATGAGTAAATAAATAGGATTTGGAATGTTTTGTTGACAAAAAAATTGTAAGACAGGATGAAAGCGTCTTTTAAATTAATGATCATGTGATAGCACACTGCAAAGAAAAAAGCCCAGATAAAACACAAGAAATAAAGACAAATGGAATAATTTTGGCATAGCCAAATTACCTGCTACAAAGAGGAGTAGCTATGCTTTAGGTGGAAAATAAATGAGGCACATTCTGTCCAAAACAAAACTTTTTGAAGGGAATATATTTCATTGAAGTTTTTAAAGTGCGGCTGAAGCTATTATCTAATTTTATGGATCCATTAAAAAATGCCTACGAGAGAACCCTGTGGACTCCCTTGCCTTTTCTGTATCATATTTAGGATCATATATCATTCCTTCTGAAGGGGGAAAAAAACCATCTAGCTGGTACAGGATAATCCCTCGATTAACCAGATAATTAAGCAGCTTCGAGCTGGATTCCGTAGTGCCAGTGACATAGCCCCTGGTGTTTACCCTAAAACACCTCCTGGACTCCATTACATCAGTCATATGCAGAGTCCCCAGGCCTTCCCACTCCCATCTGTGGGTAACTCAATCACTGACTTCTGTGTCACAAATGTTACTCCATGGTCAAAAGCACTCCATAGTTAGAGCGGGTTCTTTTTAGGGCATGGGATACCATTTCATGCAAAATGTACTTTGATATCTTCAAAGATTAAATGCTGTTTTATCACTGATTTCAAAGTCTGAAGACGTTTAAGAGCGCTTATGATCTGGTCTTATCATCTCTTTCCAGCTTTTCTACAACTCCCTCTCCCATCATCCCACACTGTTACACAGCTGGAATACTAGGGCGTATTTTTTTTTCTTGTTTGTGTGTTTGCTTAATGCTTCCACATAATTTGTTTCATTTGCAAAAATCTGCTTCTCCTCTAATTCTGATTATTTATGTCTCATCCACACTTCCTCCAAGCAGCATTTAAATGGCATTTCCTCTGTGAAGTCTTCCCTGGATCTCTGTCAACTCCTGGCTAGACATAATCTCTTCTTTCCTTTTGCATTCTCATAGCAGTTAGCTAGTACTTCTCTTATAGACAGATGATCATATTTCACATAGTTCACATTTGTTATTCAAATGCAACTCTTATTTTCTCTAATAATAATAACAACAATAATAGCATCTACCACTGTTTTGAGGGCTTACTATTGGGCCAGCACTACCTAGCTGGTGCTTTATTCCTCACAGTAACTCTGTCAAGCAAATATTACGATATCTGTTTTACAGATGCACAAACTGAGGCTCAGAGAGCTTAAAGCAGTGTCCAAGTCCACAGAGCCACCATATGCTGGGATTCAGTAAGTCCCCAGTCCAACTCTAGAGCCTATTATCTCAGCCACTGCTATATTGCTAGATCCTGAAGTTCTTTAAAGGAAAAGGGAGGGAACTCACATTTACCAAACACCTAATCTCTGCATGGCACTGCAGCAGGAACTTTCATGCATATTATCTGATTTATCTGTGAGTGAGATGGTATAATCCACATTTTGCAATTGAGAAAACCAAGCTTCACCATAAATACATATGTTTTAAGGGGAGCTGACTGGATTAAGATATTTGTGGTGCATATAACTGATGAAAGATTGATAATCAGAATATATAAACATGTCCTACAAGTTAATGAGGAAAATAATAACTACCCTATAGGGAAATGGGCAAAGGAAATGAACAGGCAATTCATCAAAGAAGGAGGCAGAATGAGCCAAAATCTATGAAATGGTGCTTAGCTTTACTAGAATTTAGGAGAATACAAATTTAAACGAGTTACAATTTCATACTCATCAAATTGACAAAAATTAAACAATCTAATGGTCCCCAAATGTTAAGATAATGAGAATTTTCATACACTGGAAGTGGGAATAAAAATTGATACAGCCATTTTAGAGAGCAATTTCACTTCTACATATCGTAGAAGTGAAACTGGAGGTTTGAATTGTCCCAAGATAAGTACAAGTGTGTTCACTCCAGTATTGTTTAGAAAATATAAAACTATGATATTATAATATAATGGAATATGTTACTAAGAAAAAAGAATAATCTATATGCATCAAAAATAGATAAATCTTGAAAGCATAATGAGATGACACAACTAGAGGGCACTTTCTGTGAATCAGAAAGTGGGCTGTCACCAGAAATCAAATCTGCTGGTGGTGTGATCTTGGACTTTCCAGGCTCCAGAACTATGAGAAATAAATTTCTGTTGTTAATTTTTTTAAGTTGTGAAAGTGTTGACCAGCCTGGCCAACACAGCAAAACCCCGCGAAAAATACAAAAAAATAGCCAGGCGTGGTGGCACATGCCTGTAATCCCAGTTACTCCAGAGGCTGAGGCATGAGAATTGCGTGAACCCAAGAGGTGGAGGTTGCAGTGAACCGAGATGGCGCCACTGCACTCCAGTCTGGGCAACAGAGGGCCACTTTGTCTCAAAAACAAAAACAAAAAACCCACCACAAGCAGCAACAAAAACCCACTTATGGAAACAGAAGAGGAGGAGGAAACAGAAGAGGAGGAGAAAACAGGGAGGAGCCAGTCTTGAAGACATCATCACTCTGTATTTATACCTGATTCTAAGAGTCCCAGAGAAGCATCCTGATTATTTTGGGGCCTATTTTTAAAACAAATGAACTCATGGATTTTTGTCTGTTCCTCATGCCCAATTTACAAAATGCATCTGTGTGATGTTTTCATTTGATGAAACAGGAGATGAGTTCCCCTGGCTCCCAACTGTTGATGTTTGTAAGTGGATGGCATCTTGCTTATTCTCACCATTGCCATCTTAGAGCTACTGCAAGTCCAAGAACCTGATGCCCAGAATTATTAAGCAAATTTTTGGTGCACATTCCTTCAAAAAGAAAATCTACTGCACCTCCCGTCACTTGACTAAGTGACAGAAATTGATGGTATCAGGAAAACATTTAGTGAAATGCAGCTTAAGTCTATGGCCTAAACTACAAAAATGCACTGACTTTATATTAGGAGTTAGCAAAGCACAACAAGTTTTAACAAGATCTGAACAGACTGGAGGTTTGAATTGTATAAACATATTTTGGTGCCAAAAGAAAACATTGTAGAGTGGTGTGAGCACCTCAAAGAATAGACGGTTCTCCAGGAAAGGAGAACCTAGTGCCTCTCCTGAAGGGTAGGGTTGGGGAAGGGTTTAATACCTGGTTTAACATTTTCAAACTCTCTCTTCCTTGATCCTTTACTTATTTTAAATTGGTTTGCCATTTTGTTTGCATTTGATTTAAATTTATGTTTGTTTGTTCTACCTTTTTCAGTAAAATCCAGTACAAATAAACATAGAGAAAAATTGGAAGGCTCTTCTGGAAAGTACTTATTTCAACCTTCTCTCAGCCCATCCCAGTGAAGTTTCAGGGGATTAAAGTCTTCCATCTAGCCAAGAACAGGACCATCAAAAATTATACTATGTAAGTCTCTCTACTGATTTGTGTATGATATAGACTTAATTTGAACAAGGACTGTATTAATTGAAAAAAGAAGTTGCAATAGTGCATTCTGGTGGCAGGGAAAAGACTATATGTGGAAGCTGCAATCTGATCTGATCTGCTCAAAGTTAGTGACAGTTAAAGGGATTGTACATTGACTGTGTATCTATGAGCCTCAGTGCTTTGCCCAAAATGGCAGAGATACTTCCTCTTCTCATATTCCCATGTTTGCTGAATTATTAACCTAATACCACTGTATGTTGTCTATTACTCTGTAAAAAAATTACCTCAAAATTTAGCAGTAGAAAACCACAGACCTTTATTACACATAGTTTCAAAGGGTCAGGAACCCAGGTGTAGCTTAACTGAGTGGCTCTGGCTCAAGGACTCTCATGAGGCTGTCATCAAGGTATAATCCACGGCTGCAGTCTCATCTGATGACTTGACTGGGTATGTAGGTTCTGCTTTCAAGATGGCACACTCACATGGCTGTTGGAAGAAAGCTTTAGCTCCTTGCTGACAGGTGGCAGAAAGCCTCAGTTCCTTGCTCCATTAGGCACTCTATAGGTTGTTTGAGTGTCTTCATGATATGGTAGCTGGCTTCCCACAGAGGGAGTGAACTGAGGGAGAAAGCAAGGCTGAACCACAATATCTTTTATAATCTAACCTAAGGAGTCACATGGCATCACTTCTGCAGTGTTCCACTGATCATCCAGACCAATCCTGATATCGTCTGGGAGGGTATTATCCGGAGAGTGACAGACAGGAGGCAGAGATCACTGCAAGCCATCTTAAAGGCAGGCTACCACAACTACCCCTCCAGGTAATGAACTGTTAATATTTGCTTTAAAACTCTGAATTCCTGTTTCAAGTAACCTCTTTTCCCTAGTGCATTCAAGTTTATATTACCCTTGGGAATTAAAAAAATTGAAAATGTATAAATATTAGTGCTGGACTTTGTGTTGCCCCTCCAGAAGTATGTTCAAGAGAAGAGTTTCTTTTGGAGGGCAGGGGAAATAGTCTGGAATCAGATTGTGATGATACTTGCATAACATTATGAGTATATAATACTAAAACCATTGAACTGTGCACTTTAAAATGCTTAAAATAAGTTATGTGAATTTTATCTCAAAAAATGACTTAAAAAGAGAGGGCATGAATAGTATTATTATCAAATTGGCTGGCTTAGAAAGACTTAGGGTAGCTTTTAGCTCTTTCTGCTCTATTTGTTTTGTCAGCTCAAAATTTTAAGTATGATTAACAAGACACTATTAGGTCCTGGGAAAATGGATTCATGGAAATAAAGCTCATGATAGGTTGGAATGTGCTGGTGCAGTGTAATGACAAGGGTTTTCAGAGCACGTTGGCATACATTCTTGTGATCTGACTCCCATGATCCTTCCACTAAAACAATAATTATGGCATATTTTATTCTGGCCTAACAAGTGTTGAAAATGTTAGTAATGGACTTATGTATTGTTTGAGCAGTTCTCCCAAATGCTTTTTTTTCGGGGCATTTTTCACAATTTGTGATTTCACTTGGCAATTGTTTTGCATTATGTTGTAGTGTGTTGTCAGTTATTCGGAGAGACACCACAGTTTTTTGTCTTACATTTAATACTATTTATGGCTATGAGACCTGAGTCTGCCAAAGCTTCTTGAGCAGTTTTAGCTGCAATGTAAGCATCATCCTTATAAGTAAATAGGAAAACAAAGTCAATATCAACTAGCACTGATTGTCTCCATATACAAGAAATCATGTATATTGCATCATTTAATATTAAGCAATTGTCCTGAATAGTTGTTAGTCTTGCCATTGAGCTTCAGATTGACCTTTCCCAGAGGTCAAATAACCAGTTAAAAATATATCACCAAAACTACAATGCTCAAATACAAGATATCTATCCACTTTGAAGCAATTCAGTGTATCATAATCAAATTGAACTGCAATTAATAATATTGAATTCATTCAACTAGATATGTACAAAGATTATATGTCAGCTGGAACTCTCCAAGAAGCCATTGTAGGATAAGCTGAAATGGCACAACTACTTAGAGGAAGGAGAGAAATAAACAAACAATTTTAGGTGCCCTAAACCACATTTCAAAATCATTTAGCTTAGTAAGAGGAGCTCTTTGAAACAGCAACTTATAGATAGATTACTTTGGAATATTGCTAACCAGAAAACATCAATTGTGGAGAATCACCTTACAGGAATACTAACATTTCATAGTAAATAGTTAAAAAAAAGATTTAATCTTGAAAAGTAACCAGGGGAATTGTAAATATAAGCTTATTTTATCTTATATTTAATAAAATATTGGTTTTCATTGCATGTATATATTAATTCTTTAAAATGAACAAACAATAAAGGAAATGTTTATGTATAAAGTTTTGGGGTGCATTGTCTTTCTAAAAATGTAGGTTGGCCCTTTTACACACCTTTCCTTTATGTGCCTCATTGATGCAGTGTGATGGTAAAGAGGATTATTTCACTAAAACATTCTAGGATTTGACCTGTTTCCCAGGGGCCATTCTTAATTCTCTGATACTGAAATCACATCATGCAATCATTGGCTCTCTTTTCCTCAGTTGTAAACTGCTGTTACTTTGTCAGGTCCTCATTATCAACAGATATGTGTATGATTTGAGCAGTTTCCCGAAATCTGTTTTTTCAAGTCAACTTTTGCATGATTGCTGATTTCACTTGTCAATTGTTTTCCATTATGCGGCATTGTGATAACAATTTTATTTCCAAAATCTAAAAAGAAAATCAGTGACAATCTCCCTAAGTGGACAGACAGTTCATTCGTGAGGGCTTTTGTTCAGTTGACATTTGCTTCCCTCTACAACCTTGTAACTCAAATAATAAATAGTGTGATATTGAGGCCATCCTCTTGGTAAAAGATGATGTGGCTTCCTGGCTTCTCACAACCCCAGTGGTATCCACCTCGACCATGGTACCCACCTGTTTTTAAGAGAATTATTCCTTACCACCCCCATTCCATTGCTGATGTGGTTTATAAAACAGCTACCTTACCTTTCTGGCCTCAATTATTTGTTTACCTGCAGAGACCTTTCTCAACATGGCCTGTCATAATATCGTATCTTCCCAGCCGTTTTGATTTTTGCAGGGAAGTGGCCTTATATCCAAGGTCATGACAATCAAAATTTCCCTTACAGATTGTTTTTAGAAAAGAGCATGAAAGGGGATCCCTTTCCTCTCAGAGTTGATGAGCTGTCACCCGTTGTGTCTGCTGCAGCTTGGAGAAAGGAGAGGTGAAGTAAGAGACAAGCTATCACGCTGAGCAAAGCAGAGGCAGTAAATGAAGAGGAAAGTGGACGACATTTGAGTCCCCTGTGCTAATCATTACCAAGGCCACCTGCACTCTGATACGGAAGTGCTGAGAAGGGAAGAGCATGGTCCCTTTGAATAATATGGAAAGGGGAAAGGGAAGTGCTGGGTAGAGGAGGGCGTGGTCCCTGGCTAGGGCTCCACCCCCACGGACCTAGGTGAGGACAGGCACTCCTGCCTTCCTGCCCAAATGTTGCATTTCCCAAGACGACCCTGGCCTGCCACGCCCCCACCCTGGGCCTATGAAAACTCCAGACCCTAGCAAGGCAGAGACGCAGGTGGCCAGACATGGAGAGAAGCACATCAGCAGAAGACAAGGCAAGCGGCAGGCAGGCAGAAGAGCACACCAACTGACTGCGGCATGCCCGCAGGCCACTGGCTGGTGGGACGAGGCAGAGTTTGGCCAGGGCAGTCAGAGAGCTGGGGTGCCCAGTGGCCCACCTCCAAGGGAAAACCATCTCCCTCATAGTTCCCCATTGGCAGACAGCTATTTCCACTCAAAACTTTGCACTCATTCTCCAAGCCCGCTAGTGATCCAGTTCTTCAGTAGACCAAGGCAAGAACCGGGAATACAAAAAGCCCTCTGTCCTTGCAAGGAGGTAGAGCGTCTAATTGAGCTGGTTAACAAAAGCCGCCTATACATGCAAACTCAGAGCACCCTGTAACACATGCCCACTGGGGCTTCAGAAGCTGCAAACATTCACCCCTACAGAGTGCGGGAGGGAGTCAGAGCCCCACAGCCTGCCTGTCTGTATGCTTCCCAAGAGGTGTGAGCAGCAGGGCACTGAAGAAGCGAGTCACTCCCCATGTCTCATGCCCTGTGAGGGGGACAAGGTAACTTTTCCCGTTTCAACTCCATCCAATAAATTTCGCTCCTTGTCTCCCCCTACTCAATCTAGTGTGAGTTGAATTCTCTCTTGTAATCTAAAATTAATTATGGGTCCAAGTGTTAAGGCCCATTGGTTGCATTGCAGTCAACAGAATAAACAGCAGAATAAGGGAAACTCCGAACTTCACTGTAGTGTCTTCTGGGATCCAGTATCACTAGTATCACTAATAATAATAAAAAAAGCCACCAGGAGTGATAAAGAGGACGTGCCTGGGAGTTAGGAATTTGAGTTTCTAGATCCAGTTAACTCTTCTACTAACTCACTTGGTCTCATAAGAAGGTCACTTTTTCCCTCTAAGGTTCACTTTCTTCATATGTAAAATTAAGCCAATGTTCTCTTCTTACCTTATTAAAGATCAATGCACCTCAAAGTGTCATGAACACGATTCTAATACGTGCTGCAATGATTAAATGCCGACTCAATAATTTGAACTGATTGTAACCTAAGGGATTATTTTTTCAAGCCACATCATTATACTGATCAGGCCATTGGAGACACAAAAACCACCCTTCCCATTTACCAAATTCTCCCTTATCATTCTGCGATCCACCACTCGCTTCGGCAGCACGTATATCATTCTATGATCCAGACAAAGAAGGAAGTGAGGAAAGATTCACAGTAAATGGGGGTGGGGAAGCATGCAACTTTCAGACAGGTCCTGATCATCTCATCTCATCTGTGCCTCTGCCCACTGCTTTTTGTTTTCCTCTCTCTTACCAAGTGCTATGGGCTCAACATGTCCCCTAAAATTCATGTGTTGGAAATTTAATCCCCAATGCAAGAGTTCTGGGAGGTGGGGGGTTTTGGGAGGTGTTTAGATCGTAAGAGCTCCATCCTCATGAACAGATTAATGCCATTAAAAAAAAAAAGCTTGATGGAGGGAAAAACTTGACCCCCTTTTGCCCTCCTGTTCCTCCTGCCATGTGAAGACCCAGCATTTCTCCCTCGGGAGGATGCAGCATCAAGCTGCCATCTTTGAAGCAGAGACCGCACCCTCATCAGACATGGAATCTACTGGCACCTTGATTTTGGACTTCCCAGATTCCAGAACTGTAAGAGAATAAATCTCTACTCTTTATAAATTACCCAACCTCAGGTATTTTGCTATAGCAGCCCAAACAGACTAAGACATTACGTCCCGAGCAGAATTGTGGGTATGAGATGAAAGCATGACTCCATTTGTACATGTTGGTCAAAACTGGAGGGTCAGCACAGCAGATCTGCTCAGTCCTCCCGAGGCCTGGTTAGTATTTTCAGTCTCTTGAAGACCTCTCAGATGCCTCTTACAGGCTCTGTTTTTCAGGTTTTCTATGGTGACTGGTTAAAATAAGGGAGGCACTGACTCTTGAGATTGGAAGTCTCTACCATAAGTTAGATTAAATGCTTTTGTTGTTTTTGTTTTGTATTAATATCTTCTATTTGCCGGAATCCTAAAGTATCAGGCTGCGTGTTGTGGCTCATGCCTATAATCCCAACACTCTAGGATGCCGAGGTTGGCAGATTGCTTGAGTCCAGGAGTTCAAGGCCAGCCTGGGCAACATGGTGAAACCCCATCTCTACTAAAAATACAAAAATGTTAGCTGGGTATGGTAGCACATGCCTGTAGTCCCAGTTGCTTGGGAGGCTGAAGTGGGAGAGTCACCTGAGCCTGGGAGGTCGAGGCTGCAGTGAGGCTAGACTGAGCCACTGCACTCCAGCCTGGGCAAGCAGAGTGAAACTCTGTCTCAAAAAAAAAAAAGTAAATAAAAATAAAATATCTTAGGTAGAATCATAAATTAAGCAGCAATAATAAAATGTTCATTAATCAAACAGATGTTAGTCAAATGTAGTAAAATAGGAAACAATCAGTTTTGAGTATTTATTATTGTTTAAAAATTATTTTATTTAATGGTAAGTTTACTAACTTAATTTTCAGTTATGGCTATTTTTAACAATTAGACTGCAAAAACTAGGCTCTCATGAGGCACTGCAAGCCTGCATAGGCACACGACTATTTATGACCCAGATATTACACGTCTAGGTATATATCCACAGAAATAGGTACATGTGCTCTCAAAAGACGTGCACAACAATTTTTATTGCAGCATTTTCCATTATGGTCAAATAGTAGAAAGACTCTAGAGGCCCATTAGTGGTAGAATGGAAAAATAAATTGTTACATTTTCATAGCACAGAATATGAGTCAGCAATAAAATTGAACAAATGACTGCTTCAGCACACTCAAGGAACAGAATATTGAGCCAGGTACCAAAGAGTATGTACTGTCCGATTCCATTTACGGAAGTTTGGAAAAGCGGCAAATTAATCTACAGTGATAGAAGTCAGAAAATGAGCTTGTTATGTTCTGGAGTGGGGTAGGGGAGGGGAGCGACTGCAAGGTGCCTTATAGGAGTGCTGGCAAAATCCTATTTCCTGTTCTAGTTGTGGTTTCATGAGTGAGTGTCTGCATAAAATTTCATGGAGCTGTACGCTTAATGTTGGCACGTGTCTATGTTATGCTTCATAAGAAAGTTTACATTTTAAAAAATCACTTCGGGAGTTATCGTTCTTTGTTCTCACTTCCCATCCCGCCCCCCACCCCCAACTAGAGAATGTAATGTGATATCCGGTCCTGCAAAAAAATACACTGATTTTAAGAAAATTTTTGGGAAAAGTGAAGATGAGAGGCTGCTTATGGTAGAATCCCTGGATGAAAGGGAAAACGTGGCCTGGCCCTTATGTGGAAACCTCTTTCCCAGAGGGTGAAAAATGCTTCGTTATAATGACCTACTCTCTAAGAGAAATGCCTAAGTAAGATCATATTAAATTAAAGTTTAGGGAAGAAAACAGAAACCACCAAGAAAAGTCAGGGGATGCAGTTTTTATTGATGTTCTGGGAAGGCCAGAGAGCATGGTAAAACGGTGTGGGATTATCGTACCATAAGGGAGAGGAGGCTGCTTCAACAAATGTGCTCAAACGCTGTCGTCTTCTTCTGTAGTACACTCTGATTTTTCAGGGTCGGTGATTCTGCCCTTCGAGGCTTCGTCTGATTTTAATGTACTGTATTATGAAAGCATTCTTCCTTGTCTGAGGTTTTCTTGAATACGTAAACGTATTCTCCAGTGTTTTGGCTTTGTTACTCATTGTGCTGAGAACAAAGTCACACTCCAGTCATTAAAATGATACAG
The DNA here is from genome assembly GCF_000001405.40 of Homo sapiens. Taxonomy (NCBI): domain Eukaryota; kingdom Metazoa; phylum Chordata; class Mammalia; order Primates; family Hominidae; genus Homo; species Homo sapiens. The sequence goes on along the minus strand of NW_018654717.1, from coordinate 6,013,344 downwards.
GACATTCTGAAATGGTAAAGAAATCAATCAGCCGACTTCATTTTAAATAGTGGAAGATTGCACAGGAAATTCCAGAAGGTCAGAGTTAAAAGGCATTTAAGTCAAGTGATTAGTTGAAGTACAAATAGAACACAGTATTTGGAAGCCTGCCTTGTTTTTCCAGTGTTCATTAAAGGGGAATCATATGATCAGTATTCATCCTCAACTCCACTCTTCTCAATATTTTAACTATCAAGAATCCCTATTTAAAATCTCAATCTCCCTTTAACCCCATGCTTTATAAGATTTTGCATATCAAAAAATTGCATGTTATAAGTAACTTATTTTTATTTATTTGGATTGATACATGATTGCCAAAGAGAACATTTACCCAACATGACATAACCAGTATTACTATTGATAAACAATGTAGTAAATTCTATCCTCAGGAAAAGGATGAACATTTGAGTTACCCTGCACTAAGTAAATGAAAATATGATATGGGGAACTTCTGCAAAACTGAACTAGCCTGCAAATTCCCATTACTATCACCAGTTCTTCTAAAGATGAAGTCACTGGTTTATAAACCATGGCCCTACTATTCCCTTATTATCATGTTAAAGGCACATACAACTGAAGCTGAGTAATTTTAGATTAATTAATATGTAGTTGGTCTTTTTTTTTAGAAAAAGTCTTCTGCTGGCATTTTTCAGTCTTTTTCTCCAAGTTGAAACTCTATTAAAGAATGATTATTGAAGCAATATGGACATTTTCCCATTACCGGATGCTTCAGATTCAATTTGAGAATTGGCTGCACTGACAAGGACTTTCCTCATCATCTAACATCACTTAGTAGAGAGTGCAAGGGCAGCAATATAAACAAAATTATGTCTTTGTCTAGTAGAGAGATGAATGAGGTAGAGGTCAAAATCATTGTCTAAAGTAAGGTGTGAGATCATATGCCAAATTTCAATTACCCACATTAGCCATGTTTCTCTTTGAAGACAATAACACTTCTATCATCATTGAAAGGCTACAGAGCACTTTTCTATATCTTTGTTACAACCCTTACAGGGAAGTCAAGGAGTGTATTGTTATCCTTGTTTATATATATAGAAATGTAGCCTAGAGATTTGCTAAGTGCCCACTAAGGCCTTCGGACTCCTAACTCAGAGCTCTGTCCATCATGACATTATGTTGCCCTACAGAAAATTAAGGAGTCTTTGGTGTTACTATGGATTGAATTGTGCCCCCTCCAAAAAGTATGTTGAATTCCTAACCCCTGTAAGAGGAAAATGCCATGTGAGGAAAGAGGCAGAGACTCAAGTGGTGCAGTTGCAAGCCAAGAAATGCCAAGAATCAATGGCCACCACCAGAAGGTAGGAGGAGGCAAGGACTGCTGACACCTTGGCTTTGAACTTCCAGTCTCCAGCACTGTGAAAAAATAAATTTCTGCCAAAATCAGTCACATGGCCTTCCTTAGCTGCTGGGGAACTTGAGAAAGGTAGGGTACATGCAGCCATGCAGTTTATGATACTTTTTTGTAGAAACCCTAGAAGATGAATACAGGTGTAAATGCTTAAATTTCAGTTAAAGCCAAGAAGCATGGTGTCAATTATTTTCCTGTAATGAAAATGTGGCTCACATAAATGAGCCTGGAGATTTCTCCAAGCACTGACATAAGCACAGAAATGGGTCCTTTCTGCAGAACTACGTCTCCATCGTGGTTGTAGCTTTCTGTATCCCCCCATCAAAGATCTTCCTCACAGGAGATGAAACCTCAGTGTGACTCCGACTCCCTTGAACTCACACCCTTTCCTCCACAGGTGATCTAACATTTTGTACATGTCACTCTTAGCTTTTGTTGGAGACCTGAGAGATGCATCAGTGTCAATGCAGAAATGACAATATTGTTGAAATCAATGCTTACTGATTAGCAAACTCCAGACAGGGAGCAATTATAAACAATAAAATCAGGAAGAAAAATTACCTTCTTCCACTAATGCTACAAAAATAAAACACTTAACTTCCCCAAAGAGATAGTCAACAAATATTTGCTACTGAGACCAGGAGAGTGCTTTCAAATCATGCTTCACAAAAATATAACCCACCAACTACTTAAAAAGGGGGTTTGGTGGTCCAATACGTTTAGGAAATACAGCCTTCTCTTGTGCTGGGATATTCACTATGCACATTCCCACATTGCTTCCTCTGAGAAATATTGTAGTTAAAAACATAGACAAAAACATCTTAGCTAATATTATACTTTTCTGTTACTCTTTTCTCTTATAACAATTATTAATATCTAGGAATGTACTTTGGGAAACAATGGGCTGTGCTATTCCTAAATTTCACCAAGTAGATGATCTGATGCAGGAGAAACTGTGAACTATTTACTGTGCTACATGTAAGGTGGGCTGACCAGAATGGCGCTGCCCCACTCAAGAGGCACATGTGGAAAGACTCACTGGCTTATCATGGATGAGGTGTGAGGCTTATGCAGTTGAGGAACCTTTTAAAGAAAAGAATATAAGATGACCATGTGACCCCAATGTCGGGGTTCCTCCTCAGGCTTTGGAGTCATCCTGGCAAGTGAGGGTTTTGTTTTTTTTGTTTGTTTTTTGTTTTTTTTTTAAGGCAGAGTTTCGCTCTTTTTGCCCAGGATGGAGTGCAATGGCGTGGTCTTGTCTCACTGCAACCTCCGCCTCCCAGGTTCAAGCAATTCTCCTGCCTCAGCCTCCCGAGTAGCTAGGATTACAGGCATACACCAATATGCCCAACCCAATTTTTGTATTTTTGTAGAGGCGGGGTTTCACCATGTTGGCCAGGCTGATCTTGAACTCCTGACCTCCGGTGATCCACCTGCCTCGGCCTCCCAAAGTGCTGGGATTACAGGCGTGAGCCACCACGCCTGACGCAAGTGAGGGTTTCTAAAGCTTCTGCTCCATTAGCTTTGTGGGAAATCCACCTTGGCTTAAAATATGACTGGGTTCATGAAATAAAATTAAAACTCAAATTAACGGTGGTATAAACAATATAGAAATGTATTGCTCTTTTATCCCAGAGTCCAGAGATAGGGTTTCCAGGACTGATATTGTCACTGCATTGCATGAGGTTTCTTCTGGGACGTTGCCTTTGACACCAAGTCCCTGGTACGAACACCAGGGTTGAGGAAGGGCTGGAAGAATGGGCGTGTTCCTAACATGCTCTGTGAAATGCACTTTGAATTTCTTACATCCCATTGGCCAGAATTAGTCACATGGCCTTCCTTAGCTGCTGGGGACCTTGAGAAAGGTAGGGTACATTAGCTAAATATCAAGGGTTTGTAGAAGAGGAAAATGAGTATTAAGGCAGCTAGCGTTTTCTGCTCCCTCTCTCTCCCCTCACTCCTCACTCTCTCGACTTTTAAATGTATGAACTCAGAGCTTTATTATCTAGCATTAATATCTTTGCATTGAGGAATGGATGCTCCTAAAATCATCAGAATGGGCTTATACTGTATGTGCTTTTAGAAAATAAAAGGCTTTTGAGAAGAAAGTAAAATAGAAAAAAGAAAATCATGGACTGCAGGGATTCCCAGATTCTTCGTAAGCGAACAGTATTCTTCATTTCCCTGTGTGGTCACGGAAGACCTGATTGAGCGTGAGGCCAGGGAGATACCAAGTGAGAGGAGACAGGGAGTGGGTGGCCGCCAACTGCTGGCCCTCGCCACCCACCCCTTGGAATCAGCAGAACTTGAGGGCTGAAGGGAGGGGAACTGACTCCATTTTCCTTAAAGCACCTTAAGCCTTTTATTTCGTTACCCCCAGGAGGAAGCAGGAACGTAGACATTTTTTTGGAAGAAGGTTTTTAAAAGAAAATCTGTACTTGGATTGTTAAAAAGAGAGAAACGAAGGAGAGAATGGTCTGAGAAATTTGAGTAGGTTGATTTCTGACTATCTGAGCTATATATTCCTATCAACAGCCTGAGCTCTCAGCTCAAGAGCCTGTCAACACTTCAGCAGCAGCAGAAGATTCCCGGGAAGCATCTCTGGGTGTTTGGCAGGCTCCCCCGGGGCCAACTGCCTGGCCCTTCAGACTGATGGGCTTGGAACTGCTCTTTAAGGAGTGCACTCCTGGAACAAAGGGGCCTTGTTTGTCTCCTCTGTGTTCTGGAATAATCGCTGCCTTTAAAGATGTTGTAGAGTGAATGTGATGCAAACTTTCTATACTCACATAAATTTTTTTTTAATTTTATTTTTTTAAACTGAGCTTAAGGCATGTGGTTGAAACAAATACACACTTACAAAAGGGGTCTGTCTGCTCCACGGGGGTGTTAGATGCCATTCCTAACCCTCCTGGGGCACAAACTTGCACCAGTAAAACAGAAGGCATGAGATATGGCCTATAAGGAACTGTTGTTACCTTTTGTTATGAATGATACTTCAACAACCTCTTACTGGTTTGTTGAGTCTATTCAACTACCTTGATTAGATGTGATCTACAATAGAAAAACCAGATTAAGTCCAAAGAAAATAGTTCTTAACCAGGTGGAGGAAAAAATTTTGGAGAGGTCTGAACTTCAAAGGCTAAGCAAAAGTTAGGATGAATGATTAACAGTTTATAATACTTCACTAAAGTGAAGAATTAATTTTAAAAATACATGTGATGTATACATAAATATAAAGTTAGGTTATCTGGTATTTTGACTAAATACATGTAGTGTTGTACAATACTAATTAATTTATATGGTTCTCTTTTTTAGGTAAGTAGTAATTAATAATTTAGCATTAGGGTTGGTGCAAAACTTATTGCAGTTTTTGCCATATATGAGCTGGTGAAGCGGCATCATTGGTCTGTAATACCCAACGTTTGTTGCCTTGCGCCAAGGGAATCAAGGACGCAGACACACAAACAGTGAGGTTAAGAGTGGAGGTTTAATTGGCGAAAGAAAAGGAAGAGTTCTCTCTCCTGCAGAGAGAGAGAGGGGCACCCCAGCAGGTGTTCCGGTTCACAGCCAAGTGCATAAGATTTTATAGATGAGCTTGAGGAGGCGGTGTCTGATTTATATAGGGCATGAGAGATTGGTGAGTCCAGGTGTGCCATTTGCATAGCTGGCCACCCCACCCTAATCTTTAATTATGCAGTTGGTTCTCTACCTGGCCAGCGCCATGTTGCCTGTTTCTTTACTGTACACATGGTGACAAAGAAAAGCGAAGATGGAGCCTCCATGTTGAACATACCTGGCCCCCGGGTAGGCTTCCCCTATTGCAATGCACAGCCGCCGTCATTCACCTGTGCAAGCTTCCAGCTTGGTTATCTATGTCTGCAGCTTGATTTTACAGGCTGCTTTTTGTTAGAAAAGAAATTATCTGGGGGCTGCTTTTTGTTAAAAGGGAAGCCTTGCCAAGGACTCCCTTACTCTCACTCTCTGCCTAAATAATTTCTTTTTAGCTCCTGTATCACTGATAGAGAGTCAGGTCTGTTTTGGCAGATTAAGTCCATTCCGTTGATCAGACATGTATTGACTTTGTATATTGTGCAAGACAGCTGGGTGGGGATGGAAGAGATAAAAAAATGGGCAGCTATTGTTGCAGTCTCAGCAAGTGAATAATCAATGGGAAGGGATAACTTAGGTCTACAAATAGATATAATTTACCATATTTTGTCATCAATGCTAAAATATAGCTACAGGCAGTAATAGTAGGCTCCCTTTTTGGTGACCGATGGATACTTGCCATTATACTATTTAATTTATATTATGTCCATTAACATGACATGACAAGTCCCTATATGATATTTTAGGAAACTGAGTAACAACAACAAAAAAATAAGTAATTTGCTCAAGGTCAGAGCTAAGAAGCCAAGGAGCCAGGTTTCAAATGCCGATTGCCAGATCCTTGCTCTGGGGCACACTTTGGACACGCAAATAAAGGCTTAACTGTTTCTGGCACAGAAACAGAGTGTCTCATAGAAGTGGCATCTGAGCTGGGTCTTGAGGGGTACGTATGTTAATGATGGAGTGAGGAAAGGGAATCAAGTCATCAAAGACACGGAGATGGAAAAGTACAGAGATTGTTTAAGGACCTGAAAAGAAGTCTGACTTGGTAGCAGCAGAGTGAGAGTAGAGGGAGATGAAACGGAGAGGCTGAAGCCAGCTGGGAGTCAGGTGGCCGCGCAATGATGTCAAGTCATGGGTTTCTAGAATTGTGGGAAGGCCCAGGGCAAATCACAGGGCAAATCACAGCTCTGTCGACTGGTTTCCTCTGTAAAATAGAAATAGAGTAAGATCATAAACTCACGTTCCAACTCTGGATTTATGCTTTCCTGTCCAGGAACATTTAGTCTCCCCTTCCCACTTCCCTCCTCGGTCCATGAGGGAAGCAAAATGTGTCCATTCTTCTGCCCACGCCCAGTCCTGCACTAACTCCTCCCCAAAGCAGAGTAAGTGGTTTCCTGGTCGGTGAGAACATGAGAGTGTCACTGCACTGGGTTTTACCCATGGTCGGAATTGCTGAAATTCCTGAGTGGTTAAGGACAAACCCACCCGAGTCACTCTACTGCTGTTTCCTGTGTCCACATGGTAAACTCTCAGCTTCTGGCCAAAGACCTTGGTGGACCCTGCTGACTTGCTGTAAGATCTTCTTACATGTTTTTTTTTTGTTTGTTTGTTTGTTTTGAGGCAGATTCTCACTGTCTTGTCCAGGCCAGTCTGCAGTGGCACAATCTTGACACAATCACTGCAACCTCCACCTTCTGGGGTCAAGCAATTCTCATGCCTCAGTCTCCTGAGTAGCTGGGATTACAGGCATGCACCACCACGCCCGGCTAATTTTTGTATTTTTAGTAGAGACAGTGTTTCACTGTATTGGCCAGGCTAGTCTAAAACTCCTGATCTCAAGTGATCTGCCTACCTCAGCCTCCCAAAGTACTGGGGTTACAGGCATGAGCCACCATGCCCGGCCTTCTTATATCGTTTTTGATGTGTTTTGGAGCATAAGTGGGCTTCCTGATAATCTTAGAGTCAGGCACAGGGACTTAGGCTTCCTTACTTCAACTTTATTATCCAAATTCCTCTTGCTAGAGAGCGTTGCATTGGGATGATTGAGTCCTTGCCTAGCTCTTAATGAAGTGATATTTTGTTTTCCCATTGGCAGTTGTTCTTTGTGTGTATAGATTTCTTGGTTAGAAACTTCTAGGTTATGGAAGAGGAGAAAGGGAAGGAACAGGAGCGGGTAGGGGAGAAAGAGGAGGAGGTAGGAGCAGGAAGAGCAAAGGGAGAAGAAGGAAGGGGAGGGAAGACAGGATACTCATTCCCCAGCCCAGGAAAGGCAGATGCTTGAGAGCCTGATGTCTGTGGGTGGTTGTGGGGAAGACTGGTAAAACTTCCTGGCTTCATATTTTTTTAGTTTCATTTTCAAAAGAAGGAAAAATTGCCCAAATTCGATTTAATTCTACAATTATGGGGCACTCACTACATGCAAGAAACTGTTCTAGAAGTTGGGAGTAGGTTGGACATAGATAGGAAAGAGATAAAAAAGGTTCCCTCTATTTAGTTTCTTAAGGAACTAAAGTACAAAATAGTTTGTCATTGAAGTTAAGCAGAAGAATTCACGTCTTCTAATTTACTGCAAACTCTACAAAATATCAAATGACAAACTGACTCATGAGAGCTCTTAGAAGTGAGAACTGGGTGTCTTCCAGGGGGTTATATAAGACAATAGCATTTATAAAAATGAGCTTCTTTTGTAGTTTTTCTTGATTCTGGAAACTTCAATTACCCTTCTCACTTCTGCTAACTTTTAAAAATCATGCAGAGATGTTATCCAACAAATGCCTGTTTAAGCCAAGGGAGGTCACTCCTAAAGCAACCATCCAAAAGACCTGCTCTTTTCAAATCTCTTCACAGATAACAGAAAGCAAATGTTCAAAATAATTATAAACAAAGGAACAAGTAAGAGATTTCCAGAAGCGAACACTTTTTAAACTAGATCTGAGAAAACACTATTTCAATAGTTAAGATTTATCTCCATCTGGGAACATTAATCCTTAAAACAGCCTGCCTCTGATAAAGCTTTTCTTTCCCGCTGAAAATGAGAATATGCAATGTTCTTTCTCACTGTTCAATAGCGTTTTTGCCTCCTTCTGGGTATACTATGCCGTAGGATATAAACGTCATTCTTTTTATTACAGAAAATATTTCTAAACTTCTACAGGCATATCCCTCCCCCCTCCCCCCACCCCACAACAGTCCCCAGAGTGTGATGTTCCCCTTCCTGTGCCCATGTGTTCTCATAGTTCAATTCTCATCTATGAGTGAGAACATCTGGTGTTTGGTTTTTTGTCCTTGCGATAGTTTACTGAGAACGATTTCCAATTTCATCCATGTCCCTATAAAGGACATGAACTCACCATTGTTTATGGCTGCATAGTATTCCATGGTGTATATGTGCCACATTTTCTTAATCCAGTCTATCATTGTTGGACATTTGGCTTGGTTCCAAGTCTTTGCTATTGTGAATAGTGCCGCAATAAACATACGTGAGCATGTGTCTTTATAGCAGCATGATTTATAGTCCTTTGGGTATATACCCAGTAATGGGATGGCTGGGTCAAATGGTATTTCTAGTTCTAGATCCCTGAGGAATCGCCACACTGAGTTCCACAATGGTTGAACTAGTTTACAGTCCCACCAACAGTGTAAAAGTGTTCCTATTTCTCCACATCCTCTCCAGCACCTGTTGTTTCCTTACTTTTTAATGATCGCCATTCTAACTGGTGTGAGATGGTATCTCATTGTGGTTTTGATTTGCATTTCTCTGATGGCCAGTGATGGTGAGCATTTTTTCATGTGTCTTTTGGCTGCATAAATGTCTTCTTTTGAGAAGTGTCTGTTCATATCCTTTGCCCACTTTTTGGTGGGGTTGTTTGTTTTTTCTTGTAAATTTGTTTGAGTTCATTGTAGATTCTGGATATTAGCCCTTTGTCAGATGAGTAGGTTGCAAAAATTTTCTCCCATTGTGTAGGTTGCCTGTTCACTCTGATGGTAGTTTCTTTTGCTGTGCAGAAGCTCTTTAGTTTAATTAGATCCCATTTGTCAATTTTGGCTTTTGTTGCCATTGCTTTTGGTGTTTTAGACATGAAGCCCTTGCCCATGCCTATGTCCTGAATGGTAATGCCTAGGTTTTCTTCTAGGGTTTTTATGGTTTTAGGTCTAACGTTTAAGTCTTTAATCCATCTTGAATTAATTTTTGTATAAGGTGTAAGGAAGGGATCCAGTTTCAGCTTTCTACTTATGGCTAGCTAGTTTTCCCAGCACCATTTATTAAATAGGGAATCCTTTCCCCATTGCTTGTTTTTCTCAGGTTTGTCAGAGATCAGATAGTTGTAGACATGCGGTGTTATTTCTGAGGGCTCTGTTCTGTTCCATTGATCTATATCTCTGTTTTGGTACCAGTACCATGCTGTTTTGGTTACTGTAGCCTTGTAGTGTAGTTTGAAGTCAGGTAGTGTGATGCCTCCAGCTTTGTTCTTTTGGCTTAGGATTGACTTGGCCATGCGGGCTCTTTTTCGGTTCCATATGAACTTTAAAGTAGTTTTTTCCAATTCTGTGAAGAAAGTCATTGGTAGCTTGATGGGGATGGCATTGAATCTATAAATTACCTTGGGCAGTATGGCCATTTTCACGATATTGATTCTTCCTAGCCATGAGCATGGAATGTTCTTCCATTTGTTCGTATCCTCTTTTATTTCATTGAGCAGTGGTTTGCAGTTCTCCTTGAAGAGGTCCTTCACGTCCCTTGTAAGTTGGATTCCTAAGTATTTTATTCTCTTTGAAGCAATTGTGAATGGGAGTTCACTCATGATTTGGTTCTCTGTTTGTCTGTTATTGGTGTATAAGAATGCTTGTGATTTTTGTACATTGATTTTGTATCCTGAGACTTTGCTGAAGTTGCTTATCAGCTTAAGGAGATTTTGGGCTGAGACAATGGGGTTTTCTAGATATACAATCATGTCGTCTGCAAACAGGGACAATTTGACTTCCTCTTTTCCTAATTGAATACCCTTTATTTCCTTCTCCTGCCTAATTGCCCTGGCCAGAACTTCCAACACTATGTTGAATAGGAGTGGTGAGAGAGGGCATCCCTGTCTTGTGCCAGTTTTCAAAGGGAATGCTTCCAGTTTTTGCCCATTCAGTATGATATTGGCTGTGGGTTTGTCATAGCATTAGGAGATATACCTAATGCTAAATAACGAGTTAATGGGTGCAGCACACCAGCATGGCACATGTATACATATGTAACTAACCTGCACATTGTGCACATGTACCCTAAAACTTAAAGTATAATAATAATAATAATAATAATAATAATAAATAAACTTCTATAGGCATATTCTTAATATATTTTTTCTGGTTTTAATGTTTTCTATGGTAATTATGAGATTAATTTGTTGTTTTCCAAGTAGCTCTGGTGTTCTGTTGACTCTAGCCCAAATTAATTGTTTCAAGAAGAAACTAAAACCAAAGAATTTTGATAGGATAACTGAGAGAGAGTCACACATATGCGAGACTATGGAAAATAAAGTTTGGGGAAGGCAAAGGCAGATTTGTAGATTTCACTGCTGAGTTTGGTTTTTTGTTTTTGTTTTGTTTTGTTTTCAGACAGAGTCTCACTCCTGTCACCCAGGCTGGAGTGCAGTGGCACAATCACGGCTCACTGCAGCCTCAGCCTCCTGGGCTCAGGCAATCCTCCCACCTCAGCTTCCCGAGTAGCTGGGTCCACAGGAGTGCACCACCATGCCCGGCTAATGTTTTTTTTGTTTGTTTGTTTGTTTGTTTGTTTGTTTGAGACAGAGTCTCGTCTCGCTCTGTCGCCCAGGCTGGAGTGCAGTGGCACGATCTCGGCTCACTGCAAGCTCCGCCTCCCGGGTGCATGCCATTCTCCTGCCTCAGCCTCCCGAGTAGCTGGGACTACAGGCGTCCGCCACCACGCCCAGCTAATTTTTTGTATTTTTAGTAGAGGTGGGTTTTTGCCATGTTACCTGGGGTGGTCTCAAACTCCTGGGCTCAAGCAATCCTCCCACCTTGGCCTACTAAATTCCTGGGATTACAGGCATGAGCCACCACAGCTGGCATACTGCAAAGTTTTTGACAGTAGACTTCAAGATACACCCGTTCACACGTTTTTTCCCCATTTTTTTACACCTCTCAGAAGCCAAATCTCCTAGCAAATAAAGAAAACAAGCTAAACACTGAAGTGCAACTGCCACGACTTTTGCACACTGTGTGGGGAAACACAGTAAATACAGAAAGGGAGTAAATGGATTCTAGTGGGAGAGCATCGAGACATGTGAGTTTTTCCAAAGCATGCCTTTACCGGTTTGCATGGTGGAGATAATCAGTGACATTGTACCCTGTGCTGCAGGAAAAGTACGGCCTTTTGTACTTACAATCCCCCTCATCAGAGGAGCAAATACAGAGGGACTCTTGCAGTTTTCCTGGGTGCAAATGATGGCACTAAAGACATAGTAGGATCTGGTTCTTACAGGGGTGAAAGAAAACACTAAAGTGGAAAAGAGGGCCTGGCATGGTGGCTCACGCTTGCTCTCCCAGCAGTTTGGGAAGCTGAGACGGACCACTTGAGGCCAGGTGTTTGACACCAGCCTGGGCAACATAGTGAGACCCCATCTCTGCAAAAAAATTTCTCAAAAAACTACCTGGGAGTGCACACAGTGGCTCATGCCTGTAATCCCAGCACTTTGAGAGGCCGAGGTGGGCAGATTACTTGAGGCCAGGAGTTTGAGGCCACGCTGGGCGACATGTCGAAACTCCGTCTCTACTAAAAATAAAAAAATTAGCCAGGCGTGGTGGCACACACCTGTAGTCCCAGCTACTCAGGAGGCTGAGGCAGGAGAATTGCTTGAACGTGGGAAGTGGAGGTTGCAGTGAGCTGAGAGAGCACCACTGCACTCCAGCCTCAGTGACATACTGAGACACCATCTCAAAAAAAAAAAAAAAAAAAGCTGGGCATGGTGGTATATGACTGTAGTCCTAGTTGTAGGAGGATTGCTTGAGCCCAGGAGTTTGGGATTACAGTGAGCTATGATTGCATCACTGTACTTTAGCCTGGGTGACAGAGCGAGACTCTGTCTCTAAAAAATAAATAAATAAAAATGAATAGAGTGAAAATAATAAAAAATATTAAATGGAAAAGGGGAACATCTTCCACTGCTATCAGAGAACACCTGTGGTTCAGAGAGTGTGTCTGTGCCATTTGGGGTGATGAAAATCTCGGATTAACTCTGATTATGCCTTTAGGTAGAGAAACAGAAGCTTGAGAGAATTAGGTTACTGTCCTTGCTACCTTCCAAGGTACCATGGCCCAAGTCCATATCTATCCATGGCAAGTAAGGGCTCTGGCATCCTGATCTTTTTCAGCAGCCCCCAGGGAGAGATATGATTCATGGTGATTCCCAAAGGGCCACTCTTTCTACTAAGATTGCACATCAAGTGGTCTCACCCTCTTTAAAGGCTGAACTGAGCTTTTTCTTGGTCCGAGTCCTCATGCCTACCAGCTGGCACCTCATTGTTCCTAAGGGAACTCTAAGGACTCTGAGGGAGCTGCTCTCTTGCTCAGCGATGAGTCGGTCATGCATTGAGGTCACTCGCGGCTGCATCCTCAGCCCATCCTTGGCTTCCTTCTTGACGCCCTAGCTCTTCAGTGGCCTGGCTCCTATACTATCCTCCTAGAGTGTTTCTTGTTCTACACTGCAGCCTCCTTCGTGGCTGGATTGTTCTGTTTTTGACCTCTTTCCTTGCAGTGACTCCTATCCTGTCAATGCCCAACTGCCCACCCATAAGCGCTCTTTATGAATGTCTGGCCCGCTTTTAGTTTGCCAGATACCATGAACTTTTACTTTGTATATTGTCTGGTTTTCTTCTGAGGGCTAACTCTTCGTTTCTAAGCGCTCCCTTTAAGCTGATATCTCTGGGTACTATTTGTTCCTAAAATAGCTGGCCCTTGACCCTACTTGCTTGTTCAGAAGCATAGCCTTCCGTAATGCTGTGGGTCTATTTGGATACTTAGTCTTTTCTTTTTTCACTTTGGCTTATTTTACGGCCTCTAAAGTCTTGTTCAAGAAGACTAAATCCAATAACTGCAAAGAGCACTTAAAACTGATTAATTGGGGTTCTGTCTACAACTGTGTTATCAAGTGTATCATACTCTTCTGCTTTCTCTCAAATTAGCATTGCTTCTCATGAATTTATTCAAATACATAAACATTTGTTTATGTTTGATTTTCATAAGTCTTACATTTTCAAGCAGTTGGTATTTTTTTTCATAATGACACCGGCAGATAAAGCTTGAGACCTTCCTTGAACTAATAAGTTGTTAGCTTACAACTGAGCTCTATGTAGGATTCTTATTCTTTAATTTGCTAATGGCCTATCATAAGAACATAGGATTTGAACTGAGTCATACCGGGATTAATCCATATCAGTGTTCAGCTGTGAATAGTTACCTCAAATAACAGGCAGTGAGAAGATGCAACTGTTCTTCCTAATATACTTTAAAAATAATTATATCTCAGAATGCTAGTAGCAATTGATGCCTCTATTAGTCATAAGTTAGTCCTTACCTTTTATTATTCTATCTGTGTTTCCTAAGATAACTACCTCTGCTATAGACAACAGTCACTCTCTTCTGTTGTATCACATAAAGAGAAATAGGTACAGAGAATGATGGAGAAAAAAATTGTATTCTTTATGCTAATAAAATATAATAAATGTATGGCTTGATCTACAAAAGCAGACATAGATAAAAAATTTTAAGTATTTTTATATGTTTGGTAGCTTTGGTATGATGTATTGGAAAAAATATAGACTTCAAAGTCAGACAGGTCTAGGTTTAAATTCCAGCTCTGTCCTGTACTATCTTCATGACCTCTCTGAACTTCAACTTCATTGTGTAAAAAAAATTAATATTTATCTTGAAGGTCTGTTGTTAGAATTAAAAGTAATAAGGCCGGGCGCAGTGACTCATACCTGTAATCCCAGCACTTTGGGAGGCCAAAGTGGGTGGATTACTTAAGCCCTGAGCCCAGGAGTTCAAGACCAGCCTGGACAACAAAGGGAGACCCTTGTCACTAAAAAAAAAAAAAAAAAAAAAAAAAAAAAAAAAAAAAAATTGAGTTTCGTTTGGTTTTGGCAACATATAGGCAAAACTGTCATAGGGAACATGGTCCCGACCTGTACTCTCTGACAGTGGGCACTAGCCACCTGGGGTTATTTATATTTACACATTTACATTAAAAACTCACTTCCTCACTTGTACTAGCCACAGTTTATATGCTCAATAGCCACATGTGGCCAGTGGTTACCATATTGGATAGAGTGGATGGAAGTCATTTCCATCATTGCAGATCATTCTGCTGGGCAGTGCAGGTCTAGACCTGGAGATTCTTTATAGGCTTTATTAATAATGTCATAAAGGTCATAAAATGTCTAGGATCAGGCAGCCCTTCTGGGTGCTGGGAATAAGACATGCCTATTTCTGGGTCCCTTTCCCCACCAAGTCAATTGTCTTCCCAGTCCCTGCCCCTTTACCTCATTTTACAAATCACCAAGGCAAATTTTCCATTCTTAAGCCATCTGCCAGTAACCTGTCTTGTTTCAAGGTATCTGTTCACTAAGCCCAGTTGAGGTAGCCTTTGTGAGCATAATATAAAACCTTTTATGGGAATAACCGAGTTTCAAATTCAAAGTAATGACTGAGATGCCTCTCCTTATAGGATTTCAGGGGGAAAACTGGGGGTGAGGATTGCTACACACTGATTGTGTCCTTCTAAAATTCATATGTTGAAACCTAAACTCCAAGGTGATAGTATTAAGAGGTAGACCCTTTGGGGGTGATTCAGTCATGAGGGCTCTGCCCTCATGAATGGGGTTAGTGCCCTTATAAAAGAAGCCTGAGGGAGCTTTTCTGCCCCCTCTGCCATGTGAGGACACACAGAAGGCACCAACCAAGTGGAATGGGCCCTCACTGCACAGTGAATATACTGGTGCCTTGACCTTGGACTTCCCAGTCTCCAGACCCATGAGCAGTAAAATTCTGTTGTTTATAAATGACCCAGTCTAAGGTGTTCTGTGGGGTTTTTTGTTTTGTTTTGTTTTTGTTTTTGTTTGTTTTGTTTTGTTTTGTTTTTGAGATGGAGTCTCCCTCTGTCACCCAGGCTGGAGTGCAATGGCGCGATCTCAGCTCACTGCAACTGGCTAGGTTAAAACAAAATATTTCTTAGAAGGATCATATTTTTGGAGATAGACAAACATGGCAGTTATATTAAAGTAGTATATTGTTTGGGGAGATTTGTTTATTTATTCAGCATGTACAATGCTAGTTCAGTCCATATACTAGTGTGAATGGTTAAACAATAAAACCTTGAGGTTCTGCTGCTTGGCAAAGCATTTAATGATGTTTGACTTGAGTGTCAGTCAAACATCAAGTGTTAATTGACTTACAGAAGTAAAGGGTCATAATCTCCTCAGATCTAATCAGGAAATTACTCTTTCTGACTGAAGTTGCTAAGTTTAAATGCTTCTACTGCCATAATAGGGCAAACATTTGAGTCAGAGAGAGAAATCCAAGGTCACCTAATAGAAGAAATTTTCCCATTGTGTGGCATGCATTTCAGAGGGATCCTTTGAGGAAATCAACCCCTATAAATACCCCTGGCAAAGACTGTATCTAAAACCAGCACCTTGAACATTTATAACACAAGAGACTGTTTTCTGCACTTAATACATAAGAGTGACAATCTCGGTATAAAACAGCCTGAGACCAGAATTGCACAGAAGACACATAAAAAAGATCAATAGAACTTGGATATGAGAGTTCTGATCAGACTAGAACAGAAACAATTCTATTTGTCACACCGAAGGGAGAAAGTTAACAAGTCATCATTCACTGGAAAGGAAGGATTATATATTGGTGATGTTGCCAGTGATACTGCATTGGGATGGACCCTTCAACCAAGGAGGTCAAGAGAGCCGGAGCTCTAGATCAGCAAACTCAGTTCTTGTGATAGTGAGCAAAGAATTGCAAACTAACACCAAAATGCAAGCTCAAAGCAAAGTTTATTGAAGCATAGTAATGCGCTCTCAGAGGGAGAGTGGGCTGATCTCTGTGAAGTGAAATCAGCCCCTTTTCACAGAGCTCAGCGTGCTTTTACGGGTTTTATGGGGAGGAGTCGAGGCTTGGGCTGTGTTTTAGTGACAGGATGATATTATTTAATTGGCAGTTTAAGGTTATATCTCTGAAGTTAAACTGCACATAATTTTTTTTACCCATAATTCATTTAGGAAAGCTCACTCAAGGGGGCAAACACACATGTAAATTTTATTGTAATGACTGTGTAGTGAGGACGAAGTTACCTGGGGTTACAGCCTAGATGGACTGGGCATTCATGACTGTAGGGGATTTTTATCTGTGCCCAGTTCTTCTTCCTCCAAGATGTGCTGGCCACAGACTTTACCAGAAACTCCATCCATTAAGGTAGAGTTAGGGTGGTCGTGGGGGCTGAACATAGGTGGGTCAGGGCCTGGCTTAGTGACAGCCCTTCTGCTATCCTCTCTCACCCCTTCCCAGCTGCACCTAACAATATCTAACCACCTAACAATATCAGAATTCTTACTGTATATTAAAGATGGCCGAACGAAATTGTTAATTGAATTTTATGATTAAATGTATATAGCTCATGATCTACAGTGTGAATTAGTCTTTTTCAATTAATTATTTGTTTCTTTAAATTCTAGTTAACAGTTATCTCATATTCAGAGATAAATAGATCTCCTATTCATCATTTCTAGTTATAGATAGATATTTGGATTGGCTAGACTGAATTGATACTTGGATTTGATATTGTGTGCCCTAAATTGTAATGGAAATGGGCACTGTACCAAATTGTACCAAATATATCTTTTTTTTTTTTTTTTTTTTTTTTTGAGACAGAGTCTTGCTCTGTCATGCAGGCTGGAGTGCAGGGGCATGATTTTGGCTCACTGCAAACTTTGCCTCCCGGGTTCACGCCATTCTCCTGCCTCAGACTTCCAAGTAGGTGGGACTACAGGCACCCAACACCTCGCCCGGCTAATTTTTTGTATTTTTAGTAGAGACGGGGTTTTACCGTATTAGCCAGGATGGTCTCGATCTCCTGACCTCATGATCCGCCCGCCTCAGCCTCCCAAAGTGCTAGAATTACAGGCGTGAGCCGCCGCGCCCGGCCCAAATATATCTTAATAGGGCTTGTTGCTGTTTCACCAGCAAATACATTGAATAAGCTGTTGGGGAGAATAGAGATGTGATACACTTCCAGAAGTTAGCAGTCTAGAGAAGGGGACTTATATAGAAAGACTTGCCTAAAATAAAAGTATTCCAGTTTTCTATAAGTACAGTAGCTGCTATTCTAAAGCAAATCTATTTTGTGGAAAGCTAGTTTGTTAAGCAGCTAATTCACAAAAAGCCATTTCAGCAAAAATCAATTCACTGTGATCCACTGTTACATTACTGAGGGTTTTTCTTTTTGTTTTAGTTTCTCCTCAGCATCACAGAGTCATCTTATCATGAATTTCTCAACTCGGCTTAGTTGGATGTGAATTTCAAGTGGTTCAGTTGGCTTTTAAATTTCAGACACTAGAAAAAACTTCTCTTAAGGTACAATGGTGATGGGAGTAGCAGCCCATCTAGAGAGGCCACTGCCATGACACTGACTGTAGTGGGGAGGCACTGCCAGGGCAGGGCTGCACACTTCAGGGAGCCAGCAGGAGCCTTCTGGGCACAGCTGCAGCTGCCCAAGCTCTGGCTGTAAACCTGGGCATCTCTGCCTGGGAATGCCCCCCAAGCCCTGTAGTCTCAGGGGTGTCTGCTCACGCTGCCTGGCCTCTCCCTGCTCCTGGCACCCACTCTGATTTTGAAGCAAGGTTGGGGCCGGGCTTGGTTGCTGTTGCAGCCTGACCAGGTGTGTGCACACCAAGGGCAGCACTGACATGCCAGCCCCCTGCCACCTCGGCCCCCTCTGGACTTTGGGCACCAACGAGCACAGGAGGGAGGCTAAGGGGGGCTGAGGGCAGCTTGGGGCTGGCCTGCAGGTGCCCCTTGACATGAACAGCCTGGGCATCATGAATGGTAGCAGGAGGCAGAGAGGCTTCCGGGCAGAAGGAGGTGGGTCCCCAGTGAAGCCCCACCTTCAAGCTGGGGAAGACCTGAAGCCTGGGGGCCAGGCTGCTGGTCCCAGGGACCAGAGTGGGAACTTGTGGTGCTTTTTCCGGGCCCACCTGTGGCTGCCCATAGACCAATCAGCACGCACTTCCTCCCCTCTAAAGACCATAAAAACCCCAGACTCAGCCAGACTTGGGAAGATGATGGGACAACCAGCTGCAGAGAGGAGCTACCCAGTGTTGGTCTCCTTGAGTTGTTCTGTCACTCAATAAAGCTCTTCATCACCTTTCTCACCCTCCACTTGTTCACGTACCTCATTCTTCCTGGATGCAGGACGAGACCTTGGAACCCTGCAAATGGCAAGGCTAAAAGAGCTGTAACACAAACAGGGCTAAAACATGCCCCTTGCTCATTGCAGGTGACAAAGAGAGAAGAGAGAAGGAGAGAAGAGCTGTGGCCCTTCAGGGAGTCCAGACCTAAGAGCTCCCCACACCAGGGCCGTGACACCCCTTTTGGGGCTCTGCAGTTCCTGGTGTCTCCAAGCTTCTGGGTGCCACCATGTTCCCCAGTGCCAGCTGTGGAAGCTGCTTGTGGTACACCTGGTCCAGCCACAGCCTCAGAGGGAGCCAGTGCCCATGTTAGCAACTGGAGCTGCCTGCCCTGCTGCAGCTGGTGTGCCTGGCTATGTGCAGTGGCCAGACCCCATGCTTGCTCACACACCCCTTGCCACTCCACACCTGGCTCACCCTTGGCAGGCCTGGGGGATCCAGGCTGGTACCATGAGCTGAGTGCAGCCTGTCAGGCCAAGCGGTGGAATGAGCCCAGATGGCCCCAAGCAAAACTCAGGCAAAGGCACCACTGGCCACAGAGGTTTCCAGCTGGCAAAGTGACACCCCAAGGATCCTGTAACAGTGGGACAGGATGAGCCCAACTTCACTGCAACTTACTCTCTTCTTTATTTTTGAGAGTTTATGTCCTATCCCAGTTATTTCCCATGCATTTGCTTCCACTTCTCTAAGCAAAACACTAAAAGATCTGGTTTAAGATATCTGTCTATCAGTATTCTTTGGGTTGATTGGTTAGCCAATTATTCAATGAACTGGCTTTTAGCAAATGGGTGATCCAGTGAGATGGCCATTAGTTAAATGATGACTTAGGGAATCGAATACAGTCAGTTTCACTTCTTTCTCATTTTCAAAGTGATGTATGGGCCATCACCAAGAATAATACAGATCACCCATGACTTGTTCATACAAGCACATTGATTTCCCCATACCCTGTTTCCTAAGTGTCAATCTCACACCAACTTCATGGTTTTTGCAATATCCTCATAGAACCTATACTATTATGTATTTAATATTTTTCTTGAATCTGACACACCCGTAATTTTTCATTCATTATTTTAAAGGGAACTTTCATACTGTTGTACTGAAAACTGCCAGACTATGCCAATCCAAAGTATGCCAGTGTGACATGAGGATTATTTTGAGCTGAAGGCACTTGAAAAAATAGTAGGTATGACAAGGACCCTCTGATCTTCCCTCTTTCCTCCTAAAGGAAGAAAATAAATCCCCATATGGAAGATGTCCTTCATATACCGCAAAGAAAATAACATTCTTATCACTAGAAACGGGGAGTCAGAATTGAGACCAATCTGTAGAAACCTTGTTAAACTAATCCTTATCTTCCTAGTTACTTTTCCACCATAACTGACTCAGCCCAAGCCCCCTCCATTTGTCACACTTTCATAATTTACTCCTCTTTGTCCAATTCTATATATGTGCTCTACCCCAACTGCCTGTTTGGGTCTTATGAAGGCTTCTGTGTCATGTAAAACTTATTTTAAATAAATGTGTATGCATTTCTCCAGTTAATCTGTCTTTGGTCAATTTAATCCTCAAGCCCAGCCAAAAACCCTGAAGGCAGAAGTACAATTTTGCCTCTCCTTCAGTACTGAGCAAATTATCTGTGCATTCATAAGTTTGACATTCCCGTTATGTATTTTTAAGTGCACATAAAACATATTAACTATATGGATAGAAAGTGTTCATCTTTGAACTACTTAAACTCAACTCCCATGTGAATATACACTGGGTAAACAGCTGGAATAAAGAAATAAAGAATATGATCACCTAACACCTTGCATAGCAGCTGTCTGCCCCACAGTAGTATCTCTCTGACCAATAGTTCTTGACCACAGCTGCACCCTGCCTCTTCCCCAGACCAAGTGAATAAGGATCCCTGGGAGAGTGGGACCCAGATATAAGATTTATAAAAGCTTCCAGTTGATTTTAATTGCAGCCAGAGTTGAGAATCACTGTGCTAAACCATATTGTGTCCGCAATTGGTGGGTTCTTGGTCTCGCTGACTTCAAGAATGAAGCCGCGGACCCTCGTGGTGAGTGTTACAGCTCTTAAGGTGGCATGTCTAGAGTTTGTTCCTTCTGATGTTCGGATGTGTTCTGAGTCTTTTCCTTCTGGTGGGCTCGTGGTCTCGCTGGCTCAGGAGTGAAGCTGCAGACCTTGGCGGTGAGTGTTACAGCTCTTAAGGCGGCGCGTCTGGAGTTGTTCCTTCCTCCCAGTGGTCTCATGGTCTCGCTGGCTTCAGGAGTGAAGCTGCAGACCTTCGTGGTGAGTGTTACAGCTCATAAAAGCAGTGTGGATCCAAAGAGAGCAGTAGCAAGATTTATTGCAAAGAGCGAAAGAACAAAGCTTCCACAGCGTGGAAGGGGACCGGAGGGGTTGCCACTGCTGGCTTGGGCAGCCTGCTTTTATTCTGTTATCTGGCCCCACCCACATCCTGCAGATGACTAGAGTCCAGTGGTTTGTTTTGACAGGGTGCTGGTTGGTGCGTTTACAATCCCTGAGCTTGACACAAAGGTTCTGCACCTCCCCACTAGATTAGCTAGATACAGAGTGTCCACACAAAGGTTCTCCAAGTCCCCACCAGAGTAGCTAGATACAGAGTGTGGATTGGTGCATTCACAAACCCTGAGCTAGAGACAGGGTGCTGATTGGTGTATTTACAATCCCTGAGCTAGACCTAAAGGTTCTCCACGTCCCCACCAGACTCAGGAGCCCAGCTGTCTTCACCCAGTGGATCCTGCACCGGGGCTGCAGGTGGAGCTGCCTGCCAGTCCTGCACCGTGTGCCTGCGCTCCTCAGCCCTTGGGTGGTCGATGGGACTGGGCGCCGTGGAGCAGGGGGCGGCGCCCTTCCGGGAGGCTGGGGCCGCACAGGAGCCCACGGAGGAGGTGGGAGGCACAGGCATGGCGGGCTGCAGGTCCCAAGCCCTGCCCCGCGGGAAGGCAGCTAAGGCTGGCACTGCTCGGGGACCCAGTACACCCTCCGCAGCCGCTGGCCCAGGTGCTAGGCCCCTCATTGCCCGGGGCCGGCAGGGCCGGCCAGCTGCTGCGAGTGCGGGTCCTACCAAGCCCACGCCCACCCGGAACTCCAGCTGGCCCGCAAGCGCCGCGCAAAGCCCGGGTTCCCGCTCGCGCCTCTCCCTCCACACCTCCCTGCAAGCTGAGGGAGCCCGCTCCGGCCTTGGCTAGCCCAGAAAGGGGCTCCCACAGTGCAGCGGTGGGCCCAGGCAGAGGAGGGTCCGAGAGCGAGCGAGGGCTGTGAGGACTGCCAGCATGCTATCACCTCTCAATATCATTCTGGTAAGTTCCATAAAGGCGTGAACCCAGACAGGTTGTTTAATGCTCTATCTCCTGCCTTTAGTACAGTAGCTGCCCGAGTCAGTGTTGAGCTAATTTATATTCTAAGAAGACTGGCAAAAAGGAGCCAATATCTCCATCTGGAGAGCAAAATAATCACTTATAATTCTGCATTAAGGTGGAGATAAACTGCTAAGACAAAGAATAAGAGGGCTGTCCTGGAAGGCTGTGCTTAGAATGAAGGGGTTAGGAGTTTCCTTCAATTGTATCTTTTGATTTTTTTTATGTTTCCTCTTTGCTACTCTTCACGTTTGTGGTCCAAACAGGATCTTTGAGACCTAACCTCTGTTTCGAATTTTCTCTTTGTCCTGAAGCATAGTGGCTTAACTTTTAGCTGCCTCAATTCCCTCATTAAAAAAAAGAAAAATCAAATCACTGAGCCAGTTAATAGATGTGTTAGCCTTCTATGCTGGAGTTATGCTCTGCAAAAGGCCTGGTGAATAATAGCTTGCTTTAAAAGTGTATCCAGTGCATGTATATGTTTTTAGGAAAGATTCAGAAAATAGCGTTCACGATAGAGAAACTCTCCCTCCCTTTCCCCTACACTACCCAGGCTAAGCATACTAGGAGGAACACAATGTGAGCTTTCATTGTGTTGGCAAGGATGTTTATAAATGTAAATGTGTGTGTGTTTACCCAAGTAATTTAAAAATAACGGAAGTGAACTAAGTAAGTGCATGCCATGCTTACCAAGAATATTAGGAAGCAAAGGTCCTTAAATATCTGAATTAGCTCTGACACTGATTCAGGAAAAAACTGGCTCACAACTCTTGCGTAAGACTTATGTAAGAGCTTAGATGTGGTGCCTGAACTATTCCAGTTTTCTACAGCATGGGGAAAAAAGCAAAGTATGTTACATTGTTGATACTTGCTCAGTTCTTTCCATTTCAACAGCTTCGTTGCTTAGAGAAGTAAAGCATCTCTGCTTCTTTTTTTTTAAAAAAAGTTTAAGTTTTCTAGTGTTTGCTACACATAGGTAGATGTAAACTAAAAGAACAAAACTATGGTATAGGCAGTAGGTAATTTAGAAATTAGGTAGAGATTTAAATTTGTTCATACCGAGACAGTAACGAGTTGTCAGTTTGTGATAAAACTTTAAACTCCAAGGCGACATTCCACACATAGGTGTTACAGATTTTCCCACATCTTATAAAATAGCTTCTCAATATTTAGAGCACAATTCATCATCTTCATCATTATATGCTGAAAGTGATTTTTGTCAAATCTAATTTCCAGATATTTTGACCAAAATAGTAATGACGATCATACATGACTCAGATAGCCTGGTCTCTACCATAAGCTTTTGCTTGGTTCTCATTTAAAATACACACACACACACACACACACACACACACACACACACACACACATTCCTCGTGGGACTATTTGATATAGAGAAAAGAAGAATTTTACAGTCAAACCATTCAATATAAGTACAGATACCAGTACCATCACTTACTTGCTGTAAGACCCAAGAAAATTAATTAATCTGAGCTTATTTTCTCTATTGTAAGATGGGAATAATAACATGTACTTCTTAGGGTGGTTGTGAAGATTTAGATGTAAATAATCAGCGTGTGTTAAGTGCCTACTATGTAACAGGCATGGTCTCAGCGCTTTAAAAAATTGTTGAATCCTTATATCAAGAAGCAGGTATTATTGTTACCTGGGATCTTGAGTTGGGATGGACCCTTCAGCCAAGGAGATCAACAGAGCTGGAGCTCTAGATCAGCAGTCTCGGTTCTTGTGATAGTGAGCAAAGAAATGCAAACTAACACCAAAATGCAAGCTTGAAACAAAGCTTGTTGAAGCACAGTTATACACTCTCAGAGGGAGGGCGGGCTGATCTCTGTGAAGTGAAATTGGCTCTTCTTTACAGAGCTCAGTGCTTTCATGGGGTTTGTTGGGAGGAGTTGAGCTTAGGCTGTGTTTGAGTGACAAGTTGATGTTATTTGATTGGCATTTATAGTTATATCATTGAAATTAAACTGTGCGTGTTTTTACCCATAATTCGTAATTCATTAAGGAAAGCCCACTCGGGGGGGGGCAAAACCACATGTAAAGTTTATTATAATGATTGTATAATGAAGACAATGGGGAAAAGGCCTCAAAGGCATTTCAGTGACCTTCATGGTAGCGCCTTCCATTACAGGCCTGAAGGCCCAGGAAGAAAAAAATGGTTTCATGTGCCAGGCCCAGAGCCTCACGCTGTGCAGCCTTGGAACACTGCTACCTGCATTCCACCTACTCCAGCTCCAGCCATGGCTACAAGGGGCCCAGGTACAGCTTGGACAGCTGTTTCAGAGGCTGCAAGCTGGAAGCCTTAGTGGCTTCCATGTGGTGTTAAGCCTGTAGGTGCACAGAATGCAGGAGATGAGGCATAGGAGCCTCTGCCTAGATTTTGGAAGATGTATGGAAAAGCCTGGATGTTCAGGCAGAAGCCTGCTATGGGGGTGGAGCCTTCAGCCTAGAGAACCTCTACTAGGGCAGTGCAGATGGAAAATGTGGGACTGGAGCCCCCATACAGAGTCCCCATTGGGGCACTGAATAGTGGAGCTGTGAGAAGAGGGCCACCGTCCTCTAGACCCCAGAATGGTAGACCCCCAGCAGCTTGCACCCTCAGCCTGAAAAAGGCGCAGGGACTCAACACCAGTCTGTGAGAGCAGCTGCTGGGGATGAACTCAGGAAAGCCACAGGGGTGAAGCTGCCCAAGGTTTTGGGAGCCCACCCCTTGTACCAGTGTGCCCCAGATGTGGGACATGGAATCAAAGGAGATTATTTTGGAACTTTAAGATTTAATGAATGCTCTGCTGGGTTTCCGACTTGCCTGGGGCTTATAGCCCCTTTCTTTTGGCCCATTTCTCCCTTTTGGAATGAGAATGTTCACCCAATGCCAACACCCCCATTGTGTCTTGGAAGTAACTAACTTGTTTTTGATTTTACAGGCTCATAGGCAGAAGGGATGTTCTTTGTTTCAGATGAGACTTTGAAGGGGATTTTTGAGGGAATGCTGGCATGAGTTAAGACTTTAGGCAACTGTTTGAAAGGCATGATTGTATTTTGAAATGTGAGAAGGACATGAGATTTGGGAGGGGCCAGAGGCAGAATAATATGGTTTGAATCTGTGTTCCCACCCAAATCTCATGTTGAAATGTAATCCCCAATGTTGGAGTTGGGCCTGGTGGGAGGTGACTGGATCATGGGGTTGGGTCCTTCCTGAATGGATTAGCACCATCCCCTCGGTGCTCTTCTCATGATAGTGAGTTATTGTGAGATCTGGTTGTTTAAAAGTGTGTAGCCCTTCCCCTATCTCTCTCTCTTCCTCCTGCTCTGGCTATGTGAAGTGCCTGCTTCTTCTTCACCTTCATCATGATTGTAACTTTCCTGAGGTCACTCCAGAAGCTGACACCACCATGCTTTCTATACAGCTTGCAGAACCATGAGCCAATTAAACCTCCCTTCTTTATAAATTACCCAGTCTCAGGTATTTCTTTATAGCAGTGTGAGAACAGACTAATATACAACTGGGAATGACTATAATTATTCTCAAAAAGACAGGATAAGTGCTTAATTTTTTCACTAAAACATTTCAGAGTAAGTTGTTGGCATAATAGTAGCCTCTGGCTACTATTCTTTTTCTTTCTTGTTTTTATAGTATCATGTGGACTCATGAATTCTTACTTATTCATTGGATTACAATCAATTACAGTCATTATTGTTTTGAATAGTCGTAAATTTGGCCAGTTGGAGGCCCTTCAAACTCACTGTGTCCTTTTTAATTTGTTCTACTTTTATTTTGAAAAAATTTCAAACTCACAGCAATGTTGTGAATATAATACAAGACTCCTCATTTCCTCACCCAGTGGTTAACATTTTATGACATTTGATTTGTCATTCTCTCTTTCTTTGTTGCTTTTTTTCCCTTGAACCATTTGAGTAAATTGTAGTTATGAAACCTTATTAACTCCAAATACTTCAGCCTTTCCCCAAACCAAAGTATTCTTTTATATAACCATAAAACAGCCACCAAATCTGATAATAAATAGTATAATATTATCATCACCTCCCATCTGCTTCATCTGATTCTTCACTCAGAAAGAAACTTAGTGCTCAGATCTTGATGGAAAGAAGGCAGCCTGAAATGTTACAATATGCATGCTAAAACTGAAATATCTGTTTCCTATGACATGTTTGTAATTCTAGCAACTTTCTCTAGAACTGGGATATTATTTCACCAAATATTCTTAGATTAAGGTGTTACTGAGGAAGATAGTTGAGAGAAATCAGTCATAAATCTAGACCATTATTTTTGTTTTTCTCCAGCAAAATGCATTTTTCCATGTAAAGATGTGGAGAACCACAAATAGTTATCAAGATTTACTTAAGAGCAAGAGTTAAAAAAGAAGACCTCTAAGCAAATACTCGGCCTTGCTGACTTTAAAACAGCTTTTAGTGTACTTTTTTTATTTTTAGAGCTTCAAGTTTAATTAATACTTACATTAAGTTTTCAGCTATCATAAATGGCGCCACATCTTGGACTGTGCACAGAATAGCTGATTTGCAAACACTGGAAGTCTGGATGTTGGAAGTCTTCAAAAAAAGTCTTTAGCTCTCTGAGGTCTAAAAAAAAATCTGAATATTGGGCTTGTTTTATCCTTTGACCTTAATGACAATTTTATTTTGTTTTTTACCAACACATGCTGCTTTAGAAAAGGTTATTTTATTTAGTTTTTGAAAACTGTATTTTAAAATTTGAACTATGAGGTGGTTTGATTACTTATTAACATATCTTTTGAAATTCTTAAATTACAACCCATGCATATATTACATTATTGTGAAATATTATGGTGATTGCTTCCTAATTCAAATACTTCGTTTGTAAATAAAATAGTTACACGCCACACATTCTAGGGCTATCCCATGTAAAACCCCTCACATGATTTTAAGTACTAGACATGCAGTTAAAACTTAAGATTTAGGGATTTGTTCTTTTTGTGGCCAGAAAGCATTTTGCCTTCTGTTTTTAGTTGCCATAACAGGAGTAATATGGTTTGGCTCTGTGTCCCAACCCAAATCTCATCTTGTAGCTCCCATAATTTCCACTTGTTGTGGAAGGGACCCAGTGGGAGATGATTGAATCACGGGGTTGGGTATTTCCTGTACTGTTCTCGTGATAGTGAATGGGTCTCAGGAGATCTGAAGGTTTTATAAACAGGAGTTTCTCTGCACAAGCTCTCTCTCTTTGCCTGCTGCCATCCCCCTAAGATGTGACTTGCTCCTCCTTGCCTTCTGCCATGATTGTGAGGCCTCCCCAGTCATGTGGAACCGTAAGTCCAGTAAAACTCTTTTTTTTTTTTGAGGCAGAATCTCGCTCTGTCACCCAGGCTGGAGTGCAGTGGCGCGATCTCGGCTCACTGCATGCTCCGCCTCCTGGGTTCACGCCATTTTCCTGCCTCAGTCTCCCGAGTAGCTGGGACTACAGGCACCCGCCACCACGCCCTAATTTTTTTGTATTTTTAGTAGAAACAGAGTTTCACCGTGTTAGCCAGGATGGTCTCGATTTCCTGACCTCGTGATCCACCCGCCTCGGCCTCCCAAAGTGCTGGGATTACAGGTGTGAGCCACCTCACCCAGCCAAACTCTTTCCTTTGTAAATTGCCCAGTTTTGGGTATGTCTTGATCAGCAGCATGAGAACAGACTAATACAAAGAGTATACCAAAATCTTGGAGTATCCCATCTTCCCTTGTACCTTTCTTTACTCCATGTCCTTACCCAAAGATCATAAACATAATCGCATCCACCACAATTCTTTACGTGCAAGAAGAAACTGCCCTGCTGGCTTCTGTTCAGGAGACTTTCTCTTGAGCACCATGAGCTCAAGTGAGTTTACCCTTACATGCATAATTCGTCCCCTAAATCTCCAGTCCCTTACACTCCCAGGGAGAATGGGAGAGACACGGCTCTTTTCCTATGATGTGCTCGCTGCAGTACTTTTAATGTAAGTTGCCTCTTAGCTTTTTATCTTCTGGTCTGTAGGTTGTTAAACATTTTATAACCATTCCCAGTCTCAGGACTGCCAGATAATTTTTCTATCTGAGGTGTAAGATGAGCCAAATTATTCTTCCTTTATAAATATTTTAAAATATATTTGAATTCACACAAAGACATAGCAAACGATATCTTTAACATAGAGTACAAATACTTCCTCAACATATATTATATACATATTACTTAGCAATATAATTTATTTGGACTTCAGGAATGAGGAAACCAGTTTAAGTCTCTGTTTAAAAAGACTTGTTGGGCCAGTGCGATGGTTCACGCCTGTAATCCTAGCACTTTGAGTGGCAGAGCGGGGAGGATCACTTGAGTTTAGGAGTTCGAGACCAGCCTGGGCAACATGGGGAGAACATAGGGCAATGCAGCTCAGGAGGCTGGGATTACTCAGGGGGCTGAGGTAGGAGGATCACTTGAGCTCAGGAGGTTGAGGCTGCAGTGACCTGTGATCATGCCACTGCACTCCAGCCTGGGCAACAGACACCCTATCTCAAAAAAATAAATAAAATGTCTTGCTATGTGTTCCTCTGTGAGTCCTATTTTTTGCAAAAGACGTTGGCCCATTAAGAAAACATTCCATCTAAACCCTAAGTAATAATCTCAAGTCATTGCTCAAGTTAAATGACGCTTCACATCTCGTGAAATGTATTTGTTTTGATAGCAGACCCATGGATCACATGCTGTTTATAACGCTTGGTAGACTGCAGAAGAGAGTGATATACAGGCAATATGACCCATGTAACCACAGAGGAGAATTGGTCTTTTCTCATCTGCACACATATGACCCAACCATGCTGTCTTGCACGTATTCTAGCTTGCACTTCTTTACTTCCTGGATGAAACAATGATTACTTTTACTTATTTATGACATCCTATCTCCAAAAAGAATCTAAAGCAGCTGGCAAAGTTGATTAATAGCCGTTGGAAAAATAGAGCCCAGGGCCGAAGTTGGGTTTATCAGGAAGAAATTTACACCACACTAAGCATAACAGTTGATCAATGCCAGGAGTGAGCTAAAAATTGCATGGGAAGACTTATTGATGCTCATTATGTAATTTTTTAGCAGTGCAAATACAAATGCACTGTAAAATCTGCAAAATATAGCAGGTTAATCAACCTAGACCATTTGCAATTATGAAAATGTTGTTGACAGCTTCAAAAATAAAGGTCATTTGTGTAACAAAATATACAAAGCTTGTCTTTGAATAAGAGCCACTCCTTACCCGAATAGAAATTAGGTCCAACTACAAACAAAATTTTCCCATAAAGGAAAATGTGAGATTTGCTGATTTGTTTTTCTCTGCCAGCCTAAAGAATGATGATGCCAGGAAGAATTTTTTTGGAACATGTGTACAAACAGGCAAAGATCCCCCTGAAATAAGGCCTAGAACTTTGGCATCATACAGTATTTCCCAACGTAGAATCCTTTATTATGAGGGCATTGAGCTGTTTTGAATTTTTTTCAGAAGGCATATTTTAAAATACATCTCAAATCTGAACATCCTAGTCCAGTCTCCACCATTTCTTACTTGGACTATTGCAGTCGTTTTTCAATTGTTCTTTTTTCTTCCATGCTTTCAGCACTACTGGCAAGCAAAGTGTTCACTGATGAATGAACAATTACATTTACCCACAGACTGAAATATGATGTTATTTTGTTTTGACTGAAATTCCAACTCACTGTGAGAATACTGGTAAGTTCATATAAATCAAAAGTTCTAATTGGAAGTCATTTATATGAGTGTATCATTACCTTTTTCCCCTAAGAATTCTTTTAGACTTTTTTTTAATGACTGCCTTGAAATTTTAGTACAATAGATGCACTGTGCTTTATGTATAAAAGAGTAAGGTGGGCCCAGCGCAGTGGCTCACGCATGTAATCCCAGCACTTTGGGAGGTCGAGGCAGGTGGATCGCCTGAGGTCAGGAGTTCGAGACCAGCCTGGCCAACATAAGGAAACCCCATCTCTACTAAAAATCCAAGAAATCAGCTGGGACTGGTGTTGGGCACCTGTAATTCCAGCTACTAGGGAGGCTGAGGCAGGAGAATGGCTTGAACCCGGGAGGCGAAGATTGCAGTGAGCCGAGATCGCGCCTTTGCAGTCCAGCCTGGGCAACAAGAGTGAAACTCACTCTCGAAAAAAAAAAAAGAGTAAGATGTATTCACTCATACCAGAAGAACCAATTTTTGCTTCCACTGAGAATACATGATCTATTAAGTAAAATGGGGAAAACTAATGTATTACTTAGCATACTATAGTTATTCTCATGGAGAAAATCTTCCTAAATATGGGGTCCATAAGAGAAAAATAGTGGTCCTAACTGATTTTTTATTGAAGTCAAGAACCAGATAAATAGCTGTTAACTCTATCATCTTTCTGGGGTATGTCTTCTTAATGCCAGTTGTATTCCTTCTTCCATATAGTTGAGAAACTATGGAAAATACAGGAAATGTACTGCACACAGAGCCCCTGCCTGTAGTTCCTGTCTAGCTTGCTGGCTATATTGGTTGATTATATGACTGCTATCTGTACCTGTTTACAATTCATAAGACATTCAGGGCTTTGTGGCTTTTTTTCCTGTCTCCTACATGAAGGGGCTCAGACCACAAGCATGCAAAAAGTAAGTAATCAAAGGCAATAATAAAACAACACAGAACGAAACTATAAGAAGATACAAGGCCAAGGCAGTATATAATTAAGGGTCAGGTGACTAATCCAAGAGTTAATGATTTTCAAAGTGCATCTTGTGGAACCTCCAGAGAGGCATCCCAGAGGCTGTCACAGAGACAAAGAAGGGTCCAAATTTAGGTCCAGGAGTAGAGTTTGTCAAGATGTAAGACTTAAGGTCTCCCACCATCACTCAACCAGAACCCTTCACTTTCATACATTTCTTGTGTTGGCGTTTTGCATGTTTTCTTTAAAGAACAATGTAATGATTTAGTCTGTTCTGTGAAGTTTTTTCTATGTTTGAACTGATTGAATTTAGAAAATTGTTTTCAGAGATATGATTTTTTTTTTAATATTGGCACACTTAATGTTAAAACTATTTGATCAGAAGATACTTAAATGTCAGAATCGACCACTGTTGTGAGAATCCAAAGATAATACCAGTGCTCTGAGGATACTTATTGTGCTAGTCTTTATGGCAATTGTTTCCAAATGTTAGTATTTATCAGAATCACCTGGAGGCCTTGTTGAAACAAGGGTTCTGATTCAATAGGCCTGGGTGGGGCAATTTGCTTTTTACTAGGTAGTAAGACTTGGCACCAACATAAATAAAAATGGTTTAAAATCACTACAAAAGAAGCCCAAAAGAATTTTTTTCTAAATACTCAAGATTTATCTTCTACACCTGGGGATCCCTCCTGCTCACTTTCGTTTTAGCCATGGTATTAAAATTAAAATACAGGTGCCATATAAGCATCAATAACTAATTTTGAGTTTGTAGGTTCTGTCATATGGTCAATTCCTATTAAGAATCAAAAGACTATGAATGCCTAATAGAGGTGCAAATAGTTCTCTTCCCTATACCACTTTTTTTTTTTTTGAGACAGAGCCTTGCTCTGTTGCCCAGGCTGGAGTGCAGTGTCACAATTTCAACTCACTGCAACCTCTACCTCCTGGGCTCAAGCCGTCCTCCCACCTTAGTCTCCCAAGTAGCTGGGCTACAGGGGCATGCCACCTATACCTGGCTAATTTTTGTATTTTTTGTAGAGACAGGGTTTCACCATGTTGCCCAGGCTGCCCTTGAACTCCTGTGCTCAAGCAATCCTCCCACCTTGGCCCCCCCAAATTGCTAGGATTACAGGTGTGACCCACTGAGCCCAGCATCATATACCACTTTCTGCAAGAATATAAAAGGCAGAACAATACCACCCTATGTGATTAAGACAGTTGACTAGAGGTGTCCGGCACTAATCTCCTCTTCAAAGAAGGACCAAAATGGTGAGTAGAGTATGCTGAATAGAGTATGTAAGGGAGAACACTAGAATTCAGCAGGGAAGTGACAAGGACCCTCTGAGGAGGGAAACTCAAGATGATAGCCTAGAGAGGGCAGCAGAGCAGCTGGCCAGAGCCAGGAGGGGTTCCCCATTGTGAGGATTCCCTTTGCAAGAGATCTCCAACAGTCCACATTCCCATAACACACACCTGCAATCGTAGTGACAGGAAAGCCACTCGGGCCTCAAAAGCCCAGTGCTTAGTAAAGGGAGCTGCTTTGAGTCCATGTGATTACATTGTCCTGAAGAGGGAATTCACACTGGGTTCCACTCACCCTACAGAACACAGGCTGCTGCCACATGACACCATTTTAAGAATGGAACAAACACCAGGCTACATCCTGCCCTGGGGTCCAAGAACTCCTACATTTCCACATCCCTGAGGCCCAGCCAACATTCCCCTCATATCCACTTAGAGGGCTGCAGCATCATGACACCAGCTGGACCCAGCAGTGTGACTGCATGCCAGAGACCCAAGCCCCCACAGTGCCCTACACTCTGGGAAACAGGTGGTCTTGCATATTAGGGAGGCTGCCCCTAGGATTTATGGAGCTGAAGCTTGTACTCCCCAAAGCCTGAGAATCACCTGCCAGGGGCTGCCACCACCACCAATTACCTTGCCCCCTCCAGCAGCAGGGCTGCCACAGACCCGAGTGTGCCTCCGAGAGACTCAAAAGCCAATCCACCACTGGCACCTGCACGTGCTGCTAATGGACCCTGGAAATGATCCTTACCAGGGCTCACTGATGCCATAGTCTGTGCTCATGTGCACAGTCCAGGGTCCTGAGAACCAGCCCATCTAGCACCCCAGGCTCCAGAAAAGTCTCACCACAGCCTTCATAAACAACTGTAACCTAAGCTACTAAGAAACTCACAGACACCACTGACAATGATACAGTCAAAGAAATCATATAGGAACTACACTATGACACCCACTGCAACCAAACCTAATGTGCTCTACCCAACTGACAGTATAGATATGTCTGCAGGAAAAAGTCTTTCACTGTGAAAACTACTGCATAAAACTGGAAGAAGTGACTGTTACACCAGATGTGTAGATATCAGTGTATGTACACAAAAAACATGAACAAGCCAGGAACATGACACCACCAAAGGAACATAGTACTTATCCAGTGACAGATCCTAAAGAAAAAAAACATAAAATTCTTAAAAAGGATTTCAAAATATTATTAATATAGTTGTATTAATAATAAAATAGTATTGATGTTAATGAAAATATAATTATTAATGAATTGATAGATAATATTAATGATTAAAATATTATTTTCTTAAGGAAACAGTGAGGCATAAGAATACAAACAAAACAAAGACATTTTAAAAAAGAATTCATAATGGGAATGGAAAAATTCAAAGAGATAGTGTATTAGTCCATTCTTGTGCTGCTACAAAGAAATACCTGAGACTGGGTAATTGATAAAGAAAAGAAATTTAATTGGCTCACAGCTCCACAGGCTGTATAGGATACATAATGGTGGCATCTGCTTGGCCTTTGGGGAGGCCTCAGGAAACTTACAAATATGGCAGAAGGCAAAGGGGGAGCAAGCACTTCGCATGTCTGGAGCAGGAGGAAGAAAGGGGGAGATACTACACACTTTTAAACAACCAGATCTTGTGATAACCCACTCTCATCATGACAGTACCAAAGGGGATGGTGTTAAACCATGAGAAACTGTCCCCATGATCCAATCACCTCCCACCAGGCCTACCTCTAGCATGGGGGATTACAATTTGACATGAGATTTGGGTAAGGACACAGATCCAGACCATATCAGATAGATATTATTAAAAAGAACCAAACAGAAATCCTAGAACTGAAGAATTTGATGATAAAATAAAAAATATAATTGAATGCTTCAGTTTTAAACTAGATCAAGCAGAAGAAAGAATTTCTGTACTTGAAGACAGGTCTTTTAAAATAACCCAGTCAAACAAATAAACAAAAAGAATAAAAAGGAATAAAGAAAGCCTATGTGACATATAGGACAACATCAAGGGAACAAATATTCAAATTATGAGCGCTCCAGAAGTAGAAAAGATGAGAAAAGGCATAAAAAGCCTATTTAATTAAAAAATAGCAGAAAACTTCTGAAGTCTTGGAAGAGTTATAGAAATGCAGATAGAGGAAGTTTAAACATTCCCAAATAGATTTAACCCAAAAATGTCATCTCCAAGGCACATTATTGTCAAATTGTCAAACGTCAAAAAGTAGAGAGAGAATTCTAAAAATAGCAAGTAAAAAAGCATCAAGTCACACATAAGGGAATCCCCATCAGACTAATATCAGATTTCTCAGCAGAAACCTTACAGGCCAGAGAAAATGGGATGATAGACTCAAAGTGCTGAAAGAAGAAAACTGCTAGTCAAGAACACCAAACTGAGCAAAGCCATAATTCAGGAATAAAGCTACAAATGAAGTCTTTGCCAGAGAAGCAAAATGTGAGGGAATTTATCACCACTAGACTAGCCCTATAACAGATGCTTAAGGAAGTCCTACAAACAGAAGCTAAAAGATGGTATCTACCATCAAAAAAAAAAAAAAAAAAAAAAAACACATGAAAGCATAAAACTCACTGGTAGAACAGATACACAAGTGAGAAGGAGAAAGGAATAAAAGGTTATCACTACAGAAAACCACCAAGTTGCAAAGATAAACAAGTGAGGAAAAAGGCCACAAAGGATATATGAGACAATGAGAAATCAACTAACCAAATAACAGGAGTAAGTCCTCACCTATCAATAACAATCATGAATGTAGACCATTTAAATCTCCTATTTAAGAGATACAGACTCACTGAATGGATTTAAAAACGGAAGACCCACCTATATACAAGAAATGCACTTCACCTGTAAAGACACACACAGACTGAAAGTAAAGGGTTAGAAAAAGGTATTCCACACAAACGGAAACCAAAAGTGTGTGGGAGCACCTAAACTTATATCAGACTAAATAGACTGTAAGTCAAAAAAATAAATAGAAAGAGACAAAGAAGATCATTACGTTATGATAAAGGGATCAATTCAGCAAGAGGATATAACAATTGTAAATGAATATGCACCCAACACAGGATCACCTACATATTAAAAGCAAACATTATTAGAGATAAAGAGAGATACTTACCAATACAATAATAGTTGGGGACTTTAATATCCCACTTTCATCATTGGACAGGTCATGTAAGCAGAAAATCGATCAAGAAACATAGAATTAAGCTGCACTAAAGACTAAATGACCAAACAGACATCTACAGAACATTGTATCCAACAGTTATAGAATATGCATTCTTCTCATCAGCACATGAAACATTCTCTAGGATAGATCATATTTTATGCCACAAAACAAATCTCAACAAATATAAAAAATAGAAATCCTATCAAATTTAGGGAATTTCAGAAAAAAATTGATAAATTCCTGGACAGACATAACCTACCAAGATAGAACTAGGAAGAAACAGAAAACCTGAACACACCAATAACAGACCAAAGTAACAAGGTTGAATCAGTAGTAAAATGCCTCCTAACAAAGAAAAGCCCAGGACCAGATGGCTTTACTGCTAAATTCTACCAAACATTTAAAGAAGAATGAGCAACAATTCTTTTCAAACTATTTCAAAAAATTGAAGAAGAGGGAATTCTTCCTAACTCATTTTATGAGGCCACCACTACCCTGATAACAAAACCAGACCAGGACACAACAAATAAAGAAAACATAGATGCAAAAATCCTCAACAAAATACTGACAATCTGAACCTAACAACACAATGAGATTATACATCATGACCCAGTAGGATTTATCCCAGTGATGCGAAGATGGTTCAACAAATGCAAATCAGTACTTGTAATTCTACACTTCAACAGAATAAAGGACAAAAAATGTATGATAATCTCAATAAATGCAGAAAAATAATTTGATAAAATTCAACATCTTTCATGATAAAAACTCTACAAACGTTATGTATAGAAGGAACATACTTCAATAAAATGAAGGCCGTATATGACAAACTCACAGCTACTATACTCAAAACAGAAAGGCTGAAAGCCTTTCCTCTAAGAACTAGGGCAAGACAAAATTGCCTTTCACTACTGTTATTCAACATGGTACTGTAAGTCCTAGCCACGGCACTTAGGCAAAAAAAAAAAAAAAAAGTACATAAAGGGCATCCAGATTGAAAAAGAGGAAGTAAAATTGTCCTTCTTTGCAGACAACATGATCTTATATATAGGAAAACCTAAGACACCACCAAAAAACTCTTAGAACTGTTAGAAAAATCTAGTAAAGATGCAGGCTGCAAAGTCAGCATGCAAAGAATAGCAACAATTCTACACACTAAGAATGAACTGGCTGAAAAGTAAATTAAGAAAGCAATCTCATTTATGACGAGAAAAGTAAAATACCTAGGAATAAATGTGAAATACATCTACAATGAAAACTTAGAGACACTGATAAAGAAATTGAAGAGGATACATACACAAAAATGGAAAGACATAGCATAATCATGGATTGGAAGAGTTAGTACTGTTAAAATGACCATACTATGCAAAGCAATCTACAGATTCAATGGAATCCCAATCAAAACACTAATGACATTTTTCACCAAAATAGAAAAAAATCCTAAAATTTGTATGGAATCACACACACACACGCACGTGCACACACACACACACAAACCCTAAATAGCCAAAGCAATCCTTTGCAAAAAGAACAAAGCTGAAGGCATCGTACTGTCTGACTTCAAAATACATACAAAACTATAGTAACCAAAACAGCATGGTATTGGTATAAAAAAACAGACACATAGACCAATGGAATAGAATAGAGAACATAAACATAAATCTATGCAGTTACAGCCAACACATTTTCATCAAAGGTGGCAAGAACTTACATTGGATGAAGGACACCCTGTCAATACATAGTGCTGGAAAAAATGAATATCTATATGCAGAAGAATAAAACTAGACCCCTATATCTCACGACATACAAAAATCAACTCAAAATGGATTAACGACTAGTGCAGAAGACCCAAACCTGTAAGACCACTAGAAGAAAACATAAAGGAAATGCTTCAGGACATTGCAAGATTTTACGGGTAAGACTTAAAACAAACAGGCATCAAAAACAAACAAAAGAAGACAAATGAGACTATATAAAACCCAAAAGCTTCTGCACAGCAGAGGAAACAATCAGTAGAGTGAAGAGACAACCTACAGAATGGGAGAAAATATTCAGAAACTAGTCATCTAACGAGGGACTAATATCCAGAATGTACAAGAAAAGTTAAAAAAAAAGGTAAAAAACCCCACAGAAAACAAATAATCCAATTTAAAAATGGGTAAAGGAGCTGAATATATGAATATATATATATATACATATATATGTGTATATATACGTATACATATATACGTATATATATATATTTTGAGATGGAGTCTTGCTCTGTCGCCCAGGCTGGAGTGCAATGGTACAATCTCCACTTACCACAACTTCGCTTCCTGGGTTCAAGCGATTCTACTGCCTCAGCCTCCGGAGTATCTGGGATTGTAGGCACGAAATATTTTTCAAAAGAAGACATACAAACAGCCAACAAATATGTGAAAAAAAATGCTCAACAACACCAATCATCAGGGAAATGCAAATCAAAATCATACCCATATATCATCTTACCCCAGTTAGAATGGCTATAATCAAAAAGACAAAAAATAACAAATACTGGCAAGGATGCAGAGAAAAGGGAATTCATACACTGTTGGTGGGAATGTAAATTAGTATAGCCATTATGGAAAACAGTATGGAGGTTTTTCAAGAAACTGAAAATAGGAAGACCATAGAATCCAGTGTTCTCACTGCTGGGAATTAATCTAAAGGAAAGGAAACCTCTATATCGAAGGGAAAACTTTATTCCCATGTTTTTTTGCAGCGCTCTTCACTATAGCCAGGATATAGAATCAACCTAAATGTCCGTCAAAAGATGAAAGGATAAATGTGGAATATATACACAATGAAATACTATTCAGCCATAAAAAACAATGAAATTTTGTTATTCGCAGTAACATGGATGAGCCTGGAGGATATCATGTTAAGTGAAATAAGTCAGGCACAGAAAAATAAACACCACATGTTCTCACTCATATACGAGAGCCAAGAAATACTGAGCTTATAAAAGTGGAAAGAAGAATTGTAGTCATTAGAAGCTGGGAATGATAGGAGGAGGGAGAGGATAGGGAAAGAGGTTAATGAATACAAAGTTACATTGTACTGCTAGATAGGAGAAAAAAGTTCTAGTATTTTGTAGCACTGTTGGGCAAATATGGTTAACAATAATTTAGTTCATATTTTCAAAAAGCTAGAAGACAGGATTTTAAATGTCCATAACACAAACAAATGATGAACGTTGGAGGCGTTTGTTATTTTTATCTTTATACATTTCATCATTACACATTGTATACATGTATCAAAATATCACTCTGTATTCCATAAATATGTACAATTGTGTGTCAACTGAAAATCAAAGGAAAAAATAGGCCAGGCACAGAGGCTCACGCCTGTAATCCCAGCACTTTGGGAGATCAAGGCGAGTGGATCACCTGAGGTCAGAAGTTTGAGACCAGCCTGGCCAACATGACGAAACCCCATCTCTACTAAAAATACAAAAATTAGCCAGGCATGGTAGCAGGCGCCTGTAATTCCAGCTACTCAGGAGGCTGAGGCAGGAGAATCACTTAAACCTGGGAGGTGGAGGTTGCAGTGACATGAGATCGAGCCACTGCTCTCCAACCTGGGCAACAGAGCAGGACTCCATCTCAAAAACAAAAACAAAAAAGGAAAAAATAAACAAAGCCAATACTATACTATAAAATAACACATCTGTCTTTCATTACTCCTTATTTTTTATGCTGCTATAATTTCCTTCATGACATTGTTACCAAATGTTATTACATATACTTATATTTGTTTATCTTCTATCTTTCCCTCTGTCTATAGTGAGAGGAGGGCGGGGACTTGGTTTTGTTCACTGTTGTATCTCCAGTGTATAAACAGTGCCTACCAGTTAGTACACACTCTATAAATACGTGCTAAGTTAAAAAAAAGACTAATTTTGGTATTACTTTACTTGAATTTCTCATAAAATATTATGGAAGGCACTAATATTTTTAAAAATATAACATTTATGATTTGTTTTTCTGAGTATAAAATAAATTCATGTTAGAAATGGAAAGATTCAGAGAAACACAAAGAAAAAGAGATCACTAGCAACCCCACTGTAATTTTTTTAAGATTTATTTTATTTTATTTTACTTTGAGTTCTGGGATACATGTGTAGAAAATGCAGGTTTGTTACGTAGGTATACATGTGCCACGGTGGTTTGCTGCACCTATTGACCAGTCTTCTAAGTTCCCTCCCCTCCCCACTGTAATTTTTATCTACAGTATCTAGTGTTCCCTTTCTCTCTGCTCTGTGCGTGTGTGTATTTAAACAAACGAGATTGCATTACATTTTACGAGTTGCTTTTTGGAATCTTAATGTATTGGGAGCATTTCAATGTTGTTTGATATTTTTCTGTAGTACCATTTTATTGATTGCACAGTGTTAGTCCATATGGGTAGAATAATTTATTAAATTAAAATCCGCCTTTTATGTTTTCCAATTTTTCACAGTGAAAAAAATCATGAGAAGTATCCTCATAGGTGAGTCTTTTCACACATCTGCACTAGTGAATATCTGAATTTTAAAAGCCACTCCAGACCTACATAGGTGATGGTAAGCCATTTTGACAAGAAAATGTCATAATCCGTCATTGTTAGCAAATATTGACACATTACAAGTGAACATAACATTGGTTTATATGGCGTTAGGTAAATATTGTTTCCCTGAGATAACTTGTATCTAAGAACTTCTTGTGTTACATCTATAAGGTTTATGAGAATGTTTAAGATGTAATGTATTTCTGTTATTGAATTTCTGCTTTTATCTTTATGAATTCTATAATTTTGTTTTTCATAGTTTTGTTTTACGTTTCTTTTAAACTTCTTCATTTGCATAAGTGATAAACTTATCATCTCCATAAACCCATCATAAGTTGAAAATCTCGTAAGTCGAAAATGCATTTAATACACCTAGCCTACCAGACATCATACCTTATCCCATCCTGCCTTAAAGGTGCTCAGAATACTGACATTAACCTACAGTTGGGAAAAAATTAAAATTCAAAGTACGGCTTTTACTAAATGCATATTGCTTTTGCCCCATGATAAAGTCAAAAACATCATAAGTCCAGCTATCTTAAGTCGTGAATGATCTGTAGAGGTTAAATTGGGAATTTTGACCATTCGATGTTGCTTTTGTTACTTTTATTTTTTGTACATTTCCATCTATTGTTATAACTAATAAGGTTAGTCTAACTTCTGACATATTTTCTGACATCTTTCCTTATGCCTTATCATGTGGTCTCACTTATGTCATCTTGTTTTGTGCCTTTTTTTTTTTTTTTTACAGCGACTCCATTTTGTTTCTCACTGCTAAAAATGCAGACATGGTTTTATTTTTATCTTTTCTACTGATTTGGGATATACAAGCTCTATGTTAAACTATTTATGGTTTGCTTTAAGATTCAAAAGCCTTCTTCGATTTTTATTTCCCTAATAATCTGAACCAAAATAAATCCTTTGGGTCATCTTCTAGCTAAGCTAAGGAAATAAATACAATCACAATCCCTTTGATTTTTCAGTTTTTATTAGTATAACTTGAGAATATAGGTTAATATTACTGTTTTAAAATTATTATCTTACATTATATATTTTCTCTTTCAAGAAATAGTTCAGATCATTTACTTTTGCACATGGATTAGATTTAAACCTACATACAAATGCTTTTGGTGCTCACTCCAAGTACTCTTGTGCCACTATTTCCCTATTCCTGAGCTCATAATTTTGCTTCATTCGTAGTCAACGTGATCATATAATCAAGTAATAGTTTTTCAAAAATTGTACATGGATGATACTTTCTCTAAGCTATGGCATTTATATACACATCTTTATTTCACCTGAAGGACAATTTGGCTGCCTATGAAGAGCTGGATCTGAAATAATTTTGTCTTAGTATTAGATAGAACCCAGCTGATCTCAAAGTCCATTTATCCTTTTTTTCTAAGTACCTTGTCTTGTAGCCTGGATAGGATTTAAATTTTTTATCCTTATAATTCAAAATGAGTGCCAGGATGTAGCTCTTTGTATCTCTTTGTACTTGATTTTTGCCTGGAATTAAATGATTCTTAAACTCTTCTCTCTCTCTCTCTCTCTCTCTCTCTCTTTCTCTCTCGCTCTCTCTCTCTCTCTCTATATATATACATGCACATATATATGTGTATGTATATATGATCACTTTTGCAGAGTATTTCTCTGACCTTTTGTCTAGAACCTAAGTTACCCGTACGATGCTCTGAGTTCTCTGATCATAGCTACCTTCCTTCTTTTATCTTTTCACATCCATCCACTCTATTTTCATTCTGTAAGAACTCAACTTTGTTTCCATATCCCTAACTCATTTTCA
Organism: Homo sapiens; assembly: GCF_000001405.40. Classification (NCBI taxonomy): domain Eukaryota; kingdom Metazoa; phylum Chordata; class Mammalia; order Primates; family Hominidae; genus Homo; species Homo sapiens. The sequence goes on along the minus strand of NW_018654717.1, from coordinate 5,971,830 downwards.
TCCACTCCAATTGTGCCTTACACATCTTCAACAGTGAATTATTCCATTGTATTTTTAGTGTCCTTTTGATCCTGTCCAATGTCATAAATAACCCTCTCCTTTCCTTTTCTCTACATGACCATTCTTTCATCTTGATTTTTCATTGCTTGTACTTACACCTTTTATTTCCTGGAGGCTTTGCAGTCTTACAGTCTACTGAGGGTGCTTTTCTTCTGATTTCTGTAATAAGTCACATTCAGGGGTGCATTTTTAATTTGTCTCCATATGATATTTCATTTCATCTGAGCAAATTTTTATAGGCTCCATTTATTTCTTATCTTTACTTGTAGTAAGTAGAGACTAATTTAATGTTTGCCAACATATATTATATATGAATCACTATTGAGCCCCTTCCTGAATGTAGGTTGTAACCAAGTTCCTTTTCCAGATCTTTAGTTGAGGGAAGTTAATAACTATTCCAAATTTCTGATACATATTCTTCTATTATAAAACAATAAATTATTGTTTTTTGACTCCTAATTTCTGATCCCTGTAACTATAAGCAAAGGAGTAAATAAAATACAGTTTCCAACATCTGTCCTCCATTCCTACTTTTATAACTCTTTGTATATGAGAACCACAGCGTCTTTGATGAGACTGAGATGGCTAAGTGATCATCAAACTTGTTTCCTTTTCTTCCTGGACACACAGCCAGGCTGCATCTCTAAGTTCCCTTGCAGGTGGAATTCTATCCAGAGGAATGTGAGTGAAAGTGATGGACACTTTGTCTAGGTCTGAGCAAGCGAAAGCTCTCACATGTAATCTATTCCTTTCCAACAACTGCTTGCTGGATGTTGATGGTTAGCACAATTTTGGAAGCCAACTACTTAAGAGGGCAGGGCTATGGCAACCTGGATTCTTGAATGACTCTGAGGAGCAGGCAGCACCACATTCTCATTTGGATGACTGAGGCAGAAAAAAACGTGTGCTGTGTTAACTGCAGTGGTGGGATTCGTTTGTTTCAAAAGTTAATATGCTTTTACCAATATACACTTTCCTTCGTCTACACTTTACTTCTCAGTTATTTTCTAAGAATTGCTGAATCTGGGCAGGCATGTAGAGACATTGGAGAAAGGGCTGGAAATTTTTAGGTAAGATGACAATGCTTGGGCTATCTCTCACATGACCTCCCTGAGAGGGGTGGGTTCTTGGCTTCATCCAGGAAAGAATTCGAGGGTGAGCTGCTGGTGTTAGACAGCAGCTTTTGTTGAAGCAGCATTGTACAGCAGGAGCAAAGGACTGCTCCTTGCAGAGCAGGGCTAACCCATAGGCAATGTGCCCAGAGTAGCAATGTATGGGCTGTTGGCAGCTGTGTTTATACCCACTTTCAATGATATGCTAATTAAGAGGCAGGTTATTCAGAACTTTCTGGAAATGAGGCAGGGATGTTCTGCAACCATAAGAGGTAACTGTTTATGGGCCATTGCCGTGGTTCATTGCCATGGCATTTGTAAATTGTCATGGCACTGGTGGGAGTGTCTTTATGCTAATGAACAGTGAGGGGAACTAGAGGTTGCTTTCATCACCATCTACTGGTTTTGGCCAGCTTCTTCACTGCACCCTGTTTTGACCAGATCCTGCTCCAATCAGCGGGGTCGTGATTGATTGGGGTCATGACCAGTGTTCCAAAAACAAGTCCTGCTGATCTCCTGCCTTGATAGCACTAGGCCACATTTGCTGGATTACATGGTCAGTGGACTAGATGTTTGTCCCACTAGACTGCAGGCTCCGTGTGGGTAGTGATGATCTCTGCCTCACTCAGTGTCCTGGCCCCAGCACCCAGCACGGTGCAGGCCCACAGAGATGCCTCAATTATTTATATATATATATATATATACACACACACACACACACACACACACACACACATATACACACACACATATATATACACACACACAAATATACACACATATATATGCATATATATCATTGTGATTATATATATATGTAATTGTAATAATTATGTATATATAATTGTGATAAAATGCACATAATATAAAATTTGCCATCTTTACCATTTTTATGTGTACCGTTCAGGGACATTAAATACTTTCACATTTTTGTGCTATCATCACCACCATCCAACCACAGAACTCTTCATTTACAAATATAATCAATGATATTTATAGAAAAAAGGGATGAGAGCTCCTTTTTATAAAGTGAAAAATTATTTGTAATGTAAAATTATATGTCTCCCAATTTAACCACTGGGGAAGTTTGGACATATATATATATGACTTTATTAAATAAGGAACACCTATAAGGTAACTGATGGATCTAGAAATACTTGCATATATGGGCTGGGAAAATAAAATATTACCGATGGGATCTGAATGAAAAAGCTGGGAAAAAGGTAAGTAGATAAATCGGCATAACCTAGAAATAGGATATACATTTAAACTATCTTTAGTCTTTAGATACAGTAAGATGGTTTGTAAATGAATACTTAGATGTTGAATTTCCTTTTAATGTTGGCTCTCAGAGGAGCAAAGCATTCGGCCATTTGATTATATAAACTACAAACAAGTAATTTGAAAGTGTTTTACTCTAAGATAAAAACTACCCAAGAGAGGGCTTGTATTTGGGAAAAGTCATTTAGGTTTGATTCCTGTGAGATACTTACAAAGCTACAATATTGTTAATTGACTTGAAATTGACTTGAAACTCTTATTGTCCAACAACATCCTGTTGTGTGTGTATGTGTGTGTGTGTTCACAATATTCAGATAATTCTGCTTGGAGTTTTGAAGCCTGTGGAGGCAGAAGACATATATCCATCCTAACATAAAACTTGCAGTGTATTAAGGAAGAGTCAGGGTGTGGTGGTATATGCCTATAGTCCTAGCTACTTGGGAGGCTAAAAAGGAATTACTGCTTGAGCCCAGGAGGTCAAGGCTGCAGTTAATTGTAATTGCACCACTGCACTTGAGTGCATTCCAGGCCCGGGCAACAGAGAGATATCCTGTCTCAACAACAACAACAACGACAACACCAACAATGGAGTCAAAGCAAATTAGAGGTGATAGAGCATATGTGTGCAGATAATTATATATTTAAATAGTGCACATAAATACTAATTACAATAACTACTGAAGTAGTGAAGGATACTAAAGTAGTCTGGTTTTACCATGAGCAGGTTTAATGAAAGGCAGTGTCTCCAAAACATAGTGATTTGAAGTCAATTTAAACATTTTTTCTGAACCAACACAATTAGCATGAATGTACTGAAGTTATGTAATTTACAAGTGAATCTTTCAGACCTAACATTAAGCTCTGTAAATGCCATTATAAATCAGTATGTCTAAAATACCTCATAACAATAGATTCATACAAGAGACATTGATAAAAGTCACCAGGTATGAACCGGGTCAGTTTTTCCTATTCTTCTTTTTTTTTGGTACTTCAAAGGAGACTATGATCAATGTCAAAGAAGCAGTAAAACTAACTGAACTAATTACAGATCTACAAGGGGTGTGTTCTCAAGGTGAGTAGCTTCTAATTACCAGATACCATCAGAAGGAAGGGCTGTTGTGAGGTGCTGAGCTCTGCAGTACTTTTCTGTTCCCATCAGTTAGCATAACATCATTTGGCTACTACTCTGGGTATTGATGTTATATAATATAAACACGCTTACATAAGGAAAAGAGAGAGAAACACATAACCAGTGCAGAACGGTGCCCTTCAGAGCACCCATGTTTTGGATTATGCTTTCTGTAGAACAGAAAATACTGCTTCAATAAATTTGTACAATAAGTTGCAAACTATTTGGAAGTGACAGGAAAACACACAATGTAAATATGTGTTTGTTTCATGTTATTTAATTATAACGTCACTTTCTATTAAAGGATTCAGCTCTATATGACTAGTCTATTATAATGTAGTCTACAGTGAATGGGTCCTAATGGTATATGCTTGTGGGACACCTGGTTGATTTTTTTTTCTTCTGTCAAAAACAAACTTGCCTATACTTGTATTAAAGACATGGCCTATTTTCTTAGTAGCATTGTACTTGGAGTTGATAGTCCTAGGTAACCTTCTTTTTCTAGTCCCTTCTCCCCAGAAATTCTCAGACACACCCTGGGTGCTATTAAGAATGAATCCTGCAGGTCCATTCATGCTGTGACAAATGGCAGAATCTCGTTCTAATTTGAGGCTGAATAATATTTCATTATATATACATTATATATAATACATACATACATATATACGTGTATACGCACACACAACTTTCATTATATTAAGTGAAATAAGCCAGACATATAAAGAAAAATATTTCATGATCTCACTTTTATGTGGAATCTAAACAACAACAAAAAGGTCAAGAGGCAGCGGGGTGGGATGGGGAGATGTAGGTCAAAGTAGCAGATACGTAGGATGAAAAAGTCTGAAGATCTAATGTACAGCATGGGAACTATAGTTAATAAAATTGTATTAAGGATGTTTGTTAAATAAGTAGATTTTCACTGCTCATCACAAAGCAGTAACTCTGTGAAATGATATGTTCATGTGTTTCACTATAGTAACCATTTTACTATCTATATGTATCCTATGACATCATGTTGTAAACCTCAAATATATACAATAAAATTGATTTTAAAAAAAGATTGAACCCTGGGTCTAGCTTTGAGTCCAGGCTCTACTCCTTGTAGAGCTATGCAACTTTGAATAAGTTGCTTAATGCCGTTTCCTCATTTGCAAGATGTAGGTAGATAAGAGTACTTAACTTGAAAAATTAAGTGGATTAAAGAAGATAATAAACCAGTGTGTGATTAGCACCCATGTAGTTGCTAATAAATGGTAGCAACTTTGTTACTAGAAAAGCCAGCTGCATTTGATGTTGTGCAGATAAGTTGTATGATTCACTTCAGCACTGCACTCCGAAGGCAGTCACAAACACAAGCGAAGGCAACCACCAAACCAAGTGCTGCCTTCAGTAGGTCAAAGCCCTCTTCCCTGTTGCTGGCTTCAACTCCTAGGTTATCCTTTACAAAACGTAATCCTTACTGAGCCTGCGTGGGCCTTCACGGCCTTGCTACCTGGCACTAGGGCATGAAAATCATGCCTGGGTAGAAATCAAGAAGGGCTGCTCTGCCCCTGCTTGGCATGTACAGTAGAGTCAGAGAAGTGATTGGATGGTAATACCTCCTGGGACTCTCTTCCCTTCTTTCCCATCAAACCTTTCTTCTAGAGCCATGATGCCTGCTGTCCTATGTGAGCCTTGTGACGTGAGCTCTTATTTTTATTGAGTCAACCCATAGGTGTTATCATACTCCTAATCCAGATATAAATAAACTTGTGGGAGGCCTTGTTTCTTGTATTTGCCTAGTTAGCTTCCTGAGAATTTCCTCCTTCATCCAGTATTGGCTAATTTCTGGGCTCACTAGTGACTGTGATAACCTGTGGTCCTTTAAGACACCGTGCAATTGGCCTGCCTTTCATATTTTTGCTTCCAGACTATTAAGAGGACAAGCTACAGTAAAAAGAAAATATCCAAGTAGCCCTTTTGCTGGTTATCTTAGTATTGGTGAAAAAAATACTTAATTTTTAATGCTTTCTAAAATTACACATATATATTTTATTTTAAGAAAGATCCTATTTCAGTGGATAAAACATGTTTTAATCACCTCCTATTCATTCAGTTGGTGAGGGAGGGATTCCTGTCCTAGGGTTATAAGGATGGCTGAAGATGCTACTACCAACAACGGAAAGGTTAGATTAACAGCAATTTATTAGTCAGATATACTCACTGCCCGGGGAGTGGGGGCGACACCGTAGACCAAGTAGGGTTGTATTCAGGAACAGAGTGGACAACCAGGGGCTGCGGGAGGCAGGCTTTGTAATATCAAGAGGGTGAGGTGTCTGTTGGTTCATAGGAGGAAGTGATTGGCTTGTTTGAACAATTCGGAAAAGTAGCAGGAAGTTGAAACCCCAGGATACTCCAGGATAAGCAGGAACTGCCTCTGCTACCTTTGAAAGGAAAGTTGTTCAGCCAAGGGACCTTATCCACAAGAGCAGAGCAAGGAGGGGAAATTGCAGTGAGAACATTCAAGGCCTCCCAGTTTCAACAGATGTCAAGGCAGCACGTAACACTCGGCCTTAATTTTAGACCTTAGACCACACATGTCAAGATGGCAGACCTCTCATTCTCTCGGTTTATAAAACCAGAGCAGAACGATGTTCTAAAGGTGACTATCGTTCGATGAAAGACTTTTTCTTTCTCCTACATACTACACAAGGCTGAGACAAGACAATGCTGAGAAAGAAGCAATTATTTGGTATCGCGAGGCAATAAAGCATTCTATTTCTTTTCCTGAAATATGTATGCTGTTCTACTCATTAACCTATTTTCCAGCCTAGCAAGTGTTACTGCAAGTGCATTCCAGTGTTATTGGAGATAAGATTACTGATTAAAAGGAGGGGTAGATAGATTTATCTGTTTCTCAATGCAGACACTGTCTCAAAATAGAAAGATTTATAATTTCTTATGTATTATGTGAAGGTTGCTTCACAACCTCCCCCATCACATATTTCACAGTGTATTTATTTATATTTCTAAATAAATAAAACATTATAAAGCCTTGGAAAGTCCGTGAATGTTCTATACTTTGCAAAGGTTATTGTCAGAAGGAAAAGGATAAAGAGGGCCATTGTCCCTTTTCTCTTTCCCATGCCCTTTCCCTTAGGAGGAACGGTCGGTCATATAGCACTCACTCATACAATGACATGCCAGCCACCAGCTAAAGAGCACCAGGCAAATCTGCATGTAGCATTCTAAAAACCAGACCTTCAAAAAATGTAAGGTTCAACTAATAAAGCAGCTAAAACAGTGTCTGGCACATAGTAAACTCTTATTCCAATATTGGTTAACTAATGAATAAATGTTGACAGTAGCTGTGATTGAAATGAACCAATGCATAGTCCAAAAGGATGGGCACATTTACACGAAAACCTACTTGTTAACTCTCAAGGCCACTTCTTACATTGGACCATGTACCAATGTTAGCCTTGAGTCCACACCTTGGATCATCTCATGAGGATCATGTAAGATAGTCCCACTCTATGAGATCCTGGTTCAGTTTGTCCAGGGCCATGAATCTGCATTTCAGAAAAGCACCCCAGATGATTCTTAGACCCACTACAATTTAGGAATCACAAAGCTCAATAGTGAAATGTATGCCTTTTGGAGAAAAAGAAGGAAGGTAAGAAACTCCTGCTGACCAGCACAAGCCATGGTCACCCTTTCACTCAGGTGTGCGACTCTTCCGTTCCTACCTCAAACAATGCTTCTTCCCAATGCATATACGTGAGTTTCATGATGAAATGACGTGTGCCTTTGGATGATAGCTAACAGGTTTTTTTTTTTTTCATTCTAAGAATGTATTTTGTTTGTACTTATTTACTTAAATCAAGGCCACCTAAATCAGAAACCCCTTGGTCTCCATGCTCTGATTCCTTTTTTGATGGGCTTTAAAGTTACTGTCCCCCTCATCTCGGCTATGGTCCCAGTGATCCCCAGCCCCTGCCACACTCTGCCTGACTGTGTGGTGTTCCATGCTGCCCTTTTCTACTGTCTCAAACTTGATTCCACCTCTCTACTCTCTTCCAGGTGAGTAAAGCAGGTTCTGAACTTCGCAAAGAGTTATTTTTGCTTAAGACCCTAAACTTGTCATAGTTTGACTCTCCCTTCTTCTTCTTCTTCTTCTTATTATTATTTGAGACAGGTACTGTTATGTCGCCCAGGCTGGTGTTGGATTCCTGGGCTCAAGGGATCCTCCCGCCTCAGTCTCCTGAGTAGCTGCCAGTATAGGTGTGTGCTCCCCAGCAGTTTTTGAGATAACCTAGACTCCTTTGTGGGGAGAACGGGACTGGCATTTTCATAGAGAGGAGAAGCCACGTCCTCAGCCTCCCGAACTGCTCTAGCCTTTTCATTTTTTCATCCCTATTGGTCCCTTGCAGGGATCATCTTCTGCTCAGGACCAGAAGATGAATGCTCATAGGGTTGACTTGTGTGCCCCAGTCCTTTGGTGATGGCAATGGCGTCTTGTGGGAGTTCTGTCCTTTACCTTTCTCTCTCTCTCTGGGCTTCAGTCTTGGGATGGGAGACTTTCTGGCTTCCATCTCATCCATTCACTCGCGTATCCTTCATCAGCAAGGCCCAGACGAGGGGTCCTGCCATTAGGCCTTTAACTGTTTCTGCAGCAGGCTTGCCAGTCATTTCCGCTCCTTCAGCCACCACACTTGGGCTGCTCTCTGGGGAGAGACCAGAAGCTCCTCCTGGCATGCAGGACGTAGCCTCTGAGCACAGGGAAGTGCTTGTAAGCAGTTGCTCCAACTACCTAAAGATCCTCTGAGCACACCTGCCTTGATGTGCTGGTTCCATGTCCTACTGGATCCACAAAGGCTGCTCTTGCTGGTGCTGTTTTAATGTGCTCTGAGTCTGCAGACTGGGTGGCCTGTGTGTCCATAGCACTTGCTTTGGTGCCTGTTGTTACCGCTACTGTTGCCCCTTCATTGAGCACTGGTTGCATTGCAATTAGAATGAAGAAGAGTGCCCTTCCATGAACACATGTGCTGGAGACGTGTTGAATTTCTTCCCCCTCAGCATAATCAGAGGAGGTGACCCCAAGCACCTTAGAGACCATGGGAAGTTCCTAATGCCGGCCTGATGCAGATTCTCTTCTCCACGGAGCACCATGGCCGCTGGGCTCTGCCTTCCACACAGGTATTCCCATTGTGTCCTCAGTGGGATGGCCTGGGTACAGATTTAAGCCTCCATTGGTGGTCTTAGGGGATAAACAAGGTTTTTCCAGATCTTTTGCATCTGCAGGGGCACGGCTGCAGGTGAAATGAGTGGCCATTGGCAAGCTTCAGGTGGAACTGTTGTCATGACTGTGGATGACTGTCTTTACAAACCTCAAGGAGGCAGCCCTGTTGCCTCGAAGGTCTTTACAGGCCTACAGCCTCTACCCTGGATGTCTCAGCCCAGCCACTTTTTTTTTTTAATTTTTTTTTTTGAGACGGAGTCTCGCTCTGTCACCCAGGCTGGAGTGCAGTGGTGTAATCTCGGCTCACTGCAACCTCTACCTCCTGGATTCAAGTGATTCTCCTGCCTCAGCCTCCTAAGTAGCTGCTATTACAGGTGTCTGCTGCCATGCTCAGCTAGTTTTTGTGTGTGTGTGTATTTTTAGTAGAGACGGGGTTTCACCATGTTGGCCAGGCTGGTCTCGGACTCCTGACCTCAGGTGATCCACCTGCCTCAGCCTCCCAAAGTGCCTGTATTACAGGTGTGAGCCACCATGCCCAGCCTCTCAGCTACTTCTGGTCAGCCCAGCAGCATGGCGTCAGGTATTTCCCGGCTGGTGCTGGTGGATACAAGGTCCACAGCCACCATTCCCGTGGTGTATAGATGGATCATCGCTCTTCTTTTGCTATCTGGAAAAAGTCTCTTTCAAAAATCTGTTAAATTAACTTATTTTTGGCCTGAGGCTGCCTCCATACCTTGAGTTTCTGTGTCAGGAGCCACAACCTAACTCAGTAGGTAAACAAACCGAAAGCCTAATTTAGGAGCATATTTTTGTAACAAATAGCTGTGTCACAGCCAGTCATAGCAACCGAACTTCCGCTAATCACAGGCTACCCACTGATCAGACCATGTCCAAAAAAGGCAGATGCCGGAGTTGTAACCAATCAAGCTATTTCTGTAGGGTACTTCCAGTTTTCTGTCTATAAATAATCCCTGCCCAGGGAGCTCTCTGAACTTCCACTTGTTCTGGGTGTTGCCTGATTCATGAATCATTCTTTGCACAATTAAACTCTGTTCAATTTAATTTGTCTAAAGTTTTTTTTCTTTCAACAGAACGATGTGTACTTGAAAACAGTACACTCTTGCACAGCTGTCCCTGGAGCTTCCCCGTGGAGCTGTTAAACTTGCCCTCCGCTGGCTGTTTTCCACAAAGTAATATGGTTACATAGATTCACGGCTCATGGCAATGTTTCATTAAGACAGTTCTTGATGGCCGCTCCACACCTTTCTCACCACATCTCACAGGCTGCCCTGCTGAGCCAGGTCTCCCTGGAACCCGGGGCTCCTGCGCAGGCCCCCATTTTGCTCCAGAACACCCAGGAAGGCGGGGCTTGGGCTGGAATGGGGACACCGATTACCCTCTGTTCAGGCCTTTGGTGCCAGCTGAGGTCGATACTGGTGCCAGGATCGAGACTGTGCCCATCCCATCGAGAGCGGGCAGATGTGGGGGCGCACTGGACCGGGCCTCCCAGGCTGACACCCATTCGCAGCAGCCTGAGCCTAATCCGCCACTGCTCGCCTTCCTCCGACGTCTCCACCTAAACCATCCTTCTGCACATTGTGACCCATCACTCCGCCCTTTGTCCACACATCTCCTTCCCCACACCCACAACGCGGTGGTCCCTGCCCCACAATGCAACGGAAACCTTGCGGAGTGCTAGGCGGAAGCTGCGAGGCCTGTGTAGACACTGCCTCCGCAGGGCTGGCGCACTCCTCCGAGGGCCGACTGAGGGGTGGGTTTTTTAAGTTGCAAAATAAAAGTTATCGCCTGTGGGCCCTGAAGGCCTCTTTTCCACTGGATGACAGGAATGTGTTTGTTCAGAGATTGTAGTCTCCCTGAACTGGAAGGGACTTTAGAAACGGTCTATTACAACACTCTCCTCCTACATAGAGTTGGAGAAATTTCACCCATGGCTGGGCAGAATCAGGGAGGCTTACCCTTTGGTACTACAGTTTTTGGCATTACTGCAGGAACATAGTGTCCCAGCCATAATGTTAGGTAGTTAGACATTAGCAGCTGGGAGGGGGCGAGAGAGGAGGGCAGAAGGGCTATCACTAAGACAGGCCCTGGCCCACCTAAGTTCAGCCCCCAAGACCACCCTAACTCCACCCTGATAGATGCAGCTTGTGGTAAAGTCTGTGGCCAGCACATCCTGGAGAAAGAAGAACTGGGCACAGATAAAAAATCCCCTTACGTGGCGCATGCCCAGTCCATCTAGGCCATAAACCCGGGTAACCTCATCCTCATTATACAGTCATTATAATAAAATTTACATGTGGTTTTGCCCCTCTGAGTGGGCTTTCCTTAACAAAGTGTAAGTAAAGACGTGCAGTTTAAGTTCAGTGATATAAGCATAAACTGCTAATCAAATGACACAATCCTGTCACTCAAACACAGCCCAAGCCTCAACTCCTCCCCACAAACTGCATAAACGCACCCTGAGCTCTATAAAGAGGGGCTGATTTCACTTCGCAGAGGTTACCCCACTCTCCCTCTGAGAGTGCATTACTGTGCTTCAGAAAGCCTTGTTTTGAGCTTGCATTTCGGGGTTAGTTCGCAATTCTTTGCTCACTATCACGAGAACCAAGACTGCTGGTCCAGAGGTCCGGCTTTGTTGGATCTCCTTGGTTAAAGGATCCATCTCAAGGCAGGATTCCAGGTAACAATACCATCTTGGCAGTTGCCAATTTTCCTGTGCACATATGGGGATCTATTTTGTTTCCATAAAAACACAAAACAAGCTTGATTTATCATATAAGCAATTCCAAAGCATTCTTTTAAGCAAGCTGTTCATGTAAGTTGATACAAATGAAAGTTGAGTACACTCAGTAACTGCTGGCTGTATTAGAGCTATCTACTCATATTTAGAATCATCAAATTTAGGGAAAACAAAAAAAGTAGGTGTTTCAGAATGGCCCCATGCTGCTCAGAAAGGTTTGATCTAAATGTAGGAAAGCCACTTTACATGGGAGAGACCTGAATTTTTTTAGGCCTGAGTTGATGTCATTGCGGACAATGATATGGTGGCAACTGGATTCATAAATCCTCTAAAGCCGAAAGCACTTGTAGCAAGGTTACTCTGGGAATAACATGTCCATGGGGAACTTTGGTTCTCCCCACGCTGGATTAGAAGAGTTGTTTGGAATTTTCACAAAGACCAGGGTCAGCATCAGATTAAACTGGTGATCAGAATTCTGAAGGCTCATATGAATAGCAGCTGGGTGTGGAAAAAGTCACCATATGCTGACATGTGCTGGAACATCTTTCTACGCTCCACATTTTACTTAGACTTGTCTGGTCAAGATATTTCCGATTGCAAGGCGTTTTTTTCCAAGTTGTCACATGTTTGTGATTTGCTTTCATAAGGGAGTTGATGGCATTAACTAGGTAGAGACAGAAGAATATTGGGGGTTGAGAGATTAAAAACTACATATTGGCTGCAATGTACACTACTCCAGTGACAGGTGCACTAAAGTCTCAGACTTCACCCCTCTAGTTCATCCACGTAACCAAAAACTACTTGTACCCCCAAAGCTAATGCAATTTTTAAATACTTATTTAAAAACAAGAATGTGGGAACCATCCTACTGTGTTAGCCCTCTGGACCATCCAGCCTGGCATTTTTTTATTGACAGAAATATCAAAGGATAGATCATGAAAAAACATCATTGCTTTTCTTGACTAACCTGAATTTCAGTAGAGCGTGACTTCCCTTAGCAGTAGATTTTTGTTTTTTTGAGACAAGGTCTTCCTCTGTTGCCCAGGCTGGAGTGAAGTGGTGTGATCATAGCTCACTGTAGCCTCAACTCCCCGGGCTCAGTTGATCCTCCTGCCTCAGCCTTGCAAGCAGCTGGGATTATGGGCATGAGCCACCATGCCCAGCTAATTGTTTAATTTTGTGTTGAGACGGGGTCTCACTATGCTGCCCAGGCTGGCCTCAAACTCCTGGACTCAAGTGATCCTCCCACCTCCCATTCCCAAAGTTCTGTGATTACAGGTGTGGCCATCGCACCCGTCCCCTTAGTAGTATTTTAATGTTTCCATTATTCCTTGGAACCCTTTTATATCTTGTTAACTTTTGTGATATTTATTTGCTGTGATCTGAATGTTGGCGTCCCCCATATGTTGGCACCTACATATGTGACAGTATTAAGAGTAGTGGTGTGGGAGGTGATTAGGTCATGAGGGTGGAGCCCTCTTGAATGGGATTAATGCCTCTTTTATAGAGATGTGAAGGAGCCTCCCATTCCCTTCTTCCATGTGGGGATACAGCAACCAGGCACCCTCTATAAACAGGAAATAGGCCCTCACCACACATAGAATCTACTGGTGACTTGATCTTGGACTTCCCAGCCTCCAGAACTGTGAGCCATAAATTTTGGTTGTTTATAAATTACCCAGTCTAGGGTATTTTTGTCATAGCCATCCAAATAGAGACATTAGTGTTCCATGCTAGAGAAAAGAGTTCTTCATGTTTTCTACCTAATTAATTTCACTTAAGTTTGAAAATAACGTCCCCTCCTCTAGCTACTTCAGAATCGGAAAAAGAGATGTGTGTCCTTCTCTTTCATCCAAGGTCCTTCTCTAGTCCAAGACCTGTGCCTTAACTGTTTTAGGACAGTTAAGACCTGTCCTAAAACATGTACTAGACACTGACTAAAACTCATCTGTAATGCACATTGACTTGATGTATTTTACATCTTGCTTTTCCTTTTTTTTCTCTTGACTTTCTAAGCTGCTAACCTGGTTGGTTGTTCTGCCATTTCTTCCTGGTCTTGACTGTGATCTATACAATTTCATCCCCTGGTCATGAACTCTTCCATCATCTGAAGTCATCATGTCTCCTTGTTTGGCACTGAACTTGTAGGCCATATTGGAATACAGATCATCTAGTCTAACCTAGTCACAGGTGTTTTTCTACTTAACATGCTTGACTTCCTTCACCAAACATCCTCCCCACCCAATTAACTTACTCCAGTCTTTTAAACAAAATGATAGATGTATTTATCTTATCCATGTCACTCATTAGTTTATGAACTGCAATCCTGAATCCTTTTACAATTTACCTAACAACTCAGATTTTTTTTTTTTTTTTTTGAGACGGAGTCTCACTCTTTCGTCCAGGCTGAAGTGCAGTGGCACAATTTCAGCTCCCTGCAACCTCTGCCTCCCGGGTTCAAACAGTTCTCCTGCCTCAGCCTCCTGAGTAGCTGGGATTACAGGCGCATGCCACCATGCCCGGCTATGTTTTGTATTTTTAGTAGAGACAGGGTTTCACCGTGTTGGTCAGGCTGATCTCGAACTCCTGACCTTGTGATCCACCCACCATGGCCTCCCAAAGTGCTGGGATTATAGGTGTGAGCCACTGTGCTCGGCATAACTCAGAGTTTTAAAAATAACACAGGAGCTGAAAATGTACCAGGTAAAGTTGCACTGCATGCCTTCGCCCTCTAAACTAGGTGACAGCCCAACCCTCTGTATAATCCTAGGACTGTCTAAAACAAAACCACATGGGAGGAGAACAGTGGCAGGGGCTCCTCTATATTTGACGGGCATGGGGGATTTACCTGATTGCCACTATCTTCAGGAACTTTCCAAAGCAGTAAAGTCACTTAGTGTTGGTCACTAGAGCTAGTGATTTTTTTTTCAAGAAGCTGGATATTACCACTTTATTTCTACCTATCTCTCTTACAAATAATTAACATTTTGTTAGATCCTGTCCTAGGAAACCATGTTAGAGCTTCCAGACCACATCCTTAATTCCACGGGCTTCACTCTCCCTTCTAGTTGTGGCACAAGTGACCACAACCATTACAGTCAGGTGCTGAGCATCAAAACAAACACGTTTCTGTGTGTAGCACCACAGCCCTTTTCTCATTTGTTCATACAACCGTTTTTTAAATGGAGGATCAATTATGTGTCCCAAGCATCAAATATTCAGCAGTGAACAAAGAAGTTAAAATCCCTTGTGAAATTTATATTATTTGGAGAAGACAAATAATAAATAATATCAAATATACAAAATGTACAAAACCAAATATATAGTATAAATTAAATATACAGTATATTAGGGATAGAGGCTAAAGATGAAAAGACAGGAAAGGAGATAGGGAGACCAGGCAAGTCGCCATAGAGTGGGTGGCATTGCACAAAAGTCTAAAGGAAGGAAGGAGGCTTGGGGCTGTGTATCAGAAGAGCGTTTCAGGCAAGGAGAACAGAAAAGACAAAGGCCCAGGAGAGGCCAGCGTGCCTGGACACTAGTGAAGACTGGGGCTTTCAGCCAGAGGTGAGGTTGCAGGGTGAGGGCACATTTAACTGCCGACTTCCAGGTCAAACCTAAAGAATACCCAAACTTGTCTTAATTTTAAAACGAGAGATGTGGGCTGGGCACAGTGGCTCACACCTGTCATCCTAGCACATGGGAGGCCAAGGCAGGCAGATCACTTGAAGTCAAGAGTTCGAGACCAGCCTGGCCAACATGGCAAAACCCCGTCTCTACTAAAAATACAAAAATTAGCCAGGTGTGGTGGCAGGCACCTATAATTCCAGCTACTTGGGAGGCTGAGGCAAGAGAGTTGCATGGACCCAGGAAGCAGAGGTTGCAGTGAGCTGAGATTGTGCCACTGCACTCCAGCTGACAGAGCAAGACTCTGTCTCAAAAAATAATAATAATAAAAATAAATAAATAAAACAAGAGATACTGCTGTCTTGGGCCAGGGTGGTGGTGGGGGAGAAGGGGTAAGAGTGGTCAAGAGGACTGTCTGACACACCGAATGGGAAGTATCAGAGAAAGACAGGACGTCTTAGTCAGCTTGGGCTGCTGTGACAAAGTATTAGGTTGATGCAGTTGTGATTAAAAGTAATGGCAAAAACTGCAATTACTTCTGCACCAACCTAATACCATGGACTGGGTGGCTTACAAACAACAAATGTATTCCTCAAAGTTCTGAAGGGTAGAAATCTGAGATCAGGGTGCCAGCATGGTAAGATTCTGGCGAGGGCTCTCTTCTGGGTTGCAGACTGCTTACTTCTTGTTGTATCCTCACTTGATGGAAAGAGACTGAGCTAGCTGTCTGGCCTCTTCTTATAAGGGCACTAATCACATTCACGAGGGCTCCACCTTAATGACCTGATTACTTCCAACCAGGCTCCACCTTCTAATACCATCACTCGGGGGATCAGGTTTCAACATATGAATTTTTGTGAGGACAAAAACCTTCAATCCATAACAGAGGAGAAATAAAGAAAATAAATTGCCCCAAGGCATTAATGGTAAGTGGATTTTTGTTGTTGTTTTCGAGACAGACTCTCTGTCACCCAGGCTGGAGTGCAATGGCACAGTTTTGGCTCACTGCAATCTCTGCCTCCCAGGTTCAAGTGACTCTCATGCTTCATCCTCTAGAGTAGCTGAGACTACAGGAGTGTGCCATCACACCCAGCTAATTTTTGTGTATTTTTAGTAGAGATGGGGTTTCACCATGTTGGCCAGGCTGGTCTCCAACTCCTGACCTCAGGTGATCCACCCACCTTGGCCTCTTAAAGTGCTGGGATTACAGACACAAGCCACCGTGCCCCACCAGATTTTTATCACTAACAAGAATGAAAAATAGTACATGATATCTTTGTGGGTGGACTCATTTAAGAATGATTTTCTAGTGTCTTCTTGGTGCCTAGGTGCTAGAGACATGACAGTGAACAAGATGTACAGAAATCCCAAATCTCAAGGAGCTTACATTCTGGAGGGTGGAGACAAGTAATATGTATGTAATACGTCAGATGATAAGTACTAAAGGTGGGGGGGTGTGCGGTGGGGGGGCAGCAAGGAAGGAGGATGGAAAGTACCAGGGGGATTCATATGTATTAAATTCTTAGAATTTGTTAAATAATATATGGGGTTTATTCCTATGTCTACTTTTTAAACAGCTTGATACAGGAAAATGTATTCATTTAATCAATTTGACTACCAGCAAAATAGGCCATGGGTCACACACTTAGTACTTCTAGATTCTTCAGAGTATTAGAAATGAAGAATGAAGCATAGCACCCTTTGTAAGGGTAGTGGCCCTTGCGCACTTTGTGCACCCTGTAGGGATAACAAAGAATGAGCAGTAAATGGTACTTGGTTAGATGGTAGTCCTTGCAGGCAATTGGCTTTAGACTTACACTTCGTATCAGCTCTATTTAACCTACTCAGGTTGTCCTCATTAGGGCTTTTCATTTGGAACGCTATTATAGCAATCATATATGGTATTTTTAGCATCTTATATAAACTTTCGCACAAATGCCCAAGTTATATAATCAGCTCTCCCTCGGCCCCCCCACCCCCGGCTTTCTTTCAGCTTCCCACAGTTTTACAGTAGGGGCAAGGAGGTGTGAGTGCAATAGGGGATCCCTGTACAGTGACTGCAGGTGTTCAGGTCTCAGAAACTGGTTCCCCCTCTCTAAACAGGGATGAGTATGTACCAACAAAATGTGTTCTTGATACCCTTCTCTTCTATTCTCAGCCCTCATCTGCTGTTACATTTTCAGCAGGTATCACATTGCTGTGTTCCTCAGTCTGGGAGATGCTCTGCCTCCTCTTACTGTGTTCAAACCAAGCCCTGGGGCTTGGCTCCAGAGGCAGAAGGCACCTTAGAGGTAGTTGCAGTTCCCTCTTTCTACAGATAGCAAATGAGGCCTAGGGAACCCAGGTGACTTCTTCCCTGGCATAGAGGCATAAATACAGTCAACACCAGGTGTCTGGATTCCCTCGCTGGTATGACTTCTATGAAACTAGCAGCTTCTCAGATCCCAATTTTCTTATATATATATATATATATATAGAGAGAGAGAGAGAGAGAGAGAGAGAGAGGGGTATGAAAAGGTGGTCTCTAGAGACCCCTCCATCTGTGTATTCTGTACAAAAATGCTATTGGGGACCAGGCGTGGTGGTTTATGCCTCTAATCCCAGCCCATTAGGAGGTTGAGGCAGGGGAATTGCTTGAGGCCCGGAGTTTGAGACCAGCCTGGGCAACATAATGGGGCCCGCCTCTACAACAAGTTAAAAAAAAAAAAAAATTGCTGAGCAGAGAGGCATGCGTCTGTAGTCCCAGCTACTCGGAGAGGCTGAGGTGGGAGATTGCTTGAGCCCAGGAGGTCAAGGCTGCAGTGAGCTATATACTCACTATGCACTGCAGCCTGGGTGACAAAGTTAGATTGTGTCAAAAAAAAAAAATCTATTGGCTAGGTACTGTTTATATAAAACGTTATAGTTTACTCTCTTTGAATAGAACATTATCAACTGAAATGAATCAGGAATGGGACATATTTTGCTTGGACTGACAAATTCAGTTTCTTTTTTAATAAGAATGTAAAGAAACAAATGGTAAATTCACCCACAGCAAAAAAAAAAAAAAAAAAAAAAAAAAAAAAGAGGTTCAAATACACATCTTCAGCTGAGTTGTATATAAGAAAAGCACTGTGTTATGTTACTCTTAAATAGGAGTTTACCAAACTATATCAGGAAAAGTCTTATGGTGTGGCAGTGGGAGGCAGGGATAAGCAGGCAATGATGGTGATAAGCATTTTCCAAATTAGGAAACAGATACGCTTTTCTTCTGACTCTCTTACATAACTGATCTATTTTAGAAGACAACACTCAAAAACCGAAACAGAATACAAATCTCATGATTTTACTACTTTGTTAGCAAAGTATGACACGAGCAAGTAATGCGGAAGGAAAAGGAGAGCTCTTCACTCCATTATACTTCTCCTAGCCAGGGGCAGCTTAGCAGGATTCCCTCTTCTCCATCACAGCCTGCTGGGTGACTCAGAGACCTGTCTAAATTTTAGGAAATGAACGAAGAAGGACACTAATTTTTCTCGCCTTTGAATTTAAACAAGCAGTCACATTATTGTGCAACTTTTGGATGGCAGAGAATGATGGAAGGGTGACCTGTGACAGTGCCAGTGACTGCTTTGCCTAGACTTCCTGATTCAAAGGGAAGTTATGCAGCACACAAAGGCCACAGCGGCAGTACAGCCTCTTACATAAATAAGTTACATAAATGAGAACAAGTTATGTAAATGCATAAACCAGCAAACATGAATTATAACCATTCACAAATGCCAAGGAGAACACGGTAAGATTCCTCCTACGGTCCCATTTTTTTCTCCCGCACATTATCATAATTGTGCCATTTTATTTCACATCAGAATCAGATGTGGTTGTCATATTTATTAGGGAAAGGAACTCCAAAGGACAAATAATACTTCACATTATTTTCTGAACCACATATTGTACTTTTGGCAGAAATCCCATAATAGAACCTGACTTTATATTTGAAAAGAAGTTTATGAGTGTTTATTAATTTACTATGCTCCTTGTAATAAACATGAACACATTGATTACATATTTACTGTTGTAAATTTTGCAACATGCCATTAAGAACAAGGATGCGTTACAAAAATGAATGTGCGTGTACACATGGATATTTGTTTGTGATTTCAAGTCTCAAGGGAGTATGTGGACATCAGCTGAAAGTCACTGTTCTGCTTGTTAAGGTAGTAATTTAGGGGTTAGGATTGGATTTAAGGTTATGCTCATGACTTAATCCCAATGCTTCCCATGCCAAATGCTTAGGAGGTGCTCCTTGGATCTAGCTGCAATTTGCTTCAGGTGCAATGTGAGTGATAAATGAACTTGTTTCTGTCTGCATCCTGTTGGAACAGGAGGCTTGGCTTTTTCTCAGGCACCTCCTTTTTATTCATTCCCTTTAGGGTAATATAACTCTATCTTTTCTGACGTTACACGACTTGTTGATTGTGTAGTGAAAACACATGAACTCAAAACATTTTTTAGCCTTAATTGCCTGTTCCTTATAAAGAGAAATATTAAACGTTTACCAATTTCAAACATAGCATGCTCAGGTGAACTTTCCAATTAGCAACTTCTTTTACTTTGAAAATCTCATATATTTCTATGAAATATTACATATTTTATTAAATATTACATATTAGTCTAACGTAGTAGTAGTGGAATAGACGTGATCTTAAAATCTGTATTAGCTGTGTGATTTTTGACAAATAACTTTCCCTGTGTTTCCAATCATTTGAAAAAGGACTAAAAGTCCTAAGTGACTTCCAACATTAGCGATCTAATACCCTATCATCAAATCTGTATTTTCAGCTGAGAGCTTTAAACTTGCTGCTGTGAAGTTTAAGGGAAATAGCACCCATTATATATCAACCCGATCATTTTCTTCTGTCGGCAAAACTGCAGAGCCAGCTTGGGTTGTAGTAATACGGTGACCGCCATGTGAAACATGTTTCTTGGTGTTTTCTTTTAAAACTGCCAAATATAGACCTTAACCAGCTGTAAGGCAGTGCTTGAGGTGTGGAGACACCTGAGGAAGCTGTGGGCTTTCTCCCTCGAGGTGGGCCCACGATGAGTTTTAAGCAAGACGGGCAAGCAGTCACCTGGCACCAGGAAAAACTCCTTGCCCTCTGGAGGGAGTCGCCCCAGGAACGTGGGTTTTTTGTTCATATTTAAAGTTGAGTCCTCTAGAACCGAAGAGTCCCAGTCATCTGCCGAAGGTGCGCTCCCAGGCCCCCTGCTTGGGCGCGCCCACCTGGAACCTGGGCGTAGAGCTATGAAAATGCAGACCCGCACAAGCGCGAGGCCACGCGGGGAGACCCCCGCCCGCCAGGAGTTGGGGCAGGTCCGGCCTGGGCGGGGGCGTCGGGGGAGGGGTGGTGACCCGGAGTCCCGCGCGGCAGGGGAGCGTCCCCCAACCCCCGGCAGGGGCGAGGGCCACCGCAGGTGGCGGCGTTGGCAGACAGGCAAGCGGGGACTGAAGCTCCGGGGTCCTTCCGGCTTTGTTCCGTCACGAGCCGAGCCCTCCTTTCCGGAGAAGCCAATTAGATCTCCGACGGAGGAATCATCCGACCTGCGTCCCCCACCCGGAGGGGGCTCGGAAGGGGCGGGGCCCAGCGCTTGGCTCCTCGGGAGCGCGGCCGCGGGCGGCGTGGGGGAGTCCCGGGCGCCGTCGCCGAGCCCGGCCCCGCCCTCGCCAGGCCCCGCCCTCGGGGCTTCCCGGGCGCGCGCAGCCCCGCCGTGTCCGCGCGCCACGCCCCCCTGCTCGCGGGCCGCGTGCGGAGCCGCGCGCCCGGGAGGCTCCGGGACCGTGGCGGCGGGCGGCGGCGGCGCAGCCCTCCGCGGGCCATGTCCTCTCCGGCGGTGGCGAGGACCTCCCCAGGAGGGAGTCGGGAGATGGCCCCAGCGCCGCAGGGCCGAGGCCGGTTCTGGGAAGTGGGCGGCGGCAGCGGCCATCGGCTGGAGCGCGCGGCCGCGGAGTCGGAGCGCTGGGAGCTGCTGCTCCGCCGCGGGGAGCTGCTGGCGCTGGGCGGCCACCTGAAGGGCGCGCTGGAGGCGTTCGCGGCGGCGCTGCGCCGCGGGGCCCCGGCCAGGCCCGAGTGCCTGGGCGCCCTGGTGGACTGCCTGGTGTTCAACTACCGGCTCCGCCACGGGCTGGGCTGGAGCGCGGCCCCGGTTGCAGGCGCTGACGGCGGCGCCGGCGGGCTCCTCAGATGCCTGGGCTGCCGGGGCTTCCTGAGCGAGCCGGTGACCGTGCCCTGTGGCCACAGCTACTGCCGCCGCTGCCTGCGGAGGGAACTCCGCGCCCGCTGCCGCCTCTGCCGGGACCGGCTGCCGCCCGCCACCGCCAGTGCCACTGATGCTGAAGGGACCGCCCCGCGGCCGCCGCCTCTGGCCGCCGCCATCGCCGCTTCAGACTTCAGAACCAGCGTCGTCCTCAA
This sequence comes from Homo sapiens, assembly GCF_000001405.40. Classification (NCBI taxonomy): domain Eukaryota; kingdom Metazoa; phylum Chordata; class Mammalia; order Primates; family Hominidae; genus Homo; species Homo sapiens. The sequence continues at coordinate 5,950,190 of NW_018654717.1, read as the reverse complement.
CCACCTGGCCGAGAAGTGGTTTCCGGGCCAGCGCGAGCGGGCCCGGGCGGCCGGCAGGCTCGGGGAGCTACTGCACCAGGGGCGCTACCGGGAGGCCCTGGCCGCCGCCTGCGAGGCGCTGCGAGCAGGTGACCGCGCGGGGATGCGGCGGGGCCGGGCCGACCGCACCCTCCTGGCCCCGAGGGCCGGGGACCCGGAGCTTGTCTGCGCCCCGAGAGTCTCCTCTGCTTCCCCGGGGCCGCTGGGCCGCTGGCGTGTCGGGTCTCGGGGTGCTGGGGGGTGTGGGAGGGGGCGGCGCCCCGGGGTGCTTCGGTCATAATGGGGATCGCCCTGGGAGCCGACTGTGACGCGGCGCGGGGAGGGGCGCTCGGCGCGGGGTTCCCTCGGCCGCGGCCTGGCTGTCGGGCGCGCGCTCCCGGCGCGGAGTGGGTGACCTGGACCGAGGCCGCCCCGGCGCGGGATGGGTGGTAGCTGGGCTATCCCGAGCGGCCGCTCGCTTCCTGCCGCGCGCTTTCCGGGAATTGGCTCTCGGGCCGGGCCCGCCGCGGGGAAACGACTGCCGGGGCGGGGAGAGAATCCCCCGCGAGGGCAACTAGGCCGGGCAGGCGGCGTCTCCCTTCCTCACCCACAAAAGTCACCGGGACAATTGGGAACCGCGGGAGGGCAGAATTGCATAAGCTGGGGGCGGGGGGCGTTGTGTAACGGGTGACGTCCGGTGGGCGTGGCGGGAGCTCCGCGCGGGCGCCCGGCCCCGGGAGGCCCTGCAGGCCGCCGGGCTTGGGGCTTGGGGCGGAGCTGCCCAGGGTGGTCCCTTGCTACCTGGAAATGCCTGAACTGGTTCCTCTTGAAAGTTTCAGCTGGCCTGTTTCAGATCCTGCTTATTTCCTATGTACTTTGCAGTGCACCTAGCTTATGGTAAAGATGAGAGGGGCTGCCTGATCCATAGTTCTCTGCCACGCTTCTCCTGGCCTTTCCACTTAGGATCAGGCTGTGGGGAAAGGCCTTATAGGTCTTGAGTGCATTTCTTAGTCTCCAAGAAGCAGCCTCGGCCTCCTAACCTAGGTTAGCACTTTCTTCTTAAGGTGGTTTTAGGCGCTGAAAGGGGGCAGTTTCAAGCTTCTCTTACGTAAAAGGAAGAGTTGTTCTATATAAATCAGTAGTTCTCTACCAGGGGGATTTTATCTCCCCTCTCTCAGGGGGCATTATTTAGAACAATATCTGGAGAGATTTTTGGTTGCCACCTCTTGTGGGGGTGGTGCTGGTACCGACATCTAGTGGGAGAGGCTGGGGTGCTGCTCAGACATCCTACTAGGCACAGCAGGATTCCCACAACAAAGAATTATCAGGCCCCAAGTGCCACTGTTGATAAACCTTGTGTTACGCGTATTTCAAGATCTTAGTGTCTATCCATTGGCATGAAATGATAGGGGAATAATCCCCAAGAAAACAGACATCTAGAATAGCAACTGACTTTAGGTATTACAGGTAAATTTATAGACTGTGTAACTGAAAGGATCATCTTTCGGGTCATCTTTTGTCCCAAGTGCTTAGTCATATTGAGCTAATGTCAAGATCTTGTGTTGTTTAGTATCTTTAGAGTTCGAAGCACAAACCCCGGAGATTTTTGTATTCTTTCAGTGCCTTCGTGAGGAGTAGGCAGGTATAAAATAGAAAGGTAGGCTCAGAACAAAAAAAAAGTATTTGGAATACAGAATTCTGATACACATGACTCTGCCTCTCTGGGTGAATAAAGAGAAGAGAAACTGGACTCAGTTGTACAGACCACCTAGTAACTGACCATGGTGTGATTTTTAAAGCGAGGAAGCAGATGCCAGGCAGTGAAGACTTGCACACCGTCACACTGTTAACTGGTAGAGAGGCAGTGCTGTATCTTCCGCTTCTCCTAAACGTTGGTCTAGGGTTCATCCTGCCTTATAGCACATGTTTAGTATACATATCCAAGGAAGTTTTTTTGGTCACTGAGGCTGAACCTTATGGACAGTACTGCTGATTTAGTGATCTGACCTTGAATTAGGGGTTTCACAAGAATCCAGGTCCTGGTCCATGGAAGAACAGTGAGCACTTTTGATAATTGAGGTCTAGCTTAACATTCTGTGACCAATAATATTTTAGTTAACAGAGATTCTGGTTCTTGGATCGAGGATATTATGTTTAACAGGAAAAGGCTCTGAAAGATGTAATCTCTCTTTTTTTCAAGTTGCATAGATTGCACATGAGGATTTTGCCCACTTAGCAACTTCATTCTACTTTTGCAGGAATAGAACCCAAGTCTTCTGACTTTCACTGCATTAGCTTATTTTTTCCTCATTTTTAGTTCTTTCAAGAATCATTAATTCCATGCTTGAAAATGTCTGAATGGCAGTAATGAGGATAAGTTTTTTAATCTTTTGAATTCTTAATGTGAACTAACAGGAAAAAAATCTCAGAGCTAACAAATTAGAGTTGGTAAAGGGCCGATTTATAAGTGTCTCACAATTTATGGGTGTAAATCAAAATGTTAACTAGTACAGTCATAAGCTGTTTGTACAATCCTTAGGCTTTAACTTCTTTGGAATTGGCAAGCTAGGCATTTGACATGTATTTATATAACTGTACGGTTGTAGTTATTAATGATCTTGTCATTATTGTTGATAATGAAAAAAGATCTTCACTATAATTTCTTCGTATAATTCTTATAATGAAACAAGTAAATACTATTAACTAGAAAAAATCTAGTCTGCAGTTAGCCCACACACATCCAAACTTATCTCTGCCAGCAGCAAAAGAAAGCTTGAAAACCTTTGCCAAAATCAGAAGTTTCCCATTTAGATTACATAAGTTTCTGTTGAATTGAAATATATTTAGATAACATTTAAACCATTGATCTTTTGGTATTAACTCTCAGATGTTTCATAACTTTCTGTCTTTTTAGTATTCAGGGATATTATGTAAAGTTTTTCCTGCACTGAATCTCTGTGCTTGAGCCTACTGAAATGATCCCCCTAAGCCATGCTGCCTGCCTTTTGTGTTTAATGTTTTTTTACACTGACTTATCTCCTTCGTGTGTTCACCTCTCCCCCAGAGGAAGACAACAGAACAGTATAATTTACAGTTTGTACAGGTTAAAAAAAAAAAAAAAGGTTGTAAGATGGGGGGGTGATATTTTGTTTTAAAATATTTGGGTAAGGAAAATTTTGTCTTTAATATTAATTCTGTAATCCTTGACCAGGCATGGTGGCTCAAACCTGTAATCCCAGCACTTTGGGAGACCGAGGCGGGCGGATCGCATGAGGCCAGGAGTTCGAGACCAGCCTGGCCAACATGGTGAAACCCCGTATCTACTAGAAATACAAAAAATTACCCAGGCGTGGTGGTGCATGCCTGTAGTTCCCGCTACTCCAGAGGCTGAGGCAGAATTGCTTGAACCCGGAAAGTGGAGGTTGCAGTTAGCTGAGACCACACCACTGCACTCCATCCAGCCTGGGCAACAGAGCAAGACTCAGTCTCAAAAAAAAAAAAAAAAAAAAAAAAAACAAACAAAAAAAAAACATAAAAATAAAAATATAATCCTTGACTGTTACCCAGTATTTTTACATTATTTATATTAATATCATTTGATCTTCACAGAGAATTCTATGGAGTACTGTAATATTATCCTCAGAGGGAAACTGAGGCATCTATGGATAGACATGCAGTGTGGCTTAGTGATTAAAGCTCTGCATGCTGGAAGCTGACACCTGGGTTCCAATCCTGACGCAGCCCTCGCCTCTCTCCGACCTTGTGCACGTTGCCTAACCTATCTGTGTTTTGGTTTCCTTATCTGAAAAATGAGAATAGTCTCTACCTCATAGGGTGTTGTGAGAATCAAATGAGTCAAAACATGCTAAGTGCTTTAAATAGTGCCTGACACAGAGTAAATGCCCAGTAAATATTAATTCAATATTTTTAAAATGTAGAAGTGTGTTACGGCTAGAAGGGGATTTTGCTGAAAGTGGAATCTAAACCTTGCAATTTTACATCCTGTTCTGTTCTATCACTTGGTAGAGAGTAACAATTACATCCCGATTTTAGTTTACACATGTTAACTAGCAGTTTAGCATTCATCAATAAACTATAGATACTTAAAAGCTTTAGCTATCAGAAGATCAGTCAAATTATAGGTAAATACTGAATACATTTAAAGAAAATGTAGAGGGTTTTTATTATCTTTAGTAACTCAACTAGGTTAAAATGAAGAAATTTGAATTTAAACAATACAGTAGTTTCCCCTTATTTGTGGTTTCAGTTACCCACATGGTACAGTATGATAAAATATTTTGAGAGACCACTTTCATGTACGTTTTATCACAGCATATTGTTATATTGTTCTATTTTATCATCAGTTATTGTTGCTAATGTCTTACTACACCTAATTTATAAATTAAAGTTTATCACAGGTATCATAGTATATATAGGGCTTGGTACTATCTGAAGTTGCAGGCATCCGTGGGAGTCTTGGAACGTATCCCCCTTGGGTAAAGGGAGGCTCTTGCTAACTTATTTATGTCCTTACTTATTGTGCAGAGGACTTGAAACAGTAAACACTGATGTCTGTATGGTGATTATAGTTCACAATTATTTTCATTTCTATTATCGTAATTGATCCATACACAAACTCATGTGAGATAGGAGGGCAAGTATTAATATCCCTAATTCACAGATGTAAGAAAAGTTGCAAGAATTTTAGGTGACTTTCTTAAGGGAAGTAAGTGACCAAGTTAAAACTGAAAGCAGAACCCAAATATGTGCATATTGATTCAAAACACAAAGTTGATTTAAAAATTAGCACGCAAAACATAAATCTAAAATATTCTTACTATTCAGCAAATTTTTATTGAGTAGCTACTATATACCAGGCATTGTTTTAGGTGCTAGAAATATAAAAAAGGAGTAAAATAAAGTCCCTGTCCTTGTAGAGTTTGTATTTTTTGTTTCTTTTGTAATTGCAGCAAATTGAAAATCCCTAGAAAATGGGGTTTACTGCTTAATTGGCTTCTACTTAACCAAGACTATATCTCTAATTATTTTCTTTGATTCATAAGGTACTTTAAGGATTTTTTTTCTTAGTGCCTCAGGGTTATTAAAAAGATCAACTGTAATGGCTTTTGATATAAATGATAAAAAAACTGATTCAAGTGTCCCATTTCAAATGAATAATTTGTTTTTTAACTGTTTTTCATTCATCAAATGCAGAATTTACCAAAACTGAATTATCTTAGATTTCTAGTTATTTATATATTAACTTTTTGTTTATTCAGAATCATTTTTCTGTTTGTTGGAATATTTCTAAGAGCCTTGGAAAATCTCGAGTAAAATTTTAAATGAATTTGTATAGTGTTCTGCCTCTTTCCAAAGGTATTTCTCAAAATTGGAATTGTTTTATTATTGAAGTTGAATGACTTCAGGGAACTCTAAAATGCAAGATGGAAGCTTCTGTTTGGTTTTTTCTTTCCCTTTGGTAAGGTCTTTTGCTTCCCATCCCCTTGACCCACCTTTGTGCTGTCTGTTGTCCAGTCTGCTCTCCTGATCCCTAAAGATGTTTCTTATCTAGGCTGCCATTTATGTGGGTAAAAGACAAGGTAGAAAATACTCTTCTGTATCTTGTATCAAGGGTTAATCTAATGTCTTCATCACTTTGTTTTGAGATATTTTGGAATGTTATCAACAATTATTATAGATGGAGCATGTATGTCTTAGGTTTGGTGTTAACTGTTTAACATGCATTATCTTATTCAATCCTCACAGCAGTTATAAAATGTAGGTGTTTTAGAGGTAAGCATATTATAGGTCAGGAGAGTTCAAAGAGTTAAACTACCAAAAGGGGATCTGAACCCAATTTCTGAATCTAGTGTTAATGATCTTACTATCCCAAACTCCTACTCCTGAACATTCTTAATCAATGATCAACAGCTTATCACTTGGCAGCTTTGAGCTCAACCCTGGTAACCAAGTCATACTATACTGAACATAATGAAGCAATAGAAGCAAAAAAAAAAAAAAATTGATATTCTGGTTAGCCTTTGAAAATTTCGATAGCTTGATATATAAATCTCAGAAAAAGACACTCAGAAAAATGAGAAAAGGAATATGAATAGAGAACTTTATACACAGCCCAAATACTGAATAAACACAAAGTTTTAAAGGTCAAACTTAATGAAGAAATGGAGGTTGTTAAAATTACGATGCTATTTTTAATTTATGTATTTCTAGCAAAGAGAAGAAACACAGCTTGTGGGAGTATAAAATAAAGTCTTTATAAAAGAAGGGTTGGCAGAATGTGTTGGAAATGTTGTATATCTTTATAACTTTCTAGGCCCAGCATGGTGGCTCATGCATATAATGCCAAAACTTTGGGAGGCCAAGGAGGGAGGACCACTTGAGCCCAAGAGTTTGAGACCAGCCTGGGCAACATAGTGGTACCGTATCTGTACAAAAAAATTTAAAAATTAGCCAGGTGTGGAGGCATGCACCTGGAGTCCCAGGTACTGAGGCTGGAGTATCTATTGAGCATAGGAGGTCGAGGCTGCGGTGAGCCATGTTAATACCACTGCACTCCAGCCTGGGCTACAGAGTGAGATCTTAGATCTTTTCTCAAATAAATAAAGTACAAGCAATAAATAACTTTCTACATACTGTATAGCAAATAACTAAAAAGGCAAGCAGGTACATAAAGATAGACGTTTGTTATACTTTTTATACTGCCAAAAGTTGGAAGTAACTTAATTGCAGAGTAGGAAATTTTTAAATAGGTTGTATATATAGTAGGATATTTTGCAACTATTAAAAATCATGTGGACTAGTATTACATGGGAAAAAAAGCAGATTATAAACAGCATATATAGTATATTTTATAAAACTACATGTTAAAAATGTACTTTACACATAAAGAACAAAAATGTATGGGAGGCCGTTTGTTTTAGACTGACCTGCACTAGGCACCAGCAGACCAGACAGAATTAGAATGGAGGCCCTTGTGCTGAGTGCCACATAATCAAACTGAACTTTGAATTTGAACTGAAATGAGCCAGTTTTCTAAAAAAAAAGAAAAAAAGAGATTTCAGTCAACCTGAGTTAGTGAAATAAGACAGTCCTCTCTGTTTTAACCTGTAAAGAAAGTTTTCAACTTTAAAACAACCAATCTACTTTTTGTCCCTTATTTCTGCTTTCTTTAAACCTTTTCTGCCAGAAGGCTAACCTCCTCTGCTTAGCTCATTAGAAGACCCATTTTATAGAATGAGCTGTTGCCCATTCCTAGAATCACAAATAAAAGTCAATTCGAACCTTAAATTTGTGCTAATTTTTTCTTTTGTTAACACCAACACTGGCTATTTCTTTGTGATGGGTAAAAGATAGTTTTTACCTCTTATTTCTATATTTTTCAAATTGTATGAGTAAACATTTTTTAAGCTTTTGTGATTTGAAAAAAACTTTCTTGAAGGTGAACTAAAGAAACAACTTTAAGACCTGTTACTAACCATGGATCTCTAATGATTGGAACAAAGATAGAAAACCATGACTCTAGAATAGAAAACTCTCTCTTCAACCCATGAAATAAATGCTTTGGACAGCCGAAGACTAGATTCCTCAGATGGTGGAGCAGAGTCTTATTTAAATCTTTTTACTTGCTGAATGACTTACAAATAATACTGGGTATAAAAGGAGAAAATGGGAACATGAATTGAGCTTAAGGAATCAAATTTTAATGAATTTTTTCTAATTCAGGAAACATTTATCAAAGCCAGGATCTGAGGATAAAAGGCAGGAAATAACGGAGGGAGTTCAAACATCTTTGAATTAAATTACTTTAATAAATAATGTACATATACGATGAAGGCACAGAATCATAATAGCAAACACGCCATGCTTTCAATGTACCAAGCCCTGTTCTAAGTACTATGCACCCATTAACTTACTCTCTAGAGTAAGCCTTGGGGTAGAGACTGTTACCAACATATTAATAGCATGGAGGTAAACAGCTAGAACTCTGGAGCTGGCTTCCTGAGTTAGAATCTCGAATCCACCAATTACTAGCTGTATGATCATGGGCAAGCTGCATATACTCTTCACTGTTTTCTATAAAAATGTGGACAATCCTAGATCCATGTAGAATTGTGCTGAAGATTGTAAATCATTTAGAACAGCACATAGTGGTGTTAATAATGTTTTAAAAGCCCCGGAATATTAAAGCTAAGGAAATTAAAGTACAGAGATTACTTGTAATTTACCCCAAGTCACAGTGAGTGGGTGGAAGAGCCAGATCGTGCTCTTAGTGGTTATCATAAATTGTGGAGGAAGACCCAAAGCAAAGCATCTTGGGAGGAGACTGGTGAGCTGTCTTGCTGGATGATAAAAAGTTATCAAGATAAAGAATGGTATGGTAAGGGAGGAGCTCAGCACAGGAATGAGGCATGAAATAGAATGGTGTACATGGGGCAGTGTGGGTAGTTAGGTATGGTTGGGACTTTGAGTGAGTGGGAAGGTTCATAATGATAATTAAGGCTGGAGAGATGGGCAGGAGCCAGGCATGGAGGAACTTGTACTAAATAATACCTGTTTTACCTTGTGAATGGTAAGGATATAGGTAGAGTAGAACTGAAGGCAGGGAGATCAGTGAGCAAGCTATTGCAATAGTATTAGAGATTTGGGGAGCCTAACCCAGGATTACTAGAGATAGGATTGGAAAAGGGGAGATTTGAGGAAAATCATAGGAGGTGACATTTACAAAGTTGATTCTGATTTGGGAAGTTAGTGGTGTCAATAATAGAGAATACAATGAAAAATGCTTTTTTGGTGAAGAATGCTGAGTTTAGAAAAATTATGGCAGGCAGTTGGAAATTTGATGAATCTGAAGTTAGGGTGAAAAATCAGGACTAAAGATAAAGATCAGGGAGTTAAATCATGACAACTAGCACATCTGTCCCTGCTTCTGGTAGATATGGGTACAAGACCAGAGATATTAAGTGATTTAGAATAAGGTCACAGAGTTAAGTACCACAGTCATATTCAATACAATTAACCCAAACCATGTTGTCTTTGGATTTTGTCAATGTTGTCAAAATTTTGACAACTTTTGAAATTTTGTCGATTTCAAAAATGGAAAATACATAATATGCCAGGCACTTCCTGGGCAATACAGATACCTGCAGTAATGGAGTGAGCACCAGCATCTTCCCTGATGGCGTGTGCAGTGAGGTGACTCGTCTGTAGTGTCCTCAAGGTCACGTAGAGAGCATACAGTAAATACTTGTTGACTCTTTCAAACTTAAGTTAATGATACAGTCAGGACTGATAGCCATTTTGTTGTCTTTCTTGAAAGTTTACGTGGAAGGCAGACCTTGTGTATGCTTTTCAAAGGGGCTCATTTAGCGCACTTGGCGCTTAAGAATTTGAGATCAGTAAGTGTGATGGTCCTAATCTTTTTTTAAAAGTATTGGAAGTTTGAACTCACCTGATGGGGTTGGTTTTTTTTTTTTTTTTTTTCCAAAAAAATAATCATTCAAAATAATCGGTTAACATTTTCAATAAGAGCATTACATACAAGGAGTTAGGGAACAAAGAGTTTTAAAATCTGGCTCTTTTTATCTCTACTTAGGGCGTGCATCTTCTCTTCTTACCCCAACATATACTGACTTTTTAGGACCTCCTTTAGGGAGATCTCAATATCCCGAATTTTTCTGTGTGGAGAGGGGAAGGAATATGTCTTTTTTTGCTTTGGTCAGAGTGGATACATTTTATAGTTTGTTTTTTCAAAGACGGGTCTTCTGAGTCAGTTCTTTCACTGCTGCCGTAAAGAAACTGTATAAAGGTGATTGAGCAGTGAAGGCATGGATAAAAGGGGAAATATTCAGCAGTTCTGAACGTGCATGTCATCAAATATAAAGGAGTGAGAACTTGATGTATAAGAAAAAATGGAAGTTAAAAAAAAATAAAAATCCAAGAATGGGCTGCTTGTTGCAGTAGTGAACTCCTCGCTGGAGGTACTAGAGCGGAGTCTGTCTCAAGGATGCTATTGGAAGCACCCCAGCTGTGGGTGGAAAACTGCACTTTCTGAGCCTAGTCTTTTATAGCCTGGAGTTTTTGATGCTGATGCTTTTACTACTTGTTCTTAGACTATTTTGCCATACGCTGCTCTGTTTTCTCACCTCCAGTTGTACTTGACAAGTCAGTATTGCATGATGCTGTTTGACAGTAAAATTTTCTAGCTAGATTATAAGCTCCTCAAAAACAGGAATAATGTAAAACATTTTTGAATACCTACAGGGTCTAGGTTTGTGCTAGGAACTCTTAATTCTTGATTGATTAATCATATTGAACTTTTAATTCTTATGCATTTTGTTCAGGGATAATTTTTCATTGCTTTAAGAAGCACAAGACACAATATTCTAGACATGTCTTTTTTTAACAAGTAAAACATTTTTATAAAATATTAATTTTATTCTTTAAATGTTTTCGTTGATATAAAATTCTGAGAACATTGTAATCCCAGTTCTCAGGCACCAGCAACTGAAAGAGGCCTTCCTAAATTAATTGCTCAAGTGAGAGTTTTCAATAGAAAAGCAATCATCTAAAAACTAGAGTAAACCCGGCAGCTATTGATAAATTTTATTAAATTTTATTTAGAGGCATTAAGGTCTTTATGCCCATCTTACAATGAATACTTTATGCTTTTAAAGATCTCAAAGATAGCTTTAAAATAAGAGTCAAGTTAATGTCATTTGTTGCTATATTATAAATTAATGTCTTGCTTGGACATCAGTTTTAGAATCTGTGTACCTGTAGTAATTGATTGCAGTAATATCAGTGAACCAGCTAAGTGTCTGAAATTCTGAATGCCATAGGATAATAATTTGGCTTCTTAAGTACAGATGTGGATGATAGTGAAATGAATCACAAAGCGTTTTTTCTCAGGAGTATTTTAAATTAAATATATTTTGAATTGGGCCATACTGTTTTTGCTAATGGCAGGAATTAAAATTCGATCTCTTAAAAGCTGACTCTTATTAACCCATTTCCTCCAGAATCAAGACTACTGTGTATGCTCATAAGATTGAGCCTTTATCAGTCCCTTGTCACCGTGGGAATTCCATATGTAATAGTTACACGTATGGCTATTTTTATAAATGAAGATTTAGAAAGTAGGGTAAAAATATAAGATGTACTATAAAAAGGCAAATCTAAACATCTAAGAAATATGTCTTTAAAATCTTTATAGACTACCCTTTGTTAAAAAAAAAGTTTTCTTAGGAGTGATTATTCATATTATAAAAGTATTTACAGTATTCTGGAAAACAGTTTCCTCCACTAAAATGATCTACTTACAATGATTTGATACAACTTCTAGATAAGATTCAACACGTAAAATGGGTTGTGCCTATACTGCCTTTGGCTTATAGACTTTAGTTTGGTGATTATTAACCCTGGAATCACTAAGTCATTTCTTAATCTGGTATGATCATATTTTGTAGATTATGTAATAATCTTTTAAAAATAATCATATCCTTATAAAATATTTATTTCAGAACCCAGTGACTTGATTGTAAAAATTTACAGAGCGGAATCATATGCTGGTCTCCAAGAGTTTAAAGCAGCCATAGAAGATTTAAATGCAGTTCTTTTTCAACTTCCAGATTGGCCTGAGGTAAAATTACTGTTTTATGTTTGCATAAATTGTAAAATTTTAACTATAAGAGACATGCATTCATTCACAGTTAGGAATTTTAACAAAGTAGATGGTTGACTCCAAATAAAATATCTAGTGCTCTAGAAATATAGGTTCACCTAGGTGCAATGGCTCATTTCCATAATCCTAGCAATTTGGGACGCTGAGTTGGACGGATTGCTTGAGCCCAGGAGTTTGAGACCAGCTTGGGCAACATGTTGAAACCCCATCTCTACAAAAAACACAAAAATGAGCCTGGCATGGTTGTTTGTGCCTGTAGTCCCAACTACTCGAGAGGCTGAAGTGGGAAGGTCACTGGAGCCCTGGAGATTGAGGTTGTGCCACTGAAGTGCCACTGCATTCCAGCCTTGGTGTCAGACCCTGTCTCAAAAAAAAATCTAGGTTCAATATTTTGAGTGGAGGAGTATCATCTCACAATTTTTTAAATTATAAGAGACTTTTCTTTCATAAATAAGGAACAAACAATTCATGGTACAGGAAAAAAAAAGACTTTATTATACAAAATGTCTGCAAAGAAATACAACTTGCCATATTGTGAAGATGGATACAAACTGGACTTCATTGAATGAGATTTATTAATGGAAAGAGAATAGGTTCTTAAAGTTGGAAACTTTTTGAGGTATTATATGGTAACTAGATGATTAGGCAGTGATTTAATTCAGAAGATAGGGACAAAGGAAGTTGCCTTGCCCATGTGGCTTTTAAAAAGACTTAGGAATGTGTATAACATACAGTCAGTTTACAGATTCTCCTTTTTATCAAATTGTCAAGGCAAATTAGTCCAAATGTGTTCTTTAAGATATAAGTTACTCTTTTAAGTGACCTTTTCCCTCCATTCAAAACTGTGTCTTTGAGGACAGTGTAGTAAGGCTGCTCTAAAAAGTATAAATTAATTAGAGAAATGATACGAAATCTCATGATGGCATGACTGGTTAGTACAAAGTAAATGTATTCAGAATAAGAGGGCAGTGGTCAGTGTGCATGGCTTTAAAACTATTGAAAAGGAATCTTTTGGATTTGCCACAGAAGTGATGTAATCAGAAAGGTTTTCTTCAGCCATTAAAGTGGTAGCTAAAAAACTGTTTGGCTAGAACGTTCTTTAGGCTCCTCTGATATTATTTAATACTAAGAATCTGTTTCATTCTAATCACATAAGCAAGGAACGTTTAAAGCTTACCAGTTGATACTTTGTTGGTGGACCAACCCACAGACTGAATTTTGGGTTTATCAGTGATAATTAGTAGGACTCTAATTTTTGTCATAGAGTTTGCTGAACTCACATTATGAAGGAGAAAAGTGAAAGACAAAATAAGGGATTTATGAAAAGTGTCATGTCTATAAGTACTTTCTTAAAAAATTGCATGGGCAATTATACATTCCTAATAACTTGGAAGAAATTTACCATACTGCCCTAAATCTAAGACAAAATTTTTTTCACATTTTAATATTTCTTTAATTTTGATGGATTCTTAGTCAGTATAATTTTACGTATAATTTCCTTTTCCCTCAAATTAAATCAATAATATTTAAATCAGTAATTTCCTTAAAGTGTGGGGACATGGTATTTCTGATCCTGCCCAGCTCTGACTTGGTGTGGAACTTTGGTGAAAAAGTCATTGTCTGGGCCTCAGTTCCCCTGTTAGTGCTTCTCCAGGGTGGTGTGTAGGTATGCCTTTAAAATGCTTTGGCCTCAATTATTCAGAATTTCAAAATCTGCATTTCCTTTTTTTGTTTGTTTGAGACAGAGTCTTACTCCGTCACCCAGGCTGGAGTGCATTGGTGTGATCTCAGCTCACTGCAACCTCCACCTCCCATATTCAAGTGATTTTCATGCCTTAGCCTCCCAGTTAGCTGGGATTACAGGTGCATGCCCCCATGCCTGGCTAATGTTTGCATTTGTAGTAGAGGCAGGGTTTCACCATGTTGACCAGACTGGTCTCGAACTCCTGAACTCAAGTGATCCACCTTTGTCAGCCTCCCAAAGTGCTGGGATTACAGGCGTGAGCTACTGCACCCGGCCCAAAATCGGCACTGCTGAGCAGACTATTGTTTTTCTTTACTTGATAATGATTTTTTAAAAAGCAATTCTTAACACAAAGGTTTTATATATCTGCTTTTATTAAAGGTCTACTTCAGGAAAGGAAAAGTACTCTGCGATGCTGGTTTTTTAGGTGATGCCTTACAACTCTTTCTTCAGTGCTTAGCCCTTGATGAAGATTTTGCACCTGCAAAGCTGCAAGTACAAAAGGTAATCAGTTTACCAACAATTACAGTTCATGGTAGGGCTAAGAGGCAGACAGGTTTAAAAAAAAAAGCTAATAAAAGTTGGAATAAGAACATAAGTAGTAAATAAATCTAACTTAGGAACAAATGTGATAATTTGAGTGGTTTTCAGGTTCATGTACGTATTATATTGAGTTCTTAGTGAAATCGAAACATTTCGTTCACAGATATTTCAATGCATTTTTTTGGTTAGTATTCTAATAGTTTGTTCAATCGGAGCCAGACTGATGGTCCTTAATTAAGCATTACTATCACGATGTTCCTGCTCAGAAGCCTTACTGACCTGCCTTTTGCCTTTTACTTCAGGTCTAACCTTTGCTTACTCCGCAGGATTGCCAATAGTATTGCTCAGTCCACTTGTTTTGCCTTATTTTTTTCAATACTCCATATGTCACTTTCCATACTTTGTTCTATTTGTGGTGTGTTAGTAATTAATTTTTAAAGATAGGAGATGGGGGAAGGAAGGGAGCTGTCTGATGAAGTGACTTTGGGAAGCATTGGGTTAAGCCAAGTTAATTAGGTTTCTCCAGAACGTTTCATAGCTTTTGATATGCCAGCATGAAATAAAATAGCACTCAGCTCTTGCAAGACTTATTCACAGAATATCTTCGAAAAATTCTTTGAGAAAATCTATGCTAATACAAATTCAGGGTCCCAGTCATGATGCTTTCCTGCACATACTCAAAACATGCCACGTTATTTATCAGTGTTTCTTAGAGTGTGGCTTTTTGTCAGAATCATGTGGGGATCATGTTAAACCTAAAGAGTCCTGGGCCCACCAACTACAAGTCTTTGATTCAGAATCTCTAAAATTGGAGCAGTCATTTAAGAAGCATCCCAGGAGATGTTTTTGTACCCTGAAGCATGAGAACTTTGAGATTGTTCTCAGATCTCAGCCGCCTTAAGAATCCAGCTGGCATTGGTATAGCCTCTATGAGGTTTGTTTGTATATACATTCTAGCCCACTGATTTAAGAAGAAAATGTTTACTATTGTCTGTTTTCTGACTGTTCCATGTTCGTTAGTGTTATCTTCTTGGTAAGACTGCAAACTTTAATTTTAAGAGCATGTGTTTCTGCATTTTGCATGCTGCCAGACATCCTTCTATTTCTGTAACTATTTGTTTGCTGGTTAATAGGATCAGGTAGATGCAAAACAAATAATGCTTTAGAATATTTTGTTTTTCTCCAATATACTTTTTCTAAGTTGTGGTATAATTTACATATAATAAAATGCATGGATTTTACACGTCAGTGAGTTTTGAAAAATGTATGTACCTGTGTAACAGCATCCCAATCAAAACAGAGAATATTTCCATCACCCTAGAAAGTACCTTCATCTCCTTTCCAGTAAATCCTCCATCCCCTGCTCCTAGAGGCAACTACTGTTCAGATTTTTGCCACTGTAGAGTAGTGTTACTTATTCTAGAACTTCATTGGAATGGAATCATACAATATATACTGTTTTGTGTCTGGGTTTGTTTTTTTTTTTTTTTTTTGCTGAACATATTTTTTAGATACATCTAGTCATTTTTTATTGTTTTTTAAAGTATTCCATTATATGAACATAATGGAATTTGTGGTTTTCAGTTAGTAGTGATTTTCATTTGGATTGTTTCCAGTATTTTTTCCTGATATAAACTAAGCTGCTATGAGTATTCTTGTACAAGTCATTTTGTGGACATATGTTTTTACATCCCTTTGGCAAAAACTTAGCAGTGGAATTGCTGGGTTCTAGGGTGGATGTGTGTTTAATTTATTTTTTAAAACAGAGGAAATGTAAATGTGTATATACAGATTTTTAAATGTTTGCTTATTAAATGGAGTATTTGAGCACCTACCAAAGATACGTGCTTTTATCTACATTGTTTATATTTCCATAAATGATTTGTGATTTATTTTGATTTTTGTGTATTTGAAAGATAACAGCTGAAAAACCGAACCTCCAATTTAGACTTTAATATGTGCTATACCTATAAATACAGATTGTTTGACCACCAAAAATATCAGAATCCCTTTCATTTCATTCTAGCCATGTTCTTCCCCTATCTTAACCTGTTTCTGTTGGAGTTTTAGGCATATTCCTGAGATAAGCACCCAGAAATTTGATTCTCCAGCTGTCTCCCAGCTTATTTCCTCGCTATTATAGGGAAGCTGCCATGGGGTGCTTCTAACCAAGTATTGGGCAGCAGTAACTGCCCACACAGGTTAGTTATTCAGTGAGAAATTAAATTGAGTGTAAGTACAGGGAATTTTGTAGTTTTGTAGTTAGAAGTCCAAGTGTAGTTCACATAAGTGCCCCAAGGCCAACTTCGTAAATATACATTGAGGTGAACCATGAACTATTTTGATAGCATAGGGCTCACTAAGATTCAGAGATAAATATTTAATATGTCTTTTAAGATCTTTTTATAGTCTTTGTGTTGAAAGATCAGCCTTTATCCTGAGTCTTACTACTCCCATGCTTTCCTTTCAAAGTTTTGAATCATTTGTTTGCGGGTGATTTGACCCCATGAGGCACACCTAATTTTGCAAGACTTTTGAACTTACAGTGTTGCTTACCTTGTTCCCCTCCTGCTCATTAAAAAAATGTCTGCTACAAACTTTCTACATATTCTTTATTAGGTAAATTTATACAAAATTATCCTTAACCAAATATTTTATATTTTCTACTACTTTTAATATTTCTCTTACAGATTTTATGTGATTTATTATTACCTGAAAACTTAAAAGAAGGCCTGAAGGAATCTTCCTGGAGTTCATTACCATGTACTAAAAACAGACCTTTTGATTTTCATTCAGTGATGGAAGAGTCTCAGTCTCTCAATGAACCTAGCCCAAAGCAGGTACGGGGTGAGACAAGGTTATCATGAGTTTAGCGTATCCATTTCTTTACGAGTTAAGAGCTTCACTTTCCTAGTTTCAAGTACTAGCACCTACTTAAGTACTTTTAACCTGGTTAGTTATCATAGTAGAATTTTTTCCATAGCCTTTACTTTACACTAAAATCTTTTATGTAAAATATTTGCTAATGAATCACAATTTTAGGTCGCGTGAAAGAAAACTTTTAGTTCTTTAAAAATATGTATAGAACATTGCATTTATGTTTCCTCAGGGTAGTAACAGCTGTGTTATAGCATAACTACTTTTAAACCTCATTATAACATAAGTCACCTTGATTTCTAGGGCTGTGTAAGTACAGTCATCCCTTGTATCTGTGGGAGATTGGTTCCAGGACCTCTCACAGATAGCAAATCCAAGGATGCTCAAGTCCCTGATATATTAATAAAATGGCACAGTATTTGCATATAACTTATGCACATCCTCCTGTATACTTAAATCATCTCTAGGTTACTTATAATACCTAATACAATGTAAATACTATGTAAATAGTTGTTATACTGTATTGTCTAGGGAATAATGACAAGAAAAAAGTCGATATATGTTCAGGCTTTTTTTTAGAATATTTTCTATCCCCAGTTGGATGAACCCACGGATGCAGAGCCTGTGGATACGGAGGGCCAACTGTGCTGGCAAAAATCATTTACTTGTCACAGTGTTGGAATCAAGTTAGTGCTATTAAATGAACATTAAAATGAGCATTATAAGGCATTGAAATTTCATTTCAGTTTGATTCTTGGTGAGAGGAATAAAGGATAGTAAAGAAATACAGTTACCTTTGTTTATTGTATTTTTGTAGAGTGAAGAAATACCAGAGGTCACTTCAGAGCCTGTCAAAGGAAGCTTAAACCGTGCTCAGTCAGCACAGTCTATAAATTCAACAGAAATGCCTGCCAGAGAGGACTGTTTAAAAAGAGTGTCCCCAGAACCTGTTCTGTCAGTTCAAGAAAAAGGTGTTCTGCTGAAAAGAAAGTTGTCTCTTTTAGAACAGGATGTGATTGTAAATGAAGATGGAAGAAATAAGCTGAAAAAACAAGGAGGTAAAAATTTTGCTCTACACTTATATAAAATAAATTTATTTAGTCAGAATAGTCTTTAAAGTTTTTCCTAAGGAAGAAAACCCCATGTCTTTGTTTTAATAGAAACTCCCAATGAAGTCTGTATGTTTTCCTTAGCTTATGGTGATATTCCAGAAGAATTAATCGATGTCTCAGATTTCGAGTGTTCTCTCTGCATGAGGTAAGCATATAAAACTTTATAGAAGATGAATATTTTATGTTAGTATACATAAAATACCGTGTAGATAAAGGTAATAATAGACAATGTAAAGTAACACAATGCTGGAATAAAAATCAAAAGACATGAATTTTAGTCCTGGGTTTACCTTTCATGCCTTGGGCAAATAACTGAATCTCTGAACCTCAGGTTTCCTAATTTAGAAAGTGGGATCAAGCTTTGCATGGCCTACATCTCATTGTTGTGAGAATCACATGGCTTCAGTATAAAAGGAATCTGGGAAATTGTAAAGTACTAAGAAAGTTATAGATGATATTATTTTTGAAACTTACCTATCTCCATGGTTTTAAATTTGGGTATGAATTCTAATTAGTATTTTATGTATATGATCCTATCTTATTAATGTATATTAACCATAAAGTCTTTTTAAAGTAACATAAGGATAAGGATTTCCATTATTCAGAATGCTATAATTCTAAAAGACTAAATGTTTTGAAATAACATTTCTCATTTACATGAATTGTGTAGGATCAAAAGATTCATACGGGGTCAGGAGGCCTAGTGCTGGTCACACTAGGCTGGTAGCAGTTACGTTCCTGAGCAAGTCTTAATTCTGAGCCTTGGTTTCTTCATCTGTGAAGTGAGGGGATTATACTAAACAGTCCCTAAAGTACCTCTAAATCTATTTCTAGCAAATTCAAAACTATCATGTTTCAGAAAATAAGTAAAACTAGTTGTTCTGTAATGTTTGAATAATACATTTAGTATTAAGTCTAACATTAGAATTCAACTGCATTATTTATTAGGTCATTCTTTTTATGAGTTTTATATCATAAGGGTCTTGTAAACCTATTAAGGAATCATTTTTAAGTTGATATTAAAATGGGAATCTAAAGGCTATACAAAAGCTAACTAATGATTTTTAATGATGTATTTTACATTATTTATTTTGCAGAAAGTCTTTGAAATCTGGTATGTATTTTACATTCAGTGCACATATCAGCTTGTACTAGCCACATTTCAAGTGATTAGTAGCCATAGTGTCCAGGGGCTGTTGCGTTAGTCAGGACAGCTCTAGGCCCTTGGCTCTAGGCCTTTGGCAGGAGGCCTTTGTTGATGGAGAATTTTAAAACATTCTGGAGGGTATGGTTACACTTATCACTGCCCCTTCTCTCCTCTCCTGCCTGCTGGGCCCTCCTTCTTCCTCCTTTAAATAGAGATTAGTGTTATGGTTCTAAAGTAGTACAAGCTTTTCATTGGATAGTTTAATGTGAAAACTAACATGTATCTTGGTTGATTTCAGGTTGTTTTTTGAGCCAGTAACAACCCCTTGCGGACATTCGTTCTGTAAGAATTGTCTTGAGCGTTGTTTAGATCATGCACCATATTGTCCTCTTTGCAAAGAAAGCTTAAAAGAGGTAAATATTTGTATATGTGTCTGTTTGTTGGTCTTAAGTTTGGCAGCATGGTTTAATTTCTGTTCAGCCATAGAAATAGTGATGATCACGTTCAGAATTACATTCTATATTCTGAGTGACTAACAAGGATAATGTTTTATTACCCATATGCTAATGTTGGAGAAAAGTGAGGTTGAAGAGGATGGGGAGAAAGAAGACAGATGCTGAAGACCAACCCCCTTGTACTTAATTTTTTTTTTTTAAACAAAAGTGGGTATGGTTAGTTATCTGGTCAGGGATAAGTTCAATTTTGGTGATGACTATACTGGGGAAACCCTATTGCCCTGCCTCCAACCCTCAATAATAAGCCAGATGTGAGGACTGTTTCAGCTTCCTCAACATCTAGAACAACTTTGTTCAATAGAATTTTCTGCATTGATGGAAATGTTCCATATCTTTGCTGTCAGATATATTAGCCATTAGCCATGTTTGCCTGTTAAGCTTTTAAATATGGTTAGTGTCACTGAGGAACTATATTTACATTTTATTAACTTAAATTTAAGTAGGCACATGTGACTAATGGCTGCGACATTGGGCAATGCAGCTCTAGAAAAGTGGTAGATTGGAAAGAAGAGAGGGAGGTACAGCTTCCTATTCCCCTTCTTGTAGAGTCAGTGATCAGTGCTAATAACCTGTGATAGGAAAGTAGCTAGATCTCAGTGGATGTCTTCTCTAATTGATGAGAAGAGAGCACCCTCTTAATCATGCTTGAGTGACTGCAGATCACCTACTGTCAGGCTAAAGCCTGTGATTCTGAGAGGCAATTGCAGTTTGTAGCGTTGATTGGGGAAAGTGATTCTGTCTCTGATGATTGACAGGATTGCTTAAAAAAAAGTATCTTCCAAATATGAATTGAAAAATTCATAAAACCATTATGAATATACATACAGTATTTCCTGTATAGAAAACAACTCAGTACGGATGTCATAATAGCATGTCTGTTATTACATTTGATATGTGTCTTACATATATAACAAGCTGATAATGTAAAACAAAAGCATATTTAGAATTTTCTCAAAGTCAGGAAACATCAGATACATTTATTCTTAAAAGAGTTTGTTAGTTACATTTTTAGCTAATATGCTCAATGTTTTTAGATGAAGTACTGTAAACATGCTATTTTTCCAGACTTCATTTAAATACCCCCCCAGGATAACTATGATGCTTGTGTTTCCAGATTAACTGTTAGGTTGGTGCAAAAGTAATTGTGGTTTTTGGCATAATATTAGATCTATTGCTTTGATTAGGGATATTCCCTCTTTAAAAAATGTCTGGAGATTGAAAAATATATACTAAGCATATTTTTTGAAAGTATAACTAACATACTATTTAGCAATATCCTGTTTCCAACTTTGAAGATACCCTGCGTAATATAATTTGTAAATTCAAAATACATATACTTTAAAAAAGATTGGTATGCTGTTCAGTTTTACATTTTTCCTACTTGTCATTTTATTTTGCTCATTTTTCCATTTCCATCTATTTTAGATACATTGTTTTTATAGCAGCATAATAGTCCAGTGATTTAACATTTCTTTGTTGTTGGATATATAAGGTTTCTTGTTCTCTTTTTTATATACTATGCTTTTGCCAACATCATTTAAAATGAATGATTTTATGCATCTTTATGTAATCGAAGATATTATGACAGATATTATATATCTGTCACTGAAGGACAGAGTTGAGGTCTGCTCCTCTACTCAGTAGTGGGTGACAATGGAAGAAAAATTTGAAAGAAAAATTATCTACAGACTGTGTCTGAAATTGGGAACAAAACAGATGTTTTGCTTTTCTTAAATAAGGCAATAACCATTTCCTTAGGTTAAATTTTTGGGAGGTGAATTATTGGATCAAAAGCCATATATTTATGAAGCCCTTAAAACCAATTGTTGGATTGCCTCATCCCCAGAAATGTTATTTATTGAGATTTTTATCAGTAACGTAAGAGTGGCTGTATTTCCCTAGATGTTTAAACATCTTTATTAACTTAATAGAAAATGATAATGGAATTGCTTTTATGACAGCTAATTTGATTAATTTTGTGATAAACACTTATTATCTGTGTATATACTACCTGCCCAAGGCCACCTCTCCCCATGCTCCCCTGACCAGCAGCATCTGTCACCTGACAACTTGTTAGAAACATAGATTCTTGGACCCTACCCCAGATGCTCAGAGACTCTGGCGTGGGGCTCAGTAGTCTGTATTTTAACAAGCCGCGATTCATGCTAAACTTTGAAAACCACCACCAGTTTCCCAACCTCTCGCATTTCCCCATCTACTCTTCATTGGATAATGACAAAACCCTTGCTTTTACTGACTGCAGATTCAAGGATGGCTTCATCTTGTGATAGTTTCCCAGGAGGTTTTCCTCACTAATTTTATGAAATAAATATGTATTGGGCATTTTCTTTGTACAAAGTTCTGTGCATACACCCTGACCATGTCCCTGGCCCTACCCTAAGCAATTTTTAGTTTAACTACAGAGATGTAATATATCTGTGTACATATACTACACGCTACAATGCCTACTATGTGGTAAAAACAGTAAAATATGGGTTCTTGGGAGAGAAAAAAATAATTAAGGAAGAGTTTGTGAAAAAGGTAAAATTGGAGTCAGACCTTGAAGGATAGAGATGTTTTGCATAAGCAGGAGTGAGAGAGATGGCTTTTGTAAGTTGGAATAGAGAATAACACAAAAATGCATGAGGATAGTACTTTTTCAGAGTATTTAGGGGTCAGCGCAAATGTAAGATTTTATATAGAGCTGGGGTAGATGGATCATACAGGAAAAGCAATATCTTGATAAGGGTCTGAGTGATAGTGTCCCAAGAAACGCACCTTCCTTGGGTCACTCAAGGACAGAGTTGAGGTCTGCTCCTCTACTCAATAGTGGGTGACAATGGAAGAAAAATCTGAAAGAAAATTTATCTAGAGACTGTGTCTGAAATTGGGAACAAAACAGATGTTTTGCTTTTCTTAAATAAGGCAAATGTGTTATTTTATTTATTCCTTATCCCGTTTTTGTATCTCAGTTAAAATGATAGTTTAGTGCCCATGAGCTGTCAGGTGGAAAAGGGCCTCTGTTGTGGAAGACGGCAGGGCAGGGCCCTCTGCGGCTAATAGAGAAGCTGTGGTCACAGCAGGAAGCAGTTCTTCTGTACAGGGCTTGGTTCAGGTTGCAGCCAACTATCTTTACTGCTCTTGTGCAAAGCCTCAGACAGGTTTTTTTGCTTAGCATCATCCATTGTAATGTTCCCCTCACTAATTAATCCAGAATTGATGGTATAAGTATGTAATAAAGGCTTTAATATATCAGTTAACTGTGTTGCCTGTTTTATACTGTAGGAAAACCACTGCTGGAATGTAAAATAATATTGTCTTTTAGTATCTAGCAGATAGGAGGTACTGTGTCACACAGCTGTTGGAAGAATTAATAGTGAAGTATCTGCCTGATGAACTGTCTGAGAGAAAAAAAATATATGATGAAGAAACTGCTGAACTCTCACAGTAAGTTTCTTCTCATAAAAAAAATTATGAACTACTACCCTTTAATAGTAAGGAAAAACCTCACCGCAAGCTGGATCCTGTCTTTAGTTCATCTCAGTCTAGTCAAGAAGTATTGGTCTGTTTCCGTGGTCCTCAACAGACAGAATCTTATAAAAGTTCACTTGGTAACATCCGGATGTTTTATAGGGAGTTATTGACTCAGCTCTGTGGGCTGAAGCAGTATTTTGGGCGGGGGAGGAATTTCCTACAGTGCCATCAGGCAGTGGAATGGGAAATAGAGAGGGGGCGCTGGTGACAGTGACATTGGTGGTGATGGCGGCTCTCATGTGTCGTGGTAGGGCAAGAGGAAGGTTGAGGGTCAGTAGCCTAGATTAGCAGGGGATTTTCTGTCACATGGAGGCCCGGAAGGGGGCTTTCCAAACTTTGAGATCTGAGATTGAAATTGGAAGAGGGGTGTTCAGGGCCAAATCCTCAATTAATGAAGATACTGACTGGGAGCACAACTGAGTTGGTGTCGGGAGGGTGAAAATCTCGGAGGCAACTTTGGGATTCGGTAAGGCAGGCCACTCTGCAAAGAACACAGCAGCTGATGGAGCTGGGTAGGCAGGGCCAGGCATTGCTTGTTGTCCCTTTTCTGTTTTTCTTTCCCGTTTTTCTCCCTTTCTTTTCCCTAAATGTCTTTCCCTCTTGTGCAGTCACTTGGGTCTCTTTAAATTTTATTAACGGGTTTTTAATTTCTTTATTTCTTTTACTCTCTTTTAATTGAACACACTAAAAAACAAAATTATAATTTGTATATGCTGTTTTATTTAACAACTTTTTGTTTCCATTGATTTTCAAAATATAAATTGAACATTTTGTATGTCACTTTCTAAGAAAAGCTGTGCTTGTAGACTCCTTTATCAACATGTGCCCATCAGATGTCTTCAGTGAGCCAGGTGCCTTCCACAGAAGAAAGATTGCCACTCTTTATAGAAATAGATATTGATTTGTCTTCTCACAGAATTGATATTTTATTGTGTGGTTTATAAAATGATATGACAATTATGAACCTTTCTGATCAGTGCTGAAGCATCTAGATTTAAGAAAACTGCATTTCTGCTTTTGAAAATTTAAACATGGTGACACAACCAGCCAGCCCACGGAAGAGTGGTAGACTCAAAGGACAGAGGAGGGAGACACACAGAGAGCTGCGCATTGGAGAGAAGAGAAGCGACAGGGTGTCCAGCTGCTTACTAATGGGGCTGTTTCTTAAAACACATATTTTAAACATGTTTCACCTTATGTTTATATAAGTAATTGATGGTCATTTTGAAAAAAACTCAAAAATACAAATGAGCTTTTAAAAAAAGCCATAATCTGCAACTCAAAGGGAATCAACTATTGGCATTTTGGCATACATATTTCCAAACTTGAATGTAGTATGTATAAATAGGCTTTAAACAAAGATGGGATCATGTTATTCATGATCAGTATCTAAAACCTGCTCCTCTCATTAATATAAGCATTTCTTCTAATTCAGTTCATACACATCATCTTTTAATGGAAACATAGTATTCCGTTTTATGGATGTACCATAATTGATCTTACTAGTCTCCTCTTTATGATTCTACAATTTGGTTACTATCCACATTGCTACAGTGAACATTCATATAGCACTTGCCTGCTTATGTCTGAAAATAAGCTGGTTGGTTCCAAGAACATGAACATTTCCTGCCAACAACGTAAGGTTTCTGCTGTCTGTAGCCATGTTCTTTAGCGTGCCTGTGCTGTTTCAGAGTGCCCCCATGCTGCCATTTTTCCCATACCTCAGACAGAACTGGGCATTGCCTTTATCCTTCTCTTTCTTTCTACCAATCTGGCAATGAAAAATGTTATATCATTTTAATTACTTGGAAAAAATGTTATCTCATCAAAATATGTTTTCTTATCCTTGCGTTTGAAAATAATGGCTGAGAATTTTTAAGTATTTGCTCTTTGTTGTGGGAGTTCACTTTTTCTTGTTATCTAAGAGTAACTATGAGTGTTTGGGATAAAAGGTATTTATTGTCATGTTATAAATATTTAAAACAGATTTTAATATAAAATATTACTTATAATAAATTCTCTTGATTCATAAACATACTTAGCTCTGTAAGATAATCTGGTGTCTTAAAATTCAGTTTACTCTTATAAATAAGAGGATCACAGCAGATTTTCAGTATTAATATTTCATCAGTGTGAGCTTAGTGAACGGGGTGCTGATTCTTGTTCTTGCCAAGAATAAAAACCACCTTATTTAGAACTAATTCTTTTTTTGCTTTACATTAGTTCATTACTGTTATAAACCTCACTCATTTTTTGTATGTGTTCGGTAATATTTTTCTTGTATGAATTCTAATAATTAAACTGTTTTTCCCTTAGCTTGACCAAGAATGTTCCAATATTTGTTTGCACTATGGCCTACCCCACTGTGCCTTGCCCTCTCCATGTATTTGAGCCAAGATACAGATTGATGATTCGAAGAAGTATACAGACTGGAACCAAACAGTTTGGCATGTGTGTCAGTGATACACAAAATAGGTATGCTTTTTGTGAACCTAAATATTTGTATTTATGTTAGACCTCTCAATATGGATGAGAACTTGCATGTTTATGTTTCAACTTTGTTACTAATCAAGGTTTTCTTTTAGTTTTGCAGATTATGGTTGTATGTTACAAATTAGAAACGTGCATTTCTTACCGGACGGAAGGTCTGTGGTTGATACAGTTGGAGGAAAGCGGTTTAGGGTTTTAAAAAGAGGAATGAAAGATGGATATTGCACTGCCGACATTGAATATCTGGAAGATGTTAAGGTATTTTAAAATGTGCTTTGCCAGCATACTTTCGTATATCCTGTTCCAGGGATTGGTACAGGCATGCAGGCTATTTTCTAGGTGCATGAACCAGTTCTTATCAGACAGCCTTACCACTGTGATGAGAATGTGCTCCAAGTTACCTTTTTCGTATCTTGCTCTGAAACTGTTGCACATTCTAAGAGAACTTGGAAGACTAGAACATAGATTCTCTTTATTTCTGCAGGCTTAACAACCAGCCCAGTGCCTAGAATGTATGTGTATATGTACACATGTGCATGTGTGTATACACGTGATAGGTACTTAACAATAGTGGTTGAATAAGTTGAACTTCCAACCCATCTAAGTTTTGAAAGGTTTACATTTCTGCCCTGTTTTATTGAATGTATTAGTAGTTGAAGCCGATGGAATTAGTAGATTGAAATTTGATGTAAATGTAAACACATCAAATCTTATAAGAATTGTTTTATATATTAAGATTGTTCTTGTGCCTAAGATAACCTTAATGATAAAATAGAGTTGAATGCTGTGTGAAGACCCTGGGGCAGACATAGAAAGCACTGCCAGTGTACATGTTGGTGATATCTTAACAGGGTAGGGTTTTTGTGATGTCTTTCTAGAATAGGGTTAATGTGGCCCTTTTGATGTTTGCAATACCCAGTTTACCTACTGCAGTTAGTTTAGGAACCGGAAAAGTGACTTATGATGCTACAAATACCAAATTGAAGGCAATTTCTTTTGGAAAGGCATTATAAAAACATAGATCTTATCCCTTCTCTTATTCATTGATCTGTTTAGGCCCTTCATTTCGTCAGCATTTATTGGATATTGGCATTAGGTATTTTCACAAACATTAACTCATAGAATTTTCACAACTCTATGAAATAGTAGATGAGGAAAGTACAATTCAGAGGTGTTAATTAATTTGCCTGAGAGCCTATAGATAATGTAACAAAAATGATTAAAGCAAACTCTCTGACTCAGACTTTGAGCTTTATCACTATGCCATTTGGCTCTCTGTTGATAAACCTGATTAGTCTGACGTTGGCAGTCCTATCTTATTATAAAAATGCTATGGGGGTACTTTGTCTTGTGCAGTTGGCCGAAAGTATTGTGTGAGTTGAAATTTTGAGTTGATTGATAGAATCTGTGCCTTAGGCATACTTGGTTAATGGAATCACTTGCTAAAGGTTCTTCTTTGTAAAGTTAATAACCATATTTCAGTTTTGTGTAAATTTATGTCTTCACATATTGGATTTGATGACAAAATCACTTGAGTATATGGCTAAATTACATGACTATATGTATTAATACTTACAAACATGTAGGCAATAGAATCACATTCTAAAAGTATTACAGATATGATATTTATAAACGAGTCCTCTTTGGTCCTCGGAATGTCTAGTAATCTTTTCTCATCATAATGTCTTCATCTATATAATGATTTTCTTGTCCATTCTGGAAAACCTTCTCAAATTTGTTTTATATGGCAAATTTTCCTCTTCTTATAATAATTCTGTTTTCTGTGACTTCTAATGAAATTTTAAGTTCTGTTAAAATTATCACAGTAAAGTTCCTTGACTTTAAAAGCTTGCTTTTAAAATGGAGCTGGCCAAAAAGCAGGCAGAGACTTTAAAAGCGTCTCTGCCTGCTTTTTGGCCAGCTCCGTTTTTCATCACTGACGCTTATAATTGTTATCATTCCTTGTTTACCAGAGCCTGTCATTTGTTTTCTTGAATTTTGTGAGGGTGCAAAGCAGATGCTTTAAAAAAAAAAAAAAAAAAAGATTTAACAAGGCATAAGTTTGTTTCTTGCTCCTATCAATGTATGTTAGCAGGGGCCTGAATCATGTATAGTCATTTCAGGACCAAAATTCTTCAATTGTGTGGCTCCTCTACCTTTTTTAAAAGTTTATTTTTATTGTGGTAAAATATACATAGAATTTACCATTTTAACCATCTTTGAGTGCACACAGTGGCATTAAGTACATTCACATTGTTATGCAAAAAACAGATGCTCTTTAAACTTTAGTTTTCATTTCAAATCTTTCAAAAGTAAAAAGTCTGCTTTTTTGTCTCTGGTGTGCTGTAGTCTTATTTTTATATTTCGAAATGTTTTCAGAGTCCCTTTGTTGTTTTTAAATGAGTCATCCTTGAAGTATGAAAGGCTGAGTCAGGCCTGGTATTTTTTCAGATGAGTTTGTGCATATGAGACAGAGCACGACCTGGCAAGTAGCAAGTGGGATGTAAGTGTGCATTAAAGAAATCAGTATAAGATGGATGAGTTAAACTTAGATCTTCCCACCTGTGTTCTCTGAGACTGCTCTTCTATCTCAGGCTGGAAGCCTGATGCAATTAATTTTACATTTGCAGTTTGGTGACCCAGTAGTCTAAAGAATACACTGAGGGGTTCCAGAGGTAGCCATAGCCTTGGGCCTTGCCAGCAGAAGCTCATCATTGTGTAATTGACTCTCTGACATACTGGCTTTATATGCTAACTTATTTGTTGTAGCTTTTTGTTTGTTTTTGTGTTTTGACCCAGTTCCCTAGTAAAAGATGTAACTGTGCCTGGACTCCTCCTGTTACTACTTTCTGTCATGTCATCTACACCCTAACTACTTATCTTTTCTTTTTTTGTAGCAACTATCATCCACTTTTTTGTTCCACTGCTTTCAAAAACCATTGATCCATAAAGACAAATGGAATTCCAAATTAGACCTCTGAACCAGAACTCACTCTCAATCTTACTCTTCCCACTTGGGGGCTGTTGTAGGGTTCTGCAATATTGCACTGCTAAGTCAGCAAGGTTAGGCATAGGTCAGGCCTTGTTGTCTTTCTTTAGTCTGGTCAGCCCTATATGAGACAGAAATATGTATTAAAGCATAGGAATAATACTCTCTGGGACGTCAGCACTGAAACAGGTATTGCCCTGTTCTTCTGATCCCTTTTTCCATTTGTGTCGGTTGGCATATGGCATATGGACGGGGGATTAGACACAGAAGTCTTACTGACTATTGTATTTCTAGGTTGAGAATGAAGATGAGATTAAGAATCTCAGAGAGCTTCATGATTTGGTTTACTCTCAAGCCTGCAGCTGGTTTCAGAATTTAAGAGACAGATTTCGAAGCCAAATTCTTCAGCATTTCGGATCAATGCCCGAGAGGGAGGAAAACCTTCAGGTATGGTGGCTTTTCTGTTCTTCCAAAAGTCACTTTTTTATAAACCCAAATTTGCACACTTCTACATTTGTTTTCTCATTGTCCTTTCTGCACTACTTTTTCTTTGACTGTCCCCTCCCCCGCACCAGCCCCACCTCATCTTTGCAATCATGAGTTCTCTAGAGCAGTGGTCTCCACTACATTCCGTACAGATAGAGGCTGGAAATACGTGTCAGCTGAGATGCCTGTAGGAGAGAGTGCCAGAAAGGGAGCAAGTCCTTAAGAGGATTTTTAGGAGTGGGTAAGGAATTAAAAACGGGATGTTACTATCTAGAAACTGTGACTGTGGGACAACTAACCATGCCTTTGAGCCCATCGCCTGTTGCTGTTATTCTTTGACAGCAGAGAGACTTACCATTTTCTATACATTTGAAACATCTTTTCTCACCTTTCTTTGTATCTCCCAACATTTGACCCAACCACTTCAATTCATTTTTGTCTCTTCATGTTTAATACCTCGCTTCTCATGAAACTATTATTCTTTTAGTCTTGCTGGTACTTAGGGTTTACACTTAAGCTTAGTCTAATGAATGTGTATCTGGCACTTTCTGTGCAAGCAAAACTGCAGGAGGCATAAAAGAAGGGTCTGGCTCCTGGAAAATCTGATCATAGACTTACTAAAGCACTACGTTTTAGGCATCGTAGCATTTTGAATTGAACTAAATGTTTTTGATCAGAAGGTGATAGATTTTACAAAGGAATGGCTGTCAGTAAATATGTGAAGATGGAGAGATAATAGATCTCATTGTAATGCACACTGCCTCATTCCCGTTTTCAAGGGTTGGTCTACATTTGTCTGAATCCCAATTGAATCCTTCACCTGAACTTGAAACACCAACATTAGGCCATCTCCAAATTTAGTATTCATTCTGTTTAGCATATTATCAGTTGCCATCTATTTGTTTTAACTGATTACTTGAATCTGATTAAACATCACAGAAATGGGCTTTGATAAGAACAATATTGAATAAGAAATTTTAAATAACAAAACAGCTTATAGAAAAATTCAGCATAACTTTTCCATCACCTTCACCACCCTTGCCTTTTATTATCCTGTCCTGTATCACTGCTTTCTGTTAGCAGTGTTGTGTGAGTTAGGATTTGGGCAGGAAAGCAAAAGCAACCACCCGTCATTTTCCCAGAATGAAGGGTTTGACGTAGGATGTAGACTTTGTATAGTAGTTGGGAGAGCTGTGGGAGTGAAGGTCAGGGATGTCACCTACAGAAGTCAGGGAATCTGCCACCAGAGATCCTGCATCAGAAACAGCCAACAGCGTGCTTCTGAAGAACTAGTGGGGAAGTGGCTATAATTCTTAGGAATCCCAGCAAGTCCGCACCACTATCTCAGTCTACAGCAGTGGAGAAAGGGGTTTCCAGGAGCTCTCTGGAAAGTTCCTGCCCACACTTTGCAACAATCTTCAGAGGATAATGGCTTCTCTTCCAGCTTCCACACCCAACAAGAGTGCCTTTCATCGGCCAACTCTAACCTGGAACCCTATGGCAGAGGGGATTTTAGGAGACAGTTTGTAATGTCTGTGGAATGCAGATGAAGAGGTAGCAATGCTTAGTTGACAGCGGACAATACACAAATATAGAAACCGAATCTGATTCTAGAGGGGCCTACTGAGATCAGCACTGATGTCGTAGCTCCTTTTGTCATTCTGAAGCTTTATATTTTAAGTCCGATAAATAGCAATTTAAGGTTCAGTGAAGGTGGCTTACAAGTCCTTTTATGGAAATTTCTAGTTGTTTCAATAGCCAATAGTCAGCCCTCACAGCATTACCAGGACCTTTTCACTGGAGATATGTTTCTTTTTTGAACAACATTGGAAGCTGGGGCCTTTTTCTTCTGTCTTTCCAAGGGTTCCATAATACTTTGAGGAAATTTTAAATCTCAATTAACATTTCTTAATGCTTTAAATCTATAGCTCAAGAAAGTGGCTGTCAACTAGGGGCATGTTGCCCCCACAGGATATTTGGCATTACCTGGAGACATTTTTGGCTGTCACAGCTGGATGGGAAGGTGCTACTGGCATCTGGTGGATAGAGATCAGAGGTGCTGCTGAATGTGCTCTAGTGCATAGGACAGCCACATGCAACAAAGAATTATCTGGCTCAAAGTGTCAGTAGCCTGAGGTCGAGAAGCCTTGCTAGTGTAATAGGAGGAAAGAGCGTGTGTTGACTGTGGGGAGTCAGGTCTAGATTTGAATCTCGGCTCTGCCACATAAGAGCCAAGAGATCTTGGACAATTTGCATTACATTGCTGAGCTTCAGTTTCTCCCATTTTATACTTTGCATAATTGTTAAGGACATTGGAGATAGCACCTGGCACATAGTACAAGTGCTCAATAAATAGTAATTTTTTGGTGGTTTGCTACTGTTGTTACATAAATCCTTGTTTTATTAATGCTATAAACTGTCCATTGTTTTTAGGCAGCCCCTAATGGACCTGCATGGTGTTGGTGGCTTCTTGCAGTTCTCCCTGTAGACCCACGATACCAGCTGTCGGTTTTGTCAATGAAGTCTTTGAAAGAACGGTTGACCAAGATACAGCATATACTGACCTATTTTTCTAGAGACCAATCTAAGTAACTAACTCTTTGGATCTCCCTTTAAAGTGACCCTAATCTGGCTGCATTGATGGCCAGATTGTCTGCTGCCTTTGCACATCTAGTGCTGGTTTCAGAAATTTAATGAAACTTTTCTTTTTCCTTCGACCTCCTGAATCATGTGGTTCTGCAAATGAATACCTTCAACTAGGATTTAGACCACTAAGAACTTGCACAGAAAAACACGCATTGAATGTGTGTCGAACCTCTACATTGTGAAGTTGCACTATGTACCATACTCTAAAATGAAATAAGAACTCTTTATGTCTGTGAGAGAGTGTGTGTGTGTGTGTGCGTGCGTGTGTGCTTGTGGGGGTTGGGTAGTGTGTGTGTATTTTCTCTGGCTTTAAAATTTTAAAACAAACAAACAAAAAAGCCATAGAGAGCAGAACTTGCCGAGGGTCATTTATTGCCCAAGTTTACAAGAGTAGCGATACAAGTTTTTGCAAATTGAATTTGCCTCAGATATATCTGTCCTAATGCTTATATTTGCACAAGTATGTAAAATATCGTGTTGAGGATCATTCTTTGTTGGAAATACTGCTCTTGCTGAACTGTCTTGACCATTGACTATGACACAGTTTCTTATTTATGTAAATACTTGCATCACAGTGGCCGACAGGCATTGGATGCAGAACCTAGAGCCAGTTTTCAGGAACAATTGTAAACCTGACATGGTACTGTGCATCTATTCATAAAACACTCAAAACTGTGAAAATATGGTTTACATTTAATTGTACATAAAGGTAAAGGGAGAACTCAATTCAGTACCAGTTAGTTTGTACATTTTAGGGGGCTTTTCACATTAACTGCCCATTTGTGTAATTTATAGTTTGACATGATGTGTTTGTTTTAAAAAAAAATGCATAGTATAAACCCATTAAGGATCTGGGAAAAGAGAAGAAGTTTAATATAGAACTAAGCTTTTAAAGTTTGTTTTTGTTTTTAATTCTGGTCTCGGTGCAAATGTTAGTTATGCCTTATTCATATCACAGTTAGATCACCATGCTGCAACATGGTTTATATTCATGCTGCCCTAGAAACTTTTGTAATTATTTGTTGCAAATTTGTGACTGTCCTTATTAACTTTCTTTTATGTAAGTAATTTGTAAAAGTTTCTTAAAATTTTTGCTTTTGCTTATTTAATTTTGAATAAAAGCTAAATTCCTAATACTTTTTCTTAAATTGTAGGTCAGTGTTATAAAAACAAGTCAGTAGAAGAACCAAACTGCATATGTTAAAGAACAGATGAGTTTTGCTTATGGTTTGGTGGCATTAGATATATGCTATGGTTTCCAAAAACTTTGGCCATTTTTATTTTTTGAGAAAAAAAAAGCAATTTATTGAGGGTTTAGGCCTCGGAACCATCCCTAAAGCACTATTTTTCAACCTTTTAAAAATCCATGTCCCTTTAGGGTAAGGCTAAAATTCTTTCTTTGATGCCTCACCATTTGAGACTTCTCTTGGTTACACAGACTGGACTGTTTCTGCCCCCAGTTCCTCAGCTAGGATTTTGCAAATGTCAGTCAATCATCTTTTTTTTTTTAGAGACAGGATCTTGCTCTATGGCCAAGGCTGGAATGCAGTAGCACAATCATAACTTGCTGCAGCCTCAAACTCCTGGGCTCAAGTGATTTTCCTGTCACAGGATCCTTGGGGTGGCACTTTGCCAGCCAGAAATGTCTGTGGCCGGTGGTGCCTTCTGCCTGAGTAATGCTCATGCCCACTGGGCTTGTTCTGGCCACTCAGCCTGGCAGGCCGTGCTTGGCTTTTGCTACCAGCCCAGATCCCCCACCTGCCAAGAGCGAACCAGGCACGGAGCAGCGAGGGGTGTGTGGGCAAGTGCATGCAGGGTCCAGACACTGCACACAGCCAGGCACACCAGCTGCTGTGTTGGGGTGGGCACCTTCATGCGAGGTTGCAGCTGGACCAGATGCACCACGTGGCTTCCACTGCAGGCACCCACATCTGGACAAGGGGAACACTGTGGCACCCAGAAGCTTGGAGATGCCAGGAACCACAGAGCTCCAAAGAGGGTGTCACAGCCCTGGCTTAGGCACCCTTTAGGTCTGGACTCCCCAAATAGCTGTAGCTCTTCTTGTCACCCACAATGTGGTGAGTTGGGGTGCAAGGGGGGTATGTGTTTCAGCCCTGTTTGTGTTATAGTTCTTTCAGTTTCACCATTTAGCAAGTCCTGAGTTCTATCCCTGCATCCAGGAAGAATGAGGTGGACAGACAACTGGAAGGTGAGCAAGGCAGAGAGGAGCTTCACTGAGTGATAGAACAGCTCTCAGGAGACCCAAAGTGGGTAGCTCCTTTCTGCAGGCAGGTCTTCCTGATTTGAGTGTCCAGCTTTCAGTGGAGAGAAGACCCTCAGTGGGTAGCTCTTTTCCACAGGCAGGTCATCCCATAGAGTGTCCAGTTCTCAGCAGAGAAGAGACCTGAAGTGGGTAGCTGTTTTCCACAAGCAGGTCATCCAGAAGAGTCAAGGAGACTCACAATGGGTAGCTCCTTCCTGCAGCTGGTAGTCCTGAGGGTCTGTTTGAGTCTTACTGACTCTAGGGTTTTTATGGGCTCAGGAGGGGAAGTGTGTGCTGATCGGTCCATGGGCGGCCATGGGTGGGCTGGGGAAAAAGCTCCATATGTACTCACTCCAGGCAGTGGACTCCAGCTGGAACTGGCTGCTCAGGCCCCAGGCTTCAGGCCATCCCTGGCTTGAAGGTGAGGTTTCACCAGGACCCA
The DNA here is from genome assembly GCF_000001405.40 of Homo sapiens. Taxonomy (NCBI): domain Eukaryota; kingdom Metazoa; phylum Chordata; class Mammalia; order Primates; family Hominidae; genus Homo; species Homo sapiens. The sequence continues at coordinate 5,915,683 of NW_018654717.1, read as the reverse complement.
CCCTTTTCCATCCTGCCACCATCAACATGCCATCCACAGCAACCAGGCTGTTCCTACCAAGAGGCACCGGCAGGCTTGTGCCAAACCGCCCTCAGGGCCCCCTTGGCCTCCCGCCCCTGCTTGTTGGTGCCCAAAATTCAAAGGGGGTCAAGGTGGTGGGACTGGTGTGTCAGCACCACCCCTAGCACACACACATCCAGCCAGGTTGAGATAGCACCCGGGTTCAGCCTCAACTTTGCTCCAGAATTGGAGCAGGTGTCAGGAGAGGGGAGAAGCAGGAGCAGGCACTTCTGAGCCTGTGGGGCCAGGGGGGGCTTCCAGGAGTGCAGGCATGCCCAGGTCTGGAGCCATAGCTGGGTGGCTGCAACTGCATCCATGAGTGTGGGGCTCCTGCCCTGCCAACTCAGTAGGGGGTGGGGCTCCCACCTGTTCCCTCCCCTATTGGATCCACTGTGTAGTAGTGTGTAAACCTACGGTGATATTAAAAGTTATATCTCCCTAGGGTATTGCGAATAACATCACAGTGGGTGTACAACCACTCTGATATTCGAAGTAATACCTCCCTAAGATATGACAAAAAATATCAAAGCGTGGACCCAGTCGTGGCATCAAAAGTAACGTCTCTGTGGATATTCCGAATAATATCACAGGGTGTACACAGCCTGTGACATTAGGAGTAGCATCCCCATAAGATATTCCGAGTAATATCACAGGGTGTACACCCCATGTGACATTAAGGGTAACATCTTAGGATGTTACAAACAACATCACAGGGTGTATACCCCCTGTGACTTTTTAAGTAACATCCCCCTAGAATATTACGAAGAATATCATGGGTGTACACCCCGTGTGACATTAGGAGTAACATCTCCCTAGGATATTACGAAGAATACCACTGGGTGTATGTCATATTAGGAGTGACATCCTTCTAGGACATTATGGATAATATCACAAGGTGTACACACACTGTGATATTCGGAGAGATATCTCCCTAGGATAGAAGGTATCATATCACAGAATGTACGTGCATGGTGTACACCTACTGTGATATTAGAAGCAATATCTCCCTATGAAAGTATGAGAAATACCAAAGGGAGTACACACTCTGTGCTATTAGATGTCATGTTTACCATGGATATTACAAATAATATCACAGGGTGTACACACATGAGGTACACCCACTGTGGTATTATTTGTACTGTCTTAGAGAGATATAACTCTCTAATATAACAGAGAGAGTTATAACTCTGTAATATCTCTGAGATATTACAAATAATATCACAGTGAGTGTAAACACAGTGTACATAGTGTACACCCACTGTGAGATTTACAGTAATATCTCCCTATAAGACTACAAATATTATCGAAGGGTGTACACCCCCTGTGACCGCAGGAGTAACATCCTTCTGGATATTGGGAATGATATCATAAGCCATACCCACCCTGTGACATTTTGTACACCCTTTGTGACATGAAAAGTCACACCCCCTGGTATATTACGAATAATATCAAAGGCAGTTGACGCACACGGTGTACACATCCTGTTGCATTAGGCATAATCTTTTTCTGTGATTTCCGAATAATATCACAGAAGGTGTACACACATTGTGTACACTCCAGGTGACATTAGGAGGAACATCTCCTCAAGCTGTTAGAAATAATATTACCAGCGTTGCATACACATGGTGTACCCTCCCTGTGACATTAGCAGCAACATTCCCCTAGAATATTACGAATAACATCAGAGGGGGAGTACACACATCATGTACGCACCTTGTGAAATTAGGAGTAGCATCTCCCTACGATGTTATGAGTAATATCACAGAATGTGTACTCATATGGCATATACCCCATATGATGTTAGGAGTTACATCCTTCTAGTATGTTAGGAAGAATATCACAAAGGTGTTCACACATGGTTAATAGCATATGGAATATTAGGATTAACATCCCTTGAGATCATTACAAATAACATCATAAGGGCTGTGCACACATGGTGCACATGCCCTGTGACGTTAGGAGTGCATTTCCCTGACACATTATGAGAAATATCACAGAGTGTACACCTTCTGTGACATTTGGAGTAATGTCCCCTAGGGTAGTACGAATAATATCCCAGGGTGTGCATCCCCTGTGACCTGAGGAGTAACGTCTTTCTAGGATATTGTGAATAATATCACTAAACGCACAGCCCCTGTGGCACAAGGAGTAACATCCACCTAGGATATTAGGAATAATATCACAGGGAGTACACCTCATGTGACAGTAGGAGTAACCTCGCCCGAGGATATAACGAACAAATACAGAGGATGTACACGTGTGGTGACATCAGCAGTAACATCCATTTAGGATATTACGAATATTATCACAGTGTGAACACCACCTGTGACATTAGGAGTAACATCTCCCTGGGATATTAAGAATAATGTCACTGGGGGCACACCCTCTGTGATATTAGCAGCAACATCTTTCTAGGAGATTACGAATGATATCACAGGTTGTCAACTCACTTTGATATTAGAAGGACTGTCTCCCTAGGATATAAGCTATCTCATGTCACAGAGTGTACACACGTGGTGTACACCCACTGTGTTATTAGCAGCAATATCTCCCTATGATATTATGAAAACTATCACAGGGTGTACCCTCTGTGGATTACTAGAAGTAATGTTTACCATGGATATTACAAATAATATCACAGGGTGTACACACATGGGGTACACCCACTGTGATATTAGGAGTGATATCTCTCGAAGATATTACAAATAATATGCCAGTGGGTGTACCCCATGTATGTACACCCACTGTGATATTTAAAGTAATATCTCTCTATAAGACTACAAATAACATCGAAGGGTGTACACCCCCTGTGACACTAGGAGTAACATCCCCCTACAATACTTGGAACAATATCACACGGTGTACACCCCTGTAATGTTAGGAGTAACATCCCCCCTGAATATTACTAATAATATCACAAGGTATACAGGCATTGTGACATTAGTCATAATATCCTGCTAGCATATTTTCAATAATATCACAGAAGGAGCACACCTGTGACATTAAGAGTAACATCCCCCTAGAATAGTAAGAATAATATCACAGGGGGTACACCCCCTGTGACATTAGGGGAATCATCTCGCTAGAACATGATGAAGAATGTCACAGGGTGTTATCCTCTGTGCCAATAGGAGTATAGACCCCTGGGAAATTATGAATACTATCAAAGGGTGTACACCCCTGTGACATTAGGAATAACGTATTTCTAGAATATCACGAATAATATCACAATGTGTACATCCCCTGTGTCATTAAAAGTAAAATTGCCCCAGGATATTACGAAATAGAACACAGGGAGTACACCCCATGTGACATTAGAAGTAACATCCCCCAAGGATATAGCGAATAATATCAGAGAACGTACCTGCATTGGGACATCAGTAGTAACATCTCTTCAGGAAACACGAATAATACCAAAGGGTGTACACGCATTGTGAAATTAGAAGTGAACTCCCGCTAGGATATTATGAATTTTCTGACAGGGTCTACTTGCCCTGTGACATTAGCAGTCATGTTTTCCTAGACTATTACGAGGACTGTGAAAGAGTGTACAGGACCTGTGAATTACGAGTAACATTTCTATAGAATATCGCACGTAACATCACTCTGTGTACACCCCGTGTGACATCAGGGGTAACATCCCACAAAATTATAACGAAAAGTTTCACAAGGTGTACACCCTCCGTGACATGAAAAGTAACATTTCCGTAGAATACGACCTCTAGAATCCCCTAGAATTCCCTAGAATCTCACCTCTCTGATATGAGGAGTGACACCTTATAAGGATAATACGAGTAATTTGACAAGGTGTACAAACCCTGTGACATAAGCAGTGACATCCCTCTAGGATGTTGTGAATACTATCAAAGGGAATATATCCCGTGTGACAATAAAAGTAACCTCCGCTTAGGAGAACAAGAATAACATCAAAAGGTGTACACACATTGTGACATTATTATTAATGACCCGATAGGATATTGGGAATAACATCACAGTGTGTAGAGTCCTGTTACAACAGGATTAACATTCCCCTACAATATGACGAATAATATCGCAGGGTGTATATCCCCTGTGACTTTAGTAGTGGCATCTTGCTAGAATATGGAAAACAATGTTCCAGGGTGTGAACCAAGGGGGGCAGTAGACAAAAGATCCCAGGAAAAAGGGGGGAGTCCTATCAACCCCCTCTCCCCCCGTGAATATGAGGATCCTCGGTGGTCACACAGCGTGTTCACGTTATTGTCAGTAATATCTTCTCCGCCTCTGGAAATTACCAACTATGTCACCGACGGGTGCACATCCTCTGCACTCTTTGGAGTAATAGCATTCTCTTTCCCCTTGATATTAAGAACAATATCACAGGAGTGTTTTTACCCCTAGGGGCATTCCGTGTAGTATCATCCTCTCCCACGATGAAATTAGGAACAATATCACTGGGGGTGTGTCCACCCCGTGCGATATTGAAAGTAATATCATCCTCTTCTCTCCTGGATCATGGGAACCATATCACTGGGGTGGTGTACACTTTCTGCAGTATTGGGAGTAAGATCATCCTCTCCGCCTTGGAATATTAAGGACCATATCACAGTGGGGCTGTACACACCCAGTGCTATTAAGAAGAATATTATCCTCCCCTGCCCTGCACATTGGAAAAAATATCACAGAGTGGGTGTACACCTCCTGTGATGGGGGGGGGGGGGTGATATCATCTTCTCTTCTTCTGGATAGTAGAAACAATATCACACGGGTTTGTACACTTTCTGTGATATTGGGAGTAATATCAACTTCTCCGCCTTTGAATATTAAGAACAGTATCAAGACTGGATGTACACCCCCTGCGATATTGGGAGTAATATCAGCCTCTCCTCTCCATGGATATTAGGAATAATATCCCCGGATGGGTGTACACCTCCTGCTGTGTGGGGAGTCATATCGTCCTCTCGCTTCCGGGCTACTAGGAACAACATTAGAGGGTGGGTGTACACAGCCTGCGATATTGCGAGTAATATCACCCTCTCCCCCTCCGGATATTAGGAACAATGTCACAGAAGGGGTGTACACTTCCTGCCATACTGGGAGTAATAGCATTCTCTTCTTCCGTGAATATTAGGAGCAAAATCACCGGGTGGATGCACACCCAGTGCTATATTGGAAGTAACGTCATACTCCACCCCCTGGAGATTATATTCGGATCAATATCACCGGGTGGGTGTACACCTAGTGCGATATTGAACGGAATATCATGCTCTCTCCCTCCCTGGACATTAGGAACAATATCACAGGTGGGTGTACACCCACTGAGATATTAGGTGTAAGATTCGTATTCATCTTTCCTCATTTATTATTCACATGAATATGAATTACCAATATTAATATTAATAAATAATTGCTAATAAAGTGTTCAGGTTATTAATATTAATATTAATTATTAGGAGCTAATATTACTGTTTTCTAATGAATAAGATCAATATCAGTTATTAATATCAGGCGTTATTAATCATTAATATGAATCATTTATTATCATTTGTATAACTATTTAATATTAATTATCATTATTATTGGTATGATTTTTAAAATTATATTATCAGTTATTAATATTGATAATTATTAGTATCAATTAATAATTGATATTATTAATAGCGATAAGTAATATTGATATTAAAATGGATATTATAGATTATTAATTATTAATTGCATTACTATTATTATTATTAATTGCGATAAGTAATATTGATATTGAAATTGATATTAATTGCGATAAGTAATATTGATATTAAAAGTGATATTATTAATTGCGATAAGTAATATCGTGCCATTCCACTTAATATCTGTGATCTTGTTGCTAATATCCGGGCGGGGACAGCACGCTATTAATCCCAATAATCCAGAAGGTGTAGACCTCCCCTGTGATATTGTCCCTCACATCCAAAGGTGGAGAGGAAGATATATCTCCCAGTTTCGCAGGGGTTGTACACCACCCCTGTGACATTGTTCTTGATGTCCAGGGGTAGAGAAAATGACGTGACTCACAATATGGCAGGGGATGAACACCCCCTCCATGATATTGTTCCTAATATTCAGGGGGGAAGAGTATGATATTTTTCCCAATATGACAGCGGGTGTACTCCCCATATCCCAGGGGGTGGATAGTATCCTGATCTGTGATAGACTCTGCCACGATGCGGGGAGTAATATCATCCCCCTCTCCTTCCCTTGCTATTACGATACACATCGCACGGGGGCGGGCGACCCCCGCGATGCGGGGAGAAATATCACCCCCCCCACCCCCGATATTACGAGCCACATCGCGGGGGGGTAGACACCCCCAGTGATGTGGGGAGTAATACATATCCCCCTTCCCCATGGATATTAGGAGCCACATCTCAGGGGCGTGGACACCCTCCGCTGATGCGCAGAGTAATATCAACCCCCTTCCCTCCCTGCATGTTAGCAGCCACTGTGGACACACAGCGTATTTACCATATTTCCAGCAAGATCATCTTTTCCATTGAACCTTATGAACAAGATCACAGAGGGGTGTACACCTCCTGCGATATTGGGGGTAATATCGTTCTCTCCTCCACTGCCTACTGACAACAATATCACAGGGGCGTGTATTTCTCCTTTCATATTGAGAGTCATATCATACTTGCCTTCCATATATGAAGAACAATAGCAAAGAAGGGGGTGGACACTTTGACTATATTAGGAGTAACATCATTCTCTCTACCCCTGGATATTAGTAGCAATATCATAGGGGGATGCACATTTCTTGTGATATTGAGAGTAGTATTGTTGTCTCCCCCGCTGGATATGAAAAACAATACCACAAGGGGCGTGAAACCACCTGCCAAATTTGAGGGAATGTTATCCTCTCCGCCCCCGGATACTAGAGACAATAACACAGGGGTAATGTGCACCCACTGCTTGACTGGGAGAAGTATCATCCTCTCCCTTCTTGGATATTAGGAACAATATCACGGGGCGGGGGGTGGTGTACTGCCTCTGCGATATTGGGAGTAAAACTATCCTCTCTTCCCCTGGATATTAGGAAGTGTATCAGAGGCGGAGGGTGCACATTCCCTGCGATATTCAATGTCATCTTATGCTCTCCCTCCCAGGGTATGAAGAACAATATTACAGGAGGGGTGTACACCCCCTGCGATATTGAGAGTCATATCATCCTCTTTCGCTCTGGATATTAGGAACAATATCACAGGGCTGTGTACGCCCCCTGCGATATTGGGAGTAATATCATCCTGTCGCCCTGAGGAGAGAAGCCATTTCTCTACTGTCTCTTGTCTCTGAAGAGGAGGAGGAAGTAAAACTGGAAAAACAACAGGAATGAAGTCGGTGGCAAGACCAGCTGGTGGCAATGATGAGCCGGCCTGAGATGAAAAGATTAACCCCCGCCCCCCCACTCTAAGCACATGTGCTCTGAATCCATCACGACCCTTTCACGTGGAACCCCTTAGAGTTGTAAGCCCTTAAACGGGCCAGGAACTCTGTCTTCCTTCAGGGAGCTGGGCTCTTAAGATGCGAGTCTGCCGACGTTCCCGGCTGAACAAAAAACCTCTTTCTTCTTGAATCCGCTGTCTGAGGGACTTGGTCCCCTGCTTCTCCTATTTGATTTCTTGGTTCCCTGATCAGGAATCGAATGCGGGCAGCAGCAGTGAGAGCGCCAAATCCCAACCACTAGACCACCAGGGGAACTTAGAACCTTGTCAGAACTAGATTGCCCACCATTAGAAGTGGGTCGGCCATCAGAAGGAAGCCTGGACAGGTCCCTTGTTTCTAAGGTGTGGCACAAGGTAACTGGTAAAGGATACCTAGACCAGTTCGTATACATAGACACTTGGTGACGGCTGGTGCTAGACCCTCCCACAGTGGCTAAGAGGGCAGGCAGCAACAGTACTAGTAGCAAAGGGACAGATACCTAAGGAAGGATCCTGCTCCACCCGCCCAGGGAAATCAACTCCTGAAGTTCTATTCCACCCAGCATAAGAAGATGCATTGCAGGAGATGGCACCAGTGATCCTAGTGGTGCCCTCCCCTTACCAGGGAAAGAGGCTCCCCACTCTTGAGCCCACAGTGCTTGCACCTCCGCAAGACAAGCATATCCCTAGGCCACCGAGAGTAGACAAGAGAGGAGGTGAGGACTTAGGAGAAACCCCTCCCTTGGCAGCTCCTTTACAACCCCAAATGGGGATCCAAATGCCCCCGAGAGAGCAGCGGTATACTGGGATAGATGAGGATGGTCACGTAGTGGAGAGGCGCATTTTTGTGTACCAGCCCTTCACCTCTGCCAACCTTCTCGACTGGCAAAACAATACCCTGTCCTATACTGAAAAGCCACAAGCCCTAATTGATTTGCTCCAAGCTGTTATCCAGACCCACAACCTCACCTGGGCTGACTGCCACCAGTTGCTCATGTTCCTCTTTCACAGAGATGAAAGGCAGAGAGTGCTCCAAGCAGCAACTAAGTGGCTAGAGGAACATACACCAGCTGATTATCAAAAACCCCGAGACTATCTAAGGACCCAGTTAGGAGGAACCAACCCCCAGTGGGACCCACATGAAAGAGGGGATATGCAAAGGCTCAACTGAGACAGGGAAGCTCTCTTGGAAGGATTACAGAGGAGAGCTCAGAAGGCCACAAACGTTAACAAGCTCTCTGAGGTCATTCAGGGAAAAGAAGAAAGTCCAGCACAATTCTACGAGAGACTGTGGGAGGCCTATCGTATGTATACTCCCTTTGATCCCGATAGCCCTGATAATCAGCGCATGATTCCCATGGCTTTAGTCAGTCAAAGCGCAGAAGACATGAGAAGAAAACTGCAGAAACAGGCTGGGCTTGCAGGGATGAATACATCGCAATAATTAGAAATAGCTAACCAGGTGTTTGTAAACAGGGGTGCAGTAAGCCGTGAGGAAAACTGCAAAGAGAATGAATGTCAGGCCCGGGGAAACACCGACCTGTTTGTTAGCTGCAGCAATCAGAGGGGCCCCCTGAGAGAGGCAAGGGAAGGGGGGTCCTGGGAAAGAAACTCAGCTTGGCTGTCAGAGTTTGCAGTGTAACCAGTGTGCTTATTGTACAGAAATAGGACGTTGGAAGAACAAATGCCCTCAGCTCAAAAGAAAACAAGGTGACTCAGAGCAGGAGGCCCCAGACAAGGAGGAAGGGGCCCTGCTCAACCTGGCAGAAAGGTTATTGGACTGAGGGAGACTGGGCTCAAGTGTCCTCAAAGAGCCTCTGGTCAGAACGACAGTCGGGGTAGAGACACTGATTTTCTTGTAGATACTGGTGCTGAACATTCGCTAGTAACCACCCCGGTCGCCCCCTTATCCAAAAAGACTATTGACATCATCGCAGCCACGGGGGTTTCAGCAAAGCAAGCTTTCTGCTTGCCTCGGACTTGTGCTGTAGGAGGACCTAAAGTCATTCAGCAGTTTTTGTACACGCCTAACTGTCCCTTGCGCTTGTTGGGAAGGGACTTGCTTAGCAAGCTGAGAGCCACTATCTCTTTGACAGAGCACGGCTCTTTGCTGCTAAAGTTACCTGGAACGGGAGTCGTTATGACCCTTATAGTCTCCCGAGAGGAGGAATGGAGACTTTTCTTCATTGAGCTGGACCAAGAGATAAGACCAGCTCTGGCTAAGCGATGGCCAAGAGTACGGGCGGAAGACAACCCTCCAGGGCTGGCAGTCAACCAAGCCCCTGTACTCATAGAAGTGAAGCCTGGGGCCCAGCCGGTTAGGTAAAAACAGGACCCGGTCCCCAGAGAAGCCCTTCAAGGTATCCAGGTCCATCTCAAGCACCTAAGACCTTTTGGAATTAGAGTTCCTTGTCAGTCTCCATGGAACACTCCCCTCCTGCCTGTTCCCAAGCCACGGACCAAGAACTACAGGCCAGTACAGGATTTGCGCTTGCTTCATCAAGCTACACTGACTTTACATCCAACAGTACCTAAGCCGTCCACATTGTTGGGGTTGCTGACAGCTGAGGACAGCTGGTTCACCTGCTTGGACCTGAAAGATGCTTTCTTGCCTATCAGATTAGCCCCTGAGAGGCAGAAGCTGTTTGCCTTTCAGTGGGAAGATCTGGAGTCAGGTGTCACTACTTAGTACACTTGGACTGGGCTTCCCCAAGGGTTCAAGAACTCCCCCACCATTTTCGGGGAGGTGTTGGCTGGAGACTTCCAGAAGTTTCCCAGCAGAGACCTAGGCTGCATGTTTCTCCAGTAGGTTGATGACCGTTTGCTGGGACACCCCACGGCAGTCGGGTGCGCCAAGGGAACAGATGCCCTACACCAGCACCTGGAGGACTGTGGGTAGAAGGTGTCCAAGAAGAAAGCTCAGATCTGCCAACAGCAGGTACATTACTTGGGATTTACTATCCGAAAGGGGGAAGTCAGCCTGGGATCAGAAAGAATGCAGGTCATTTGCAATCTAGCAGAGCCTAAGAGCAGAAGGCAGGTGAGAGAATTCTTAGGAGCCCTGGGGTTTTGTAGACTGTGGATCCCAAATTTTGCAGTATTAGCCAACCTTTGTATGAGGTCACAAGGGGGCGGGGACCAGGAATTTTTGAATGGGGATCCCAACAACAGCAAGTCTTTCATGTGTTAAAGAAAAAACTTATGTCAGCCCCAGCCCTGGGGCTACCTGATCTGACAAAGCCTTTTCCATTGTATGCATCAGAGAGAGAAAAAATGGCAGCTGGACTTTGAACCCAAACTGTGGGGCCCTGGCAGAAAGGATGGCCCCCGTGTTTGAGGGCCTTGGCAGCAACTGCCCTGCTAGTACAAGAAGCACATAAGCTGACTCTTGGCCAAAACCTGAACATAAAGGCCTCCCGTGTTGTGGTGACTTTAATGAATACTAAAGGACGTCATTGGGTAACGAATGCCAGACTCACCAAGTACCAAACTTTGCTCCGTGAAAATCTCCGTATAACCATTGAAGTTTGTAACACCCTAAACCCTGCCACCTTGCTCCCGGTATCAGAGAGCCCTGTCGATCATGATTGTATAGAAGTGTTGGACTCTGTTGACTCTAGCAGACCTGACCTCTGGGACCAGACTTAGGCATCAGCAGACCAGGAACTATAGGTGGATGGGAGCAGCTTCTTCAACCCCCAAAGAGAGAGAGGTGCAGGGTATGCAGTGGTAACCCTGGACACTGTTGTTAAAGCCAGATCTTTGCCCCAGGGCACTTCAGCTCAGAAAGCTGAACTCATTGTTTTAATTTGGGCTTTAGAACTCAGTGAAGGTGAGACTGTCAACATTTACGCTGATCCTCTGTATGCCTTTTTAACCCTTCAAGTGCATGGAGCATGATAGAAAGAAAAAGGCCTGCTGAACTCTGGGGGAAAAGACAGAAAGTAACCACAAGAAATCTTGCAATTATCAGAAGCAGTATGGAAACCCCACAAGGTGGCAGTTGTGCATTGCAGAGGACACCAGCGAGCTTCCACCTTGGTGGGTTTGGGGAACTCCCGTGCTGACTCAGAGCCTCGACAAGCAGCATCTGCCCCCTTCCGGGCATCAGTCACAGCCCCTCTGCTCCCTCAAGCACCTGATCTTGGACCTACTTATTCTAAGGAAGAAAAGGACTTTCTCCAGGTAGAGGGAAGGACAAGTGATGGAGGAAGGATGGATTCAGTTACCAGATGGCAGAGTAGCTGTGCCACAGCTGCTAGGAGCTGCAGTTGTACTGGCTGCGCAGAAAACCACCCATCTAGGTCAGGAGTCACTGGAAAAGTTGGTAGGCTGGTATTTCCACATCTCGCATTTGTCAGCCCTTGTCAAAACGGTGCCCCAGTGGTGTGTTACCTGCCGACAGCATAATGCGAGGCAAGGTCCAGCTGTTCCGTCCGGCATACAAGCTTATGGAGCAGCCCCCTTTGAAGATCTCCAGGTAGACTTCACAGAGGTGCCAAAGTGTGGAGGTAACAAGCATTTACTAGTTCTTGGGTGTACCTACTCTGGGTGGGTGGAGGCTTATCCAACACGAACTGAGAAAGCTCATAAAGTAACCCCTGTGCTTCCTCCAGATCTGATTCCTACATTTGGACTGCCCTTACGGATCGGCTCAGATAACGGGCCTGCGTTTGTGGCTGACTTGGTACAGAAGACGGCAAAGGTATTGGGGATCACACGGAAACTGCATGCCGCCTCCTGGCCTCAGAGTTCTGGAAAGGTGGAGCAGGTGAATCGGACTATCCAAAATAGTATTAAAGTCTTCCCCGCTGCATATTTAAAACAACACCACAAGGGGCGTCAAACCGCCTGCTAAATTTGAGGGAATGTTATCCTCTACTCCCCTCCCCCGGCTCCGGATATTAGAGACAATAACACAGGGATAATGTACACCCACTGCTTTACTGGGAGTAATATCATCCTCTCCCTTCGTGGATATTAGGAACAATATCACACAGTGCGTGTACGTCTGTCGCGACATTCAATGGAATGTCATCCTGTGCCTCCCTGGATATGACGAACAATATCACGGAGGATGTACAACTTCTGAGATATTGGGAGTGATATCAATTTCTCCCTTCTGGAAGTTAGGGACAACATCACAGGGGTAGTGTACAGCCTCTGGGATGTTGGGACTCATATCATCCTCCCGCCCCCTGGATATTAAAAACCATATCACAAGGGGCGTGTACACACACTTCGATGTTGGTATGAATACCATCCTCTCCCTCTTTGGATATTCGGTGCGATATTTCAGGTGGGGTTTACACCACCTGCAATCTTGGAAGTAATATTATTTTCTCCCCCCCGAGGATATTAGAAACAATATCACAGGGGGGTGTGAACAACCCCTGCGATATTTGGAGTAATATCATCGTCTCCCCTCAAGAATATTGAGAGCAGATCGTAGGGGTGGGGTGTGTACACCCCCTTTGATATTTGATATCATCCTCTTCCCCCATGGATATTAGGAACAATACGAGGAAGGGATGTACAGACTCTGTGACATTTGCTGTCATATAATTGTCTCTCCCCTACATATTAGGAAATATGAAACTGGGGATGTGAACAGCCCTGCGATATTGGGAGTAGTATCATCCTGTCCCCACTTGCATATTAGGAACAACATCACAGGAGGGGTGTACTGCCTCTGCGATATTGGGCCTAAAATTATCCTCTCTTCCCCTGGATATTAGGAAGGGTATCAGAGGAGGAGGGTGTACATTCCCTGCGATATTCAATGTCACCTTATCCTCTCCCTCCCAGGGTATTCAGGACAATAGTACAGGAGGGGTGTATACCCCCTGTGATATTGAGAGTCATATCATCCTCTTTCGCTCTGGATATTAGGAACAATATCACAGGGTTGCATAAGCCCCCTTCGATATTGGAAGTCATATCATCCTCTTTCCCTGTGGATATTAGGAAGAGTATCACAGGGCTGTGTAAACCCCCTGCAGTACTGGGAGTAATATTATCCTCTCTCCCTCTGGATATTAGGGAGATTTTCACAAGGGTGTGTACTCCCCCTGCGATATTGGGAGTAAGATCATCCTCTCCACCCAGGAAATGACTAACAAGGTCACGGGAGTTGTACTCCCCCTGCGATATTGGGAGTAATGTCGTTCTCCCCAAACCTGGACGTTAGCAACAAATCACAGAGGGGGTGTACACGCCCTGCGATATTGGAAGCAGTATGATCCTCTCCCCTCCTGGATACTGGGAAAGATATCATAGCGCAGGTGTACATTTCCTACGCTGTTGGGAGTAGTATCATTCTTTTCCTTTCTGGATATAAGGAAGAATATCACAGGGGTGCTGTAGAATTACTTCGATATTGGGAGTAATATCATCCTCTATTTCCCTGGATATTGGGCGCAATAACACAAAAAGTTGTACAACCCCTGCCATATTGGGAGTAATATCATACTCTCCTTCCCTGGATGTTAGAAAACAATATCAGCAGGGCTGAACACCCCCTGCGATAATGGGAGTAATATTTACTCTTTCACAGGCCATTTGGAGCAATATCACAGGGGGTGTTTACAAACAGGGGTGGTGTACACCCCCTGTGATATTGGAAGTAACATCATTCTCTCCACCTCCGGATATTAGCAACAATATCCCGGCGGGAGGTGGTACACCCCCAGTGATATTGGGAATAATATCATCCTCTCCTTCCCTGGATATTAGGAACAATATCACAGGGGAGTGTACACCTTCTGTGATATTGGAAGCAATATCATCCTCTCCCCCACTGGATATTAGAAAAAATATCACTCATGGTGTACACCCACAGTGATATTAGGAAGAATATTACAGGGTGTACACCCACTTTGACTTTAGGAGAAATAGCTCCCTAAAAGGTCACAAATAATATCACAGGGTATAGAGTAATATCTCCCTAGGATATTACAAATACTATCACAGGGTGTACACCCACTGTGATAACAGGAGTAATACATCCCAAGTATACTACCAATAATATCACAAGGCTGTACACCCACTATGACATAAGGAGTGATATCTCCCTAGGATATTACGAATAACATCACAGAATGTACACCCATGCTGTGCACCCATGGTGATATTAGGAGTAATATCAACCCAGGACGTAACCAATAACACCACAGGGAGTACAGACATGAGGGACACCCACGGTGATATTATAACTATCTCCTTAGGATAATACGAATAACATCACAGAGTGTACACACATGGTACACACCCACTGTGGCACTAGGACTAGTAACTTTCTAAGATATTATGAATAGCATCACAGAGTAGAAACACATGGTGTACACCCACTGTAACATTAGGCGTAATTTCTCCCTAGGATATTACGAGTAACATCTCAGTGTGTATACACCTGGTGTACACGCACTGTGACATTAAGGGTAATATCCACCTAGGATATTATGAATAACATCACAGGGTGTCCACCCATGGTGTACATGCACTGTGATGTTCGGAATAATATCTCCCTAGGATATTACAAATAACACCACAGGGTGTACAGAAACTGTGATATTACAGGTAATATCTCTCTAGGATATTATGAATCATATCACAGGGTGTACACCCACTGTCATACTGGGAGCAATATCTCTCTAGGATAGTACGAATAATATCACAGAGTGTACACTCACTGTGATATGAGGAGAAATATCTTTCTGGGATATTACGAATTAGATCACAGAGTGTACACACATAGTGTACGTCCACTTTGATATTAGGAATAATATGTTCCTAGGACATTACAAATAACATCACAGAGTGTGCACCCACTGTAATATTAGGGATCATATTTCCCTGGGTGATTACAAATAATATCACATGGTGTACGACCACTCTGATGTCAGGAGCAATATCTCCCTAGGATATCAAAAATCATATCACAGGGTGTACAATCTCTGCCTTCCAGGTTCTGAGGGATTCTCCTGCTTCAGTCTCCCGAGTAGCTAGGGTTACCTGCCACCACGCCCGGCTAATGTTTTTTTATTTTCACTAGAGATGGAGTTCCACCACGTTGGCCAGGCTGGTCTGGAACCCCTGATCTCAGGTGATCCATCAGCCTCGGCTGCCCAAAGTGCTGGGATTACAGGTGTGAGCCATCGCGCTCGGCCAAGAGTTCTATATTCAATTAATTTGGAAACACAGCTCCCATATTTGAGTGTGCATGTACTTTTATGAAGAAATGATGTCAGAAAACCTAAGGATGATAATAAATGTGAAAAGTAACTGGCATGGGAAAAGGTCTTCCGATTAAGAACTCTAAGGTTCCATTTCGTTTTTAGAGAATGCGGTCCTAGCTCTTGTATCATCCTTTGAGATATTCTACATCAAAGGAATTGGTAGCACGGTGTCAGAATAAAATAGAGTGTATTTCCCTGCTTCTTAATTTCTTTCAATTAGTCTGAGATCTTTTTCTTAAAGAGAGAAGAACATTTGTATTGCATTTTGTTTTTTCTGAAAAGAGTAGGCCGTATTTTACTGAGATTAGGGATTTCTTATGTATTACCTTTTGGTCTTCTAACATTCTTCAGTGGATTTTCTCTAAAGTAGTATGTACAGAAAGAGTTGAAGAGGAAAAAAGTAAATCATGTCATAATTCTGAGATTTTGGGGTTTGTCACAACTGAGAAATATTGCTGATGGTGTATGGTCCTCAAGTGTGAAAATATTCCTTGTGAATTGCTGGCATCCAAAATGTGCACACAGCATTAAGGCTGGTTTTTATCTTTTCATTTTTCCAATCCTCTTTTCTTCTCAAGGTGTCCAAGTCACACAGAGCCACGGAATCTCACAGGTGTCTGAAAAGTGCTCCTGGGACTCTCTCTGAGAGGATCCAGAACTGCAGCCCATCCTCGCTGGGCTGTCCCTGTCCATGTATCTGGTCACGGTGCTGAGGAACGTGCTCATCATCCTGGCTGTCAGCTCTGACTCCCACCTCCACACCCCCATGTACTTCTTCCTCTCCAGCCTGTGCTGGGCTGACATCGGTTTCACCTCGGCCACTGTTCCCAAGATGACTGTGGACATGCAGTCGCATAGCAGAGTCATCTCTTATGTGAGCTGCCTGACACAGATATCTTTCTTGGTCCTTTTTGCATGTATGGAAGACATGCTCCTGTGATGGCCTATGACAGAGTTGTGGCCATCTGTCACCCCCTGCACTATCCAGTCATCATGAATCCTCACCTTCGTGTCTTCTTAGTTTTGCTGTCCTTTTTCCTTAGCTTGTTGGATTCCCAGCTGCACAGTTGGATTGTGTTACAATTCACCTTATTCAAGAATGTGGAAAACTCTAGTTTTGTCTGTGACCCCTCTCAACTTCTCAACCTTGCCTGTTCTGACAGCGTCATCAATAGCATATTCATATATTTCGATAGTACTATGTTTGGTTTTCTTCCCATTTCAGGGATCCTTTTATCTTACTATAAAATTGTCCCCTCCATTCTAAGGATGTCATCATCAGATGGGAAGTATAAAGCCTTCTCCACCTATGGCTCTCAACTGGCAGCTCTTTGCTGATTTTATGGAACAGGCATTGGCATGTACCTGACTTCAGCTGTGGCACTACCCCCCAGGAATGGTGTCGTGGCATCAGTGATGTAGGCTGTGGTCACCCCCATGCTGAACTTTTTCATCTACAGCCTGAGAAACAGGGACATACAAAGTGCCCTGCGGAGGCTGCGCAGCAGAACAGTCGAATCTCATGATCTGTTCCATCCTTTTTCTTGTGTGCGTGAGAAAGGGCAACCACATTAAATCTCTGCATCTGCAAATCCTGCCCCTTAGTCACATTATTTTTGTGGCTTGATGGCTTTTATTCCTTTCCGCATTTCCTATGCGAATATTGCTTTCTTTGTTATGTCTTTAACTGCAATGGGTGAGGATTCTGGGATCCTTTGTTGAGCAGAAACCTCATGACTGAATCCTCTATATCTAGGCAGCCTCCTTTAGTTTCTGCGCAATAACACTGTCATCCAGGTGGAATCACAACCATCTTTTTATACACACGAAGTCCTCACTTCATTTTGGAATTCCCTGAAAATTGACTTTATGGAGACAATGTACAGAAGGTCCTCCGACACCATTGGTGTGTTCAAAGTTGTTTGGTTATAATATTGGTGAGGAATCCGTGGTTTCACTATACAGAATTTTGCCTAAAGGTGAGGTTTCCAAGAGACTTTCAAAGATGTTAAGTGAGGATATACTGTACATGAAATTCATATCCTCTTCCAGAGTTTATGTGGAATTTCTTTATAAACTGTTCTAGAGAATCTATTTAGGCAGTTTGTGTGTAGAGATCCATGTCACTGGTCCTCAATCTTGGTTTTGAGTCATATGAACTGGGGAGCTTACAAATGATGAGGCCTGGGTCTCAATACCTGAGATTCTGATTTACTTGCACCTGTGTGAGTATGTGGTTTTTTTTTTTTTTTTTTTAAGCACCAGAGGTTGTTCCAATGAAGAAGTTTTTAGAGGCATCAAGCTCCAATGAGTAAGAAGAGAAGTTAATTGTAATCTGATTTCTTCAACTATGATCTTCAAATGCATTGTCCATCAACACCATACAAATGTTTATTATGCTGTTTTTTCTTACCATTTAGCATGTTCTATTTTTTTTTCTTTTTCTTTGTTTTTGTTGAGGCAGAGTTTCACTCTTGTTGCCCAGGCTGGAGTGCAATGGCATGATCTCAGCTCACTGTAAACTCCGCTTCCCATATTCAAGCAATTCTCCTGTCTCAGCCTTCCAAGTAGCTGGGATTACAGGCATGCGCTACCATGCCTGGCTAATTTTTTATTTATTTTATTTATGTTTGTATTTTAACTGGATACAGTGTTTCTCCATATTGGTGAGGCTG
The DNA here is from genome assembly GCF_000001405.40 of Homo sapiens. Lineage (NCBI taxonomy): Eukaryota > Metazoa > Chordata > Mammalia > Primates > Hominidae > Homo > Homo sapiens. The sequence continues at coordinate 5,897,275 of NW_018654717.1, read as the reverse complement.
GTCTTGAACTCCCGATCTCAGGTGATCCGCCCTCTTCAGCCTCCCAAACTGCTGGGATTACAGGCGTGAGTGACCACGCCCAGCCACCACTTAGCATTTTCATTTTACATTTCTTCAAGTTGGAGATTTATACACACATTGATTGCTGCTTTGTTATACACTCACATATACATAAGATGGGAAATAGAAAAGAATAAAATGGGCACAGTATCCCTGAAGTTTCACATTCCGAGATATTTTAAAAATATTTCCTTTTTAGAAATTTGTTTCAATTTAGAAACTGTGGTATGCACACACAATGAAGTATTATTCAGCCTAAAAAGGAATGAAATCCTCTCCACTGCAGACAAAATGGATGAGATGGCAGGTCTGTATATGAAGTGAAATAAGCCAGGCAGAGAATGACAAATATTTCATGTCCTCACTTATATGTAGGAACAAAAAAGAAAATCTTGGCCAGGTGTGGTGGCTGAGGCCTGGAATCCCAGCATCTTGGAAGACAGAGATTGGCGGATCACCTGAGGTGAGGAATTCAAGACCAGCCTGACCGTCTTGGTGAAACCCTGTCTCTACAGAAAATGCAAAAAAATTAGACGAGCGTGGTGGCATGTGCCTATAGTCCCAGCTACTCAGGAGGCTGAGGCACAAGAATCGCTTGAACCCGGGAGGCGGAGGTTGCAGTGAGCCCAGATTGTGCCACTTCACTCCAGCCTGTGTGACAGAGTGAGACTCCATGTAAACACAAAACAAAACAAAACCAAGAAAGAAAGAAAGAAAGAAGGAAAGAGAGAGAGAGAGAGAGACAGAAAGAAAGAAAGAAAGAAAGAAGGAAAGAGAGAGAGAGAGAGAGACTGAAAGAAAGAAAGAAAGAAAGAAAGAAAGAAACCAAAAAAACCAGACAGGCAGTTCTGACACAGGCTGCAACGTGTATGAACCTTGAAGACATTATCGTCAGTGAAGTAAATAAATCCCAAAAGGATAAACACGACCAGGCTCAGTGGCTCGCACCTGTAACCCCAGCACTTTGGGGCGCTGAGGCAGGCAGATCACTTAAGGTCAGGAGTTCGAGACCAGCCTGTCCAATAAGGTGAAAGCTCGTCTCTATTAAAAATACAAAAATTAGCTGGGCGTGGTGGCGCACACCTGTAATCCCAGCTACTCGGGAGACTAAGACACAAGAATCGCTTGAATCCCCGATGTGGAGGTTGCAGTCAGCCCAGACCATGCCACCGCACTCCAGCCTGGGCTACAGAGAAAGACTCTGTCTCCAAAACAAACAAATAAAAAAATTAAACACGGTAGGATTCCACCTACATCAAGGGTCTAGAGTAGTTAAACTCATAGAGCTGCAAAATAGAATGGTGGCCCCCAGGGATGGGCGAGAGAGAGGAATGGAGAGTTTGGTTAATGGGTGCAATTTCCATTTTGAAAGATAAAACTGTTCTGGAGATGATGGCGGTGATGGTTGCTAAACACTGTGAATGTACCTAATGTGATTAAACTGTAAACTGAAAAATAGTGGAAATTGTCAATGTTGATACTGGCCATTCTATATGAAATAATATATATTTATAATTTTTAAGATGTATACGTGGTATATTTTCCCATCATAACAGATGAAAACAAAAGCACTTCGGTCTTGCAAAAGGAAAGAAAGAAGCGAATAATCCACACAAGCTTCCTCCTGATTAGAGGAAAAGCCCCAGAGCTTCTATGGACACTCACTTTTCTCTTCTTCTTTCATAATTATGAGGAAATCCTTAGAGGTTGGGGAACTTGGGCGACTTTGGCTAATGAGGAGCTCTGTGCCTTGAGCCTCCCAGGCCACAGAATAGTAAATAGTCAGTCTGTGCCTCCAGCCCTGCATGTGAGGTTCCAGTCCTGTGGGCTCCACACCCGTCACCTGTATCAGGAGGCTCATGTCTCACCCTGTCTTCTTGCCAGCCTTGAGGACGGAGTCTGAGCCCCCAGTGTGCACCACGCAGGGAGGACAGTGGACCTGTTCTCCGTGGTCATGGCCCAGCAGAGGGGAAGGGCGGTTCCGTGAGTGCTGAGGGACGGTCGGGAGCCTTGTTTGGTTTCCTCCTCCTCAGGACAAACAGGAGAGTGCCGTGGGCAGATGGGAGGAGACCAATGTGCAAACTGTCAGCTCAGCAGACTGTGGAGTTTCTGTTCTTGGTTATGGTGGGGGGTGTCTCTCTCGGAAATCTCATTCAAAATGTTGCTTTCCTCCCCAACTGGTTATCCTTTTCATAGACATCTCACCCATGATAGCAGGGAATGAGTCCCTCTAAACTAATCCATCAGAACAACAAAAAGAGGATGAAGGTGATGATGAGGATAAAGACGATGATGACGGACACCATGGCATCATGAACCCTTACTGAGGGTTTCCTGAAGGCCAGGCTCTGAGCTCTGTGCTCTATGCAGCTTGTTTCATTTCATCTGCATAGTCTCCACGTTATTAGTGCACATTTCATGATGATTTTACAGACTAGAAAAGGAGCAACGCATTTTCATAGAACTTGTAGCAGATCGTGAAGTCAAAAAGGGTGAAGTCCAATTTGAACCAGGCAGTCTAAGTCCAGACACATGACATTTGGCCAGTTCTCTCCCTGCATCCAACCTGCCTTCTGAAATCCTTGTCACTCAGGCCGACGCCCCTGCTCCCTGTGCCCTTCCCTTTGGGGGTCCCTTGTAGAACACAGCTAGAGCAGTGGGTGCCACAATCACTGCGTCAAGTATGGAAAGGGTAGCTGAGATCACATCAAAGATTCCAGAAAGAATGGGCACAGGATCATTCGGGATGCCTCTCTCCCTTGCCCCTGTTCCTGGCTTTCCTTACAGCTCTGGGCTTCCTCAAAGGGGTCATCAATTCAGAGTTTGGCTTCCATTCATATTGAGGAAGCTGGAAACCATTTCAAAAATGCTCCTCCAATGTGCCTGTGATTAAGACCTCTGAGCTCTGCTTAAAACTTTTTGAAGCTGGGCGCGGTGGGTCATGCCTGTAATCCCAGCACTTTGGGAGGCTGATGCAGGTGAATAACAAGGTCAGGTGTTCGGCTGAGGCAAGAGAACAGCTTGAACCTGGGATGCGGAGGTTGCAGTGAGCCGAGATCTGTCCATTGCACTCCTGCCTGGGCAACAGAGCGAGAATCCATCCCAAAGAAACAAAAACAAAACCCCCCAAAAAAACCCCACAACTTTTTGAGAGTTGGGAGACCATCAAGTATAGTACCTGGGACTTAGAGTCTGGCCATTAATTTTCAGTACCACCCTTTCTACTTATCTGTATGGCAAGGGGTGAGATGTCCATCCTCTGGGACTCAGCACTCTCATCTGAGTTGATTTCTAGTTGATCCAATAGAACTGAGCGATGATTAAACAGATCGTCGGTGCCCTTCGTTAATATTTTAGGCTTAAACTCCACACAGTCCAACAGAAATATCCCCTGACCTGAAGTTCTGGTTTCCCTGTATTCCACGCAGGACATTTTTTTTGTCCTTCTCTCAGTAAGTACTGGGTACTGTGAGAGGAACAAGTGAGTCTCTTTTGTTTCTGATTCCCCAGAGCCGATATCTTGCTTGGCATACAGGAGACAGCAAAAGTAAAAATCTATGTGAATTATTGAATTGACACTTCCTTGGTTCACAAAAATTGGCTGTCATCAGTGTGACATCAGTGTGACAGAGTGCGTGTTTTTTATTTTTTGTTTTTTGAGATGGAATTTTGCTCTTGTTGCCCCGGCTGGAGTGTAGTGGTGTGATCTCGGCTCACTGTAGCCTCTGCCTCCCAGGTTCAAGCCATTCTCCTGCCTCAGCCTCCCGAGTAGCTGGGACTACAGGCACGCGCTGCCATACCGGGCAAAGTTTTTGTATTTTTAGTAGAGGCGGGGTTTCACCACGTTGGCCAGGATTGTCTTGATCTCCTGACCTCGTGATCCGCCCTCCTCGGCCTCCCAAAGTGCTGGCATTACAGGCATCAGCCACCGCGTCCAGCCAAATGTTCTGATGAAAACTCTAAGTCCACCTAACGTAAGGACAGGAGTTAGAGCTTCCATGAATTTTAAAACAAGACCCACCGATTTGAGGAAGCAATTACTCTCTGGAAGGAGAAAAGTCAGAAAACATAATGACAAAATCACTAGGACCTATCTGGCCTGTGGAACTATTTTCTGCTTATGAACTATCAACTTTCATTTCATTTCCAGATGGCATCGTCTCAGCTGTTATACAGTGCTTATAAATCTTCTACATCAAGGGAATTTGTATCAGTGTATTCGAATCAAAGAAAATGAGATCTTAATTTCCTTTAATTAGAATAACCTTTTTCTTAAAGTGAGGAAAATGGTTCCATTACAGAGTTTTCTTCGGAAAAGATAGGCTGTATTTTCTAGTAATTGTGAATTTGTTCTATATTATGATCTGGTTCTTGGAACATTCTTGAATCTAGTGTCTCTAAGACAGGTGTGTACAGCAAGAAGTGAATAACACAGAAATCAATGATGAAAGCATTAGAAGACAATTAAGTTTGTCAGAACTGCAAAATATTGCTGAGTGTGGATTGTTCTGAAATCTGAAAACATGACTTGTGAATTGCTTCTATCCAAAGTGCAGACACGATGCTGGGTGTTGGTTTACTTGTTTCCGATTTTTGAACCCTCTTTCCTAGGCAAAAGGTGTCCAATCTCTACATACCCGCAGAATTTAACAGATGTCTCTTTATTCCTCCTCCTAGAAGCTCAGAGGATCCAGAACAGCAGCCTGTCCTCGCTGGACTGTTCCTGTCCATGTGCCTGGTCACGGTGCTGGGGAACCTGCTCATCATCCTGGCCGTCAGCCCTGACTCCCACCTCCACACCCCCATGTACCTCTTCCTCTCCAACCTGTCCTTGCCTGACATCGGTTTCACCTCCAGCATGGTCCCCAAGATGATTGTGGACATCTAATCTCACAGCAGACTCATCTCCTAGGCAGGCTGCCTGACTCCCATGTCTCTCTTTGCCATTTTTGGAGGCATGGAAGAGAGACATGCTCCTGAGTGTGATCCCTATGACCCGTTTGTAGCCATCTGTCACCCTCTATATCATTCAGCCATCATGAACCCGTGTTTCTGTGGCTTTCTAGTTTTGTTGTCTTTTTTTTCTCAGTCTCTTTTAGACGCCCAGGTGCACAACTTGATTGCCTTACAAATGACCTGCTTCAAGGATGTGGAAATTCCTAATTTCTTCTGGGAACCTTCTCAACTCCCCCATCTTGCATGTTGCGACACCTTCACCAATAACATAATCATGTATTCCCCTGCTGCCATATTTGGTTTTCTTCCCATCTCGGGGACCCTTTTCTCTTACTATAAGATTGTTTCCTCCATTCTGAGGGTTTCATCATCAGGTGGGAAGTATAAGGCCTGCTCCACCTGTGGGTCTCACCTGTCAGTTGTTTGCTGATTTTATGGAACAGGCTTTTGGGGGTACCTCAGTTCAGATGTGTCATCTTCCCCGGGAAAGGCTGCAGTGGCCTCAGTGATGTACACGGTGGTCACCCCCATGCCGAACCCCTTCATCTACAGCCTGAGAAACAGGGATATTAAAAGCGTCCTGCGGCGGCCGCACGGCAGCACAGTCTAATGTCAATATCTCCTTATCTGTTCCATGCCTTTTGTAGTGTGGGTTAAAAAAGGCAGCAAGGTCAAATAAGAATGATATCACAGGGTGAACACCCACTGTGATATTAGGAGTAATACCTCCCTAGGATATAGAACATACTGTCATAGAGTATACACATATGGGGTACACTCACTGTGATATTAGAAGGAATATCTCCCTAAAGTATGATGAAAAATATCACAGAGTGTGCACTCTGTGTGATATGAGGAGTAATATTTACCCTGGATATTACGACTAATATCAAGGGTGTACACACACGAGGTACACGCACTGTGACATCAGGAGTTGTATCTCCCTAGGATATTATGAATACTATCACAGGGTATACACTGTGTGTGTACATCCACTGTGACATTTGAAGTAATATCTCTCTATGAGATTATAAGTAACATCAAACTGTGTACGCCCCTGTGACATATTAGGAGTAACATCTTTCTAGGGTATTACAGATAACGTCACAATGTGTACACCTCCTATGACGTTTTGTACACTCTTTGTGACATTAAAAGAAACATCCCCCTAGGATATTGTGAATAATGACACAGGAGGCGTACACACATGGTGTACACTGCCTGTGTCATCAGGAGTAACATTCCCCTAGGATATTACAAATAATATCACAGCAGGTGTACACACATGGTGTACACCCCATGTGACATTCAGAAGAGTATGCCCCTAGGTTATTAGGAATAGTGTCACAGGCGTGGAATACACATTTTTAATGCGTAATGTCACCCCCGGTGACATTAAAAATAACATCCCCCTTGTATATTACGAATAATATGACAGGGAGTACACCCCGTGTGACATTAGGAGTAACATCCCCCGAGGATATAACGAATAATATCAGAGGGTGTACATGCATTGTGACTTTAGTAGTAACATCTCTTTAGGATATGACAAATAATATCACAGGCTGTACAGGCATTGTGACATCAGTAGTAACATCCCTCTGGGATATGACGAGTCATATCACAGGGCGTACACCCCCGTTACAATAGTAGCAGCATTCCCATAAAATATTATGAATAATATCACAGCAGGTACAGCCCCTGTGATTTACGAGTAACATGTCTATAGACTATTACAACTCATATCACTGTGTGACTCTGTGTACACCCCGTGTGACTTTAGGAGTAACACCCTACAAAACTATGAGGAAAAATATCACAGGGTGAACACCCCCTGTGAGCTGAGGAATAACGTAGTTTTAGGATATTGTGAATGAAGTGACGAGGTGTACACACCCTGTGACGTTAGGGGTAATATCCGTCTAGGATGTTAGGAAGAATATCACACGGAACACACCCCTTGTGACGTTAGGATATGACAAATAACATCACAAGGTGGACACGCATCATGGCATTAGTGCTAATATCCCTCTGGTACACTGTGAATAATATCACAGGGTGTACATCCCTGTGACATTTGGAGTAACATCCCCCAAGAATAGTAAGAATAATAACACGGGGTGTACACCCCCTGTGACATGAGGAGTATCATCTCGCTAGAATGTTAACGGATAATGTCACAGGGTGTTATCGACGGTGCCAATAGGAGTATAGACCCCTGGGAAATTATGAATAATATCACAGGGTGTACAGCCCTCTGACATTAGGAGTAACATCTTTCTAGATTACCACAAATAAAATCACAATGTGTACACCCCCTGTGTCATTAAAAGTAAAATTGCCCCAGGATATTACGAAATAGAACACAGGGAGCACACCCCGTGTGACATTAGAAGTAACATCCCCCGAGGATATAACGAATAAAATCAGAGAACGTACCTGCATTGGGACATCAGTAGTAACATCTCTTCAGGACATTACGAATAATATCAAAGGGTGTACACGCATTGTGAAACTAGTAGTGAACTCTCGCTAGGATATTACAAATATTATGACAGGGTCTACAGGCCCTGTGACATTAAAAGTAACGTTTTCCTAGAAGATTACGAAGAATATTAAAGGGTGTACAGGACCTGTGAATTACGAGTAACATTTCCATAGCATATTGCACGAAACATCACTGTGTGTACACGCCGTGTGACATTAGAGGTAACATCCCACAAAATTATAACGAATAATTTCAGAAGGGGCGCACCCTCTGTGACATTAAAAGTAACATGTCCCTAGAATACGACGACAAGATCACAGAGTGTACACCCTCTGTGATATGAGCAGTGACATCTTATGAGGATAATACGGGTAATTTGACAAGGTGTACAAACCCTGTGACATAAGAAGTGACATCCCTCTAGGATGTTATGAATACTATCAAAGGGAACATACCCCGTGTGACAATAAAAGTAACCTCCGCTTAGGAGAACAAGAGTAACATCACAAAGTGTACACACATTGTGACATTATTATTAATGACCCGCTAGGATATTGGGAATAACATCACAGTGTAAAGAGTCCTGTGATATCAGGTTTAACAATCCCCAACAAAATTACGAAAAATATTGAAGGGTGTATAGCCCCTGCGACTTTAGCAGCCGCATCTTGCGAGAATATGGAAGATAATGGGCCAGGGCGTGAAACGAGGGTGGCAGTACAGAAAGAATCCAAGGAAAAATCGGGGAGCAATATCACTCCCCACGACCCGCCTTAGATATGACGAAGCACATCGCAGGGGGGTGAGGAGCACCCCACGATGCGGGGAGCCATATCACCCCGCTCTCGCCTCCTGGATATGACGATCCACATGGCAGGGGGGTGAGGCGCCTCCCGCGATGCGGGGAGTAAGAGCCAGCCCCTCTTGCCCGCCTGGCTCTTAGGATCCGCGGTGGTCTCACAGCCTGTTTATCATATTGTGAGTAATATCATCTCCCCTTCTGCAGATTATGAACTGTTTCACAGACCTGTGTACACCCTGGATGTGCAGAAGTTGTACACTCGTCTGTATTGGGAGTCATATCATCCTCTTCCTCCCTGAATATTAGGTACAGTATCTCAGGGCTGTTTCTACTCCCTGGGATATCGGGTGTCATGTCCTCCTGTCCCACGTTGCAATTAGAAACAATATCATTGGGGGCATGTCCGCCTTTTCTGATATTGAAAGTAATATTATCCTCTTCCCTCCAGGATCATGCCAACAATATCCTTGGGGGTGTCCCCTTTCTGCCGTATATGTCGTCACATCACCCCCTCGGCCTTGGAATATTTTTAGGGACCATCTCACTCGGGGGTGTACACTTCCTGCTATTTTGGGAGTAACAGCATTCTCTTCTTCGGTGAATATTAGGAGCAAAATCAACGGGTGGATGCACACCCAGTGCTATATTGGGAATAACGTCATACTCCACCCCCTGGAGATTATATTCAGATCAATATCACCGGCTGTGTGTACACCTACTGCGATATTGAACTTAATATCATACTCTCTCCCTCACTGGACTTTAGGAGCAATATCACAGGTGGGTGTACACCCACTGAGGTATTAGGGTGTAATATGAGCATGAATTATACCTCATTTATTATTAACATCAATATGAATGACCAATATTAATATTAATATTAAGAAATAATTGCTAATAAATAGTTTTCAGATTATTAATATTAACAAGAATTATTAGGAGCTAATATTACTGTTTTCTAATGAATAAGATCAATATCAGTTATTAATATCAGGCCTCATTAATCATTAATATTAATCATGTATTATTATCGTTAGCATAAATATTTAATATTAATTATCATTATTATCAGTATTGATTTTAAAAATTATATTATGGGTTATTAATATTGATAAATATTAGTGTGAATTAATAATTGAGATTATTAATTGCGGCAAGTCGCATTGCGCCATTGCACCCCTCCCTCGGCAGCTCGTTTATGACCCTAAACCGGGACACAAATGCCCCTGATAGAGCAGGGGTAGACTGGGATAGATGAGGATGGTCACGTGGTGGAGAGGCGTGTTTTTGGGTACCAGCCCTTCACCTGCGTCGACCTTCTCAACTGGAAAAACAATACACCGCCCTATACCGAAAAGCCACAATCCCTAATTGATTTGCTCCAAGCTGTTATCCAGACCCACAACCACACCTGGGCTGATTGGCACCAGTTGCTCATGTTCCTCTTTAACTGCGAAGAAAGGCGGAGAGTCCTCCAAGCAGCAACTAAGTGGCTAGAGGAACATGCACCAACTGAGTATCAAAACCCCCAAGACTATGGAAGGACCCAGTTGCCAGGAACCGACCCCCAGTTGGACCCACATGGAAGAGAGGATATGCCAAGGCTAAACCGAGACAGGGAAGCTCTCTTGGAAGGATTAATGAGGGGAGCTCAGAAGGCCACAAATGTTAACAAGCTCTCTGAGGTCATTCAGGGAGAAGAAGAAAGTCCAGCACAATTCTACGAGAGACTGTGGGAGGCCTATCGTATGTATACTCCCTTTGATCCCGATAGCCCTGAAAATCAGCGCATGATTCCCATGGCTTTAGTCCGTCAAAGCGCAGAAGACATGAGAAGAAAACTGCAGAAACAGGCTGGGCTTGCAGGGATGAATCCATCCCAATTACTAGAAATAGCTGGCCAGGTGTTTGTAAACAGGGATGCAGTAAGCCGTAAGGAAAACGACAAAGAGAATGGAAGTCAGGCCCGGCGACACGCCGACCTGTTTGTCAGCTGCATCAATCAGAGGGGCCCCCCAACAAAGAGGCAAGGGAAGGAGGGCCCTGGGAAAGAAACTCAGCTTGGCTGTCAGAGTTTGCAGCGTAACCAGTGTGCTGATTGTAAAGAAATAGGACAGTGGAAGAACAAATGCCCTGAGCTCAAAAGAAAACAAGGTGACTCAGAGCAGGAGGCCCTGGACAAGGACGAATAGGCCCTGCTCAACCTGGCAGAAGGGTTCTTGGACTGAGGGAGACCGGGCTCAAGCGTCCCCATTGAGCCTCTGGTCAGAATGAGAGTCGGGGGTGGAGACATTGACTTTCTTGTAGATAGCGGTGCTGAACATTCGGTAGTAACCGCCCCGGTCACCCCCTTATCCAAAAAGACTACTGACGTCATCGGAGCCAAGGGGGTTTCAGCAAAGCAAGCTTTCTGCTTGCCTCGGACTTGTACTGTAGGAGGACATAAAGTCATTCATCAGTTTTGGTACATGCCTGACTGTCCCTTGACCTTTTCGTTAAGGAACTTGCTCAGCAAGCTGAGAACCACTATCTGTTTGACAGAGCACGGATCTTCGTTGCTAAGGTTACCCAGAACGGGAGTCATTATGACCCTTACGGTCCCCCGAGAGGAGGAATGGAGACTTTTCTGAACTGAGCCGGGCCAAGAGAGAAGACCAGCTCTGGCTAAGCGGTGGCCAAGAGTACGGGCAGAAGACAACCCTCCGGGATTTGCCAGTTAAGACTGGGGCCCTGCCAGTAAGGCAAAAACAGGAGGCGGTCCCCAGAGAAGCCCTTCAAGGTATCCAGGTCCATCTCAAGCACCTAAGAACTTTTGGAATGATTGTTCCTTGTCAGTCTCCATGGAACACTCCCCTCCTGCCTGTTCCCAAGCCATGGACCAAGGACTACCGGCCGGTACAGGATTTGCGCTTGCTTCATTAAGCTACACTGACTTTACATCCAACAGTACCTAACCCGTCCACATTGTTGGGGTTGCCGCCAGGTGAGGACAGCTGGTTCACCTGCTTGGACTTGAAAGACGGTTTCTTTCCTATCAGATTAGCCCCTGAGAGGCAGAAGTTGTTTGCCTTTCAGTGGGAAGATCCAGAGTCAGGTGTCACTACTCAGTACACTTGGACCGGGCTTCCCCAAGGGTACCATCTTCGGGGAGGCATGGGCTCCAGACCTCCAGAAGTTTCCCAGCAGAGACCTAGGCTGCGTGTTGCTCCAGCAGGTTGATGACCTTCTGCTGGGACACCCCACGGCAGTCGGGTGTGCCAAGGGAAAAGATGCCCTACACCGGCACCTGGAGGACTGTGGGTAGAAGGTGTCCAAGAAGAAAGCTCAGAACTGCTGACAGCAGGTACGTTACTTGGGATTTACTATCTGACAGGGGTCGGAACGCAGCCCGGGATCAGAAAGAAAGCAGGTCATTTGCCATCTAGCAAAGCCTAAGAGCAGAAGGCAGGTGAGAGAATTCTTAGGAGCCGTGGGGTTTTGTAGACTGTGGGTCCCAAACTTTGCACTATTAGCCAAGCCTTTGTATGAGGTCACAAAGGGGGTGGGGACAGGTAACCTTTGGAATGTGGATCCCAACAACAGCAAGTCTTTCATGAGTTAAAGGAAAAACTTCTGGCAGCGCCAGCCCTGGGGCTACCCAATCTGACAAAGCCTTTTCTATTGTATGCATCAGAGAGAGAAAAGATGGCAGCTGGAATTTCAACCCAAACTGTGGGGCCCTGGCCGAGGCCGGTGGCCTACCTCTCTCAACAACTAGACGGGGTTTCTAAACGATGGCCCCCCTGTTGGAGGGCCTTGGCACCAACTGCCCTGCCAGTATAAGAAGCAAATAAGCTGACTCTTGGGCAAAACCTGAACATAAAGGCCTCCCGTGCTGTGGTGACTTTAATGAATACTAAAGGACATCATTGGCTAACGAATGTCAGACTCACCAAGTACCAAACTGCTCTGCGAAAATCCCCTCATAACTATTGAAGTTTGTAACACCCTACACCCTGCCACCTTGCTCCCAGTATCAGAGAGCCCTGTTGATCATGATTGTATAGAAGTGTTGGACTCTGTTGACTCTAGCAGACCTGACCTCCGGGACCAGCCTTGGGCATCAGTAGACTGGGAACTATACGTGGATGGGAGCAGCTTCTTCAACCCCCAAGGAGAGAGAGGTGCAGGGTATGCAGTGATAACTCTGGACACTGTTGTTGAAGCCAGATCGTTGCCCCAGGCCACTTCAGTCCAGTAAGCTGAACTCATTGCTTTCATTCGGGCCTTAGAACTCAGTGAGGGTGAGACTGTCAACATTTACACTGATTCTCGGTATGTCTTTTTAACCCTTCAAGTGCATGGAGCGTGATAGAAAGAAAAGGGCCTATTGAACTCTGGGGGAAAAGACAGAAAATATCAAGAAGAAATCTTGCAATGATTAGGAGCAGTATGGAAACCCCACAAGGTGGCAGTTGTGCATTGCAGAAGACACCAGCGAGCTTCCACCTTGCTGGGTTTGTGGAATTCCCGCGCTGACTCAGAGGCTCGAAAAGCAGCATCTGCACCCTTCTGGGCATCAGTGCTCCCTCAAGCACCTGATCTTGGACCTACTTCTTCTAAAGAAGAAAAGGACTTTCTCCAGGTAGTGGGAAGGACAAGTGATGGAGGAAGGATGGATTCGGTTACCAGATGGGAGAGTAGCTGTGCCACAGCTGCTAGGAGTCGCAGTTGTACTGGCTGTGCAAGAAACCACCCATCGAGGTCAGGAGTCACTGGAAAAGTTGTTAGGCCGGTATTTCTACATCTCGCCTTTGTCAGCCCTTGCCAAAACGGTGAGGCAGCGGTGTGTTACCTGCGACAGCATGATGCGAGGCAAGGTCCAGCCGTTCCGCCCGCCATAGAAGCTTATGGAGCAGCCCCCTTTGAAGGTCTCCAGGTGGACTTCACAGAGATGCCAAAGTGTGGAGGTAACAAGTGTGTACTAGTTCTTGGGCGTACCTACTCTGGGTGGGTGGAGGCCTATCCAACACGAACTGAGAAAGCTCGTGAAGTAACCCCTGTGCTTCTTCGAGATGTGATTCCTAGATTTCAACCGCCCTTACAGATCGGCTCAGAAAATGGGCCTGCGTTTTTGGCTGCCTTGGTACAGAAGACGGCAAAGGTATTGGGGATCACACGGAAACTGCATGGCACCTCCCGGCCTCAGAGTTCCGGAAAGGTGGAGCGGATGAATCGGACTATCAAAAATAGTACTATTGTCTTCCCCTCTGGATATTTAAAAGAACACCACAAGGAGCGTCAAACCACCTGCTAAATTTGAGGGAATATTATCCTCTCCCCTCCTCCCCTGGCCCCGGATATTAGAGACAATAACACAGGGGTGATGTACACCCACTGCTTTATTGGGAGTAATATCATCCTCTCCCTTCATGCATATTAGGAACAATATCACACGGTGGGTGTAGGCCTGTCGCGAAATTCAATGGAATGTCATCCTGCTCCTCCCTGGATATGAAGTACAACGTCACGGGGGATGTAGAACTTCTGAGATATTGGGAGTGATATCATCCTCTCCCCTCTGCAAGTTAGGGACAATATCACAGGGGTAGTGTACACCCTCTGGGATGTTGGGACTAATATCATCCTCCCGCCCCCTGGATATTAAAAACCATATCACAAAGGGCGTGTACACACACTTCGATATTGGTGTGAATACCATCCTCTCCCTCTTTGGATATTCGGTGCCATATTTCAGGTGGGGTTTACACCACCTGCAATATTGGAAGTAATATGCGTTTCTCCCCCTCTGGATATGAGAAACAATATCACAGGGGTTTGTGAACAACCCCTGCGATATTTGGAGTAATATCATCGTCTCCCCTCACGATTATTAAGAACAATATCGTAGGGGGGGATGTACACCCCCTTTCATATTTGATATTATCCTCTTCCCCCCTAGATATTAGGAACAATATCAGGAAGGGATGTACATACCCTGTGACCTTTGCTGTCATAGAATTTTCTCTCCCCTAGATATTAGGAAAAAATGTCACTGGGGATGTGAACAGCCCTGCGATATTGAGAGTAGTATCATCCTCTCCCCCCTTGCATATTGGGAACAACATCACAGGTGGGGTGTACTGCCTCTGTGATATTGGGAATGAAATTTTCCTCTCTTCCCCTGGACATTAGGAAGGGTATCAGAGGGAGAGGGTACACATTCCCTGCGATATTCAATGTAACCTTGTCCTCTCCCTCCCAGGGTACTCAGAACAATATTACAGGAGGGGTGTACACCCTCTGCGATATTGAGAGTCATAGCATCCTCTTTCGCTCTGGATGTTAGGAACAATATCACAGGGTTGTGTACACCTCCTGCGATATTGGGAGTCATATCATCCTCTCTCCCTGTGGATATTAGGAAGAGTATCACAGGGCTGTGGAAACCCCCTGCGGTAGTGGGAGTAATATCATCCTCTCTCCCTCTGAATATAGGAAGATTTTCACAGGGGGGTGTACACCCCCTGCGATATTGGGAGTAAGATCATCCTCTCCACCCAGGAAATGACTAACAAGGTCACGGGGGTTGTACACCCCCTGCGATATTGGGAGTAATGTCGTCCTCCCCAAACCTGGATGTTAGCAACGAGATCACAGAGGGGCTGTACACACCCTGCGACATTGGAAGTAATATGATCCTGTCCCCACCTGGATACTGGGAAAGATACCACAGCGCGGGTATACGTTTCCTACGCTGTTGGGAGTAATATCATTCTTTTCCTTTCTGGATATTAGGAAGAATATCACAGGGGTGCTGTACAATTACTTCGATATTGGGAGTAATATCATCCTCTATTTTCCTGGATATTGGGCACAAAAACACAAAAGGGTGTACAACCCATGCGATATTGGAAGTAATAGCATACTCTCCTTCCCTGGATGTTAGAAAACAATATCATCAGGGCTGAACACCCCCCGCTATAATGGGAGTCCTGTGTACTCTTTCACAGGCCATTTGGAACAATATCACAAGGGGTGTTTACAAACAGGGGTGGTGTACACCCCCTGTGATATTGGGAGTAACATCATTCTCTCCACCTCCGGATATTAAGAACAATATCCCGGCGGGAGGTGGTACACCCCCAGTGATATTGCGAATAATGTAATCCTCTCCTTCCCTGTATATTAAGAACAATATCGCAGGGGGGTGTACATCTTCTGTGATATTGGAAGCAATATCATCCTCTTCCCCGCTGGATATTAGAAAAAAATATCACTCACAGTGTACACCCACTGTGATATGAGGAGTAATATCTTCCTAGGGTATTACGAATAATTTCACAGTCTGTACACACATGGTGTACACTCCCTGTGATATTAGGAGTAATATCTACCTAGTAGATACAAATAACATCGCAGGGTGTACACCCACTTTGATATTAGCTGTAATATTTTTCTAAGTTGTTACAAATAAGATCACAGGGTGTACATACATGGTGTACACTCACTGTGATATCAGGAGTCGTATCTCTGTAATGTATTATGAATAATATCACAGGTTGTACACCCACTGTATTATTAGGAGTAATATCTCTGTAGGATATTACAATTAATATCACAGGGTGTAGAGACACCGTGATATTAGGAGCAATATCTTTCTAGGATATTACAAATAATATCAGGGTGTACACCCACTCTGCTGTCATAGCTAGGGTTACCCGCCACCACGCCCAGCTAAATTTTTTTTATTTTCACTGGAGACGGGGTTTCACCACGTTGGCCAGGCTGGTCTGGAACTCCTGACCTCAGGTGATCCATCAGCCTCGGCTGCCCAAAGTGCTGGGATTACAGGTGTGGGCCATGGTGCTGGGCCAAGAGTTATATATTCAATTCATTTGGAAACACAGCTCCCATTTTTGAGTGTGCATGTACTTTTATGAAGAAATGATGTCAGAAAACCAAAGGATGATAATAAATATGAAAAGTAACAGGCATGTGAAAAGGTCTTCCGATTGAGAACTCTAAGGTTCGATTTCGTTTTCAGATAATGGGGTCTTAGCTCTTGCTTCGTCCTTTTACATATTCTACATCAATGGAAGTTGTAGCACGGTGTCAGAATAAAGTAGAGTGTATTTCACGGCTTCTTAATTTCTTTCAATTAGACTGAGATCTTTTTCTAAAAGAGAGAAGGACATTTTCATTGCATTATATTTTTCCTGAAAAGAGTAGGCTGTATTTTACTGAGATCAGGGATTTGTTATATATAACGTTTTGGTCTTCTAATATTCTTCCGTGGATTTTCTCTAAAGTAGTATGTACAGAAAGCCTTGTATAGCAAAAAAGCAAATCACGTAATAATTCTGAGATTTTTGGAATTGTCACAACTGAGAAACATTGCTGGCGATGTATGGTCCGGAAGTGTGAAGATGTTCCTTGTAAATTGCTTGCATCCAGCATTAAGGGCTGGTTTTTATCTTTTATTTTTCCAATCCTCTTTCCTTCTCAAGGTGTCCAAGACACACAGAGCCACGGAATCTCACAGGTGTCTGAGAATTCCTCCTCCTGGGACTCTCAGAGGATCCAGAACTGCAGTCGGTCCTCGCTTTGCTGTCCCTGTCCCTGTCCCTGAATCTGGTCACGGTGCTGAGGAACCTGCTCAGCATCCTGGCTGTCAGCTCTGACTCCCCCCTCCACACCCCCATGTACTTCTTCCTCTCCAACCTGTGCTGGGCTGACATCGGTCTCACCTCGGCCACGGTTCCCAAGGTGATTCTGGATATGCAGTCGCATAGCAGAGTCATCTCTCATGTGGGCTGCCTGACACAGATGTCTTTCTTGGTCCTTTTTGCATGTATAGAAGGCATGCTCCTGACTGTGATGGCCTATGGCTGCTTTGTAGCCATCTGTCGCCCTCTGCACTACCCAGTCATAGTGAATCCTCACCTCTGTGTCTTCTTCGTTTTGGTGTCCTTTTTCCTTAACCTGTTGGATTCCCAGCTGCACAGTTGGATTGTGTTACAATTCACCATCATCAAGAATGTGGAAATCTCTAATTTTTTCTGTGACCCCTCTCAGCTTCTCAACCTTGCCTGTTCTGACAGCGTCATCAATAGCATATTCATATATTTCGATAGTACTATGTTTGGTTTTCTTCCCATTTCAGGGATCCTTTTGTCTTACTATAAAATTGTCCCCTCCATTCTAAGGATGTCATCGTCAGATGGGAAGTATAAAGCCTTCTCCACCTATGGCTCTCACCTAGGAGTTGTTTGCTGGTTTTATGGAACAGTCATTGGCATGTACCTGGCTTCAGCCGTGTCACCACCCCCCAGGAATGGTGTGGTGGCATCAGTGATGTAGGCTGTGGTCACCCCCATGCTGAACCTTTTCATCTACAGCCTGAGAAACAGGGACATACAAAGTGCCCTGCGGAGGCTGCGCAGCAGAACAGTCGAATCTCATGATCTGTTCCATCCTTTTTCTTGTGTGCGTGAGAAAGGGCAACCACATTAAATCTCTGCATCTGCAAATCCTGCCCCTTAGTCACATTATTTTTGTGGCTTGATGGCTTTTATTCCTTTCCGCATTTCCTATGCGAATATTGCTTTCTTTGTTATGTCTTTAACTGCAATGGGTGAGGATTCTGGGATCCTTTGTTGAGCAGAAACCTCATGACTGAATCCTCTATATCTAGGCAGCCTCCTTTAGTTTCTGCGCAATAACACTGTCATCCAGGTGGAATCACAACCATCTTTTTATATACAGGAAGCCCTCACTTCATTTTGGAATTCCCTGAACACTGACTTTATGGAAACAATGTACAGGGTGTCCTCCAACAGCATTGGTTGTTCAAAGTTGTGTAGTTGTACTGTTGAAGAAAAATAAGTGGCTTCACTGTACATAATTTTGCTTCAGGGTGAAGTTTCCAAGAGACTTTCAAAGATGTTAAGTGAGGACATACTGTACATTAAATTCATATCCTCTTCCACAGTTCATGTGGAATTTCTTTATAAACTGCTTCTAGAGAATCTATATAGGCAGGTTCTGTGTAGAAATCCATGTCGCCGTTCCTCAATCTTGGCTTTGAGTTAAATCACCTGGGGAGCTTAGAAATGATGAGACCTGGGTCTCAATACGATAGATTCTGATTTCCTTGCACCTGTGTGAGTGTGTGGATTTTTTTTTCTTTTAAAGCACCAGAGGTGTTTCCAATGACGAAGTTTTTAGAGGCATCAAGCTCCAATGAGTAAGAACAGAAATTAATTGTAATATGATTTCTTCAAATATTATCTTCAAATGCTTTGTCCATCAACACCATAGAAATGTTTATTATGTTGTTTTTTCTTACCATTTCGCGTTTTCTATTTGTTTCTTTTCCTTTTTTTTTTGAGTCAGAGTTTCACTCTTGTTGCCCAGGCTGGAGTTCAATGGCACGGTCTCGGCTCACTGCAACCTCTGCCTCCCGTATTCAAGCAATTCTCCTGTCTCAGCCTTCCAAGTAGCTGGGATTACAGGCATGCGCTACCATGCCTGGCTAATTTTTTTTTTTTTTTGTATTGTTAATAGAGACAGTGTTTCTCCATTTTGGTCAGGCTGGTCTGGAACTCCCGACATCAGGTGATCCGCCCGCTTCCGCCTCCCAAAGTGCTGAGATTACAGGCATGAGCGACCGCGCCCAGCCACCACTTAGCATTTACATTTTACATTTGTTGAAGTTATAGATTTATACACACATTGATTGCTGCTTTGTTATACACTTGCGTATACATAAGATGGGAAATAGAAAAGAATAAAATGGGCACAGTATCCCTGAAGTTTCACATTCCGAGACATTTTTAAAATATTTGCTCTTCAGAAATTAGTTTCAATGAAGAAACTGTGGTATATACACCCAATGAAGTATTAGTCAGCCTAAAAAGGAAGAAACTTCTCTCCGCTGCAGACAAAATGGATGAGATTCCAGGTCTTTATATTAAATGAAATAAGCCAGGCACAGAATGACAAATATTTCACGTCCTCACTTCTATGTAGGAAGAAAAAAGGAAACCTTGGCCAGGTGTGGTGGCTCAGGCCTGTAATCCCAGCTGTCTGGGAGGCCGAGTCGCACGGATCACTTGAGTCCAGGAGTTCAAAACCCACCTGGCCAACATGGTGAAACTCCGTCTCTACGGAAATCACAAACAATGAGCCAGGCATGGTGATTTGTGTCTGTAGTCTCAGCTACTCGGAGGGCTGAGGCCCAAGAAGCGCTTGAACTCGGGAGGCAGAGCTTGCAGTGAGCCCGTATTGTGCCTGTATACTCCAACCTGGGCAACAAAAAGAGACTCTATCCCAGACACACCTACACACAAAAGGAATCTCAGGAAGGTGGAGAGTATAAAGGTGTTTAGCAGACGCTAGGAAGAAAAGGGGTGGGATAGGGAATGAAGACAAGTGGATAATTGGGTCCCAAAATACGGAAAGATGGAATAAGTGAGTGCTAGTGTTTGATAGTACAGTATGAAAACTTTAGTTCACAAGAATTGCTTGCATATTTCCAGATGCTTTGGTAAGAAGCTTCCTAACTTTCTCATTATGCTGGTTTTTAAGCTCTTCTCTTTCTGCTCTTGAAATCATCCGTCCGCTTCGGCCTCCCAAAGTGCTAGGATTACAAGCCTGAGCGACCGCGCCCGGCCCATGCTGTATCCTTATCTGTTGTCTGTTGTTTGTTTGCTTTGGAGCCCAGAAATAACTTCTCACCTATAGGTTCAAATGATTTTTCACATGAGTGCTAAGAAAGCTCATTGGTGGAAAAGCAGCCTTTTCAAGAAATGGTGTTGGAGAAACTTGATTTCCACATGCAAAAGAATGAAGGTGGACCCTATGTCACACCAGGTGCAAAAATTAACACAAACTGGATCAAAGACCTCACCCCAAGCACTAAACGTATCATACGCCTAAAAGAAAACATTGGCCACTCTTTCATGACATCAGATTGGGCAATGTTCTCTGGGATATGACACCAAAAGCATAGGCAACAAAAGAAAATTAGATTCCTTGGATTACATCTAAATGACAGACACTTTTGTGCAGGAAAAAACACTGCGAACTGAGTGAAAAGTTAACCCATGGATTAGGAAAAATATTTGCTAAGCATATATCTGAAAAGAGGCTGATAGCCATCGTATATAAAGAACAGCTAGAACTAAACAACAAGAAACCCAAAGCATCCCATCAACAATGGTCAGAAGACTTGAGTAGACGTGTCCCTAAAGAAGATATTGCAATGGCCAATAAGCATCTAAAATGATGTTCAAAGTCACTCATCATAGGGAAGCGCAAATCAAACCAAGAATGTGACACCACACATTAGGGTGGATATGATAAACAAACAGGCATTGGTGAGACTAGAGGGAAATAGGAATGCTCGCATATGATCAGAGGGAATGTGAAACCGTGAAGGAACGGGGAAAATAGTATGGCGTCTACTGGAAAAATTAGAAACAGTATGATCAGATGTTCCCGCAGTTGCATTTGTGGGTACCTACCAAAAAGAATTAGAAGCCAGGAGTGGAAGACAGATTTGTGTACACCCATATTCATAGCAGCATTATTCACAAGAGCCAAAATGTGGAAGCAACCCAAGGGTTCGTGGACAGATGAATGAAAAAGCACACTGCAGTTCCTTCATACAATGGAAGACTATTCAGCCTTCAAAAGGCAGGCACTTCTGGCCGGTGCAGTGGCTCACACCTGTAATCGCAGCGTCTTGGAGGACCGAGGTGGGCAGATCAACTGAGGTCAGGAATTCAAGACCAGCCTGGCCATCTTGGTGAAACCCTGTCTCTACTGAAAATGCAAAAAATTAGGTGAGCATGGTGGCCTGTGCCTATAGTCCCAGCTACTCGGGAGGCTGAGGCACAAGAATCGCTGGAACCCAGGAAGCGGAGGTTGCAGTGGGCCCAGATTGTGCCACTGCACTCCAGACTGTGAGACAGAGTGAGACTCCATGGAAACACAAAACAAAACAAAGTCAAACGAACAAACAAAAAACAACAACAACAAAAAACAGACAGGCACTTCTGACGCAGGCCGCAACATGGATGAACCTTGAAGACATTATCGTCAGTGAAATAAATAAATCCCAAAAGGATAAACAGGCCCAGGCTCAGTGGCTCACACCTGTAACCCCAGCACTTAGGGAGGCTGAGCCAGGCAGATCATTTAAGGTCAGGAGTTCGAGACCCGCCTGGCCAATATGGTGAAAGCTCATCTCTATTAAAAATACAAAAATTAGCTGGGCGTGGTGGCGCACACCTGTAATCCCAGCTACTCGGGAGACTGAGACACAAGAATCGCTTGAATCCCCGATGTGGAGGTTGCAGTCAGCCCAGACCACGCCACTGCACTCCAGCCTGGGCGACAGAGAAAGACTATGTCTGCAAAACAAAAAAATTAAACACGGTATGATTCCACTTATCTATCAAGTGTCTAGAGTAGCTAAACTCATAGATTTGCAAACTAGAAAAGTGGCCTCCAGGGGCGGGCGAGAGAGAGGAATGGAGAGCTTGGTGAATGGGTGGAATTTCCATTTTGAAAGATAAAACTGTTCCGGAGACGATGGCGGTGATGGTTGCTAAACAATGTGAACGTACTTAATGTGGTTAAACTGTTAACTGAAAAAGAGTGGAAATTGTAAATGTTTATACTGGCCTTTCTCTATGAAATAATATGTATATATAATTTTTAATATTTATACGTGGTATATTTTCCCATAATAAAAGACAAAAATTGAAGCAGTTGGATGTTTAAAAAGAAAAGAAAGAAGCGAAGAATACCCACCAGCTTTCTCCTGATTAGAGGAAGAGCCCCAAAGCTTCTATGGACACTCACTTTTCTCTTCTTCTTCTTGCAATATTATGAGGAAATCCTTAGAGGTTGGGGAACTTGGGCGACTTTGGCTAATGAGGAGCTCTGTGCCTTGAGCCTCCCAGGCCACAGAATAGTAAATAGTCTGTCCCTCCAGCCCTGCAGTGTGAGGTTGCAGTCCTGTGGGCTCCACTCCTGTCACCTGTATCAAGGGGCTGATGTCTCACCCTGTCTTCTTGCCAGCCTTGAGGACGGAGTCTGAGCCTCCAATGTGCACCACGCAGGGAGGACAGTGGACCTGTTCTCCGTGGTCATGGCCCAGCAGAGGGGAAGGGCAGTTCAGTGAATGTAGGCAAAAGAAAGTGAGATCAGACACTTACTGTGTCTATGGAGAAAGGAAAGACATAAGAGACTCCATTTTGAGAAAGACCTGTACTTTCAACAGTTGCTTTGCTGAGATGTTGTTAATCTGTAGCTTTGCCCCAGTCACTTTGAACCAACCACTTTGAACCAACCTGAAGCTCACAAAAGCATGTGTTGTATGAAATCAAGGTTTAAGGGATCTAGGGCTGTGCAGGACGTGCCTTGTTAACAAGATGTTTCCAAGCAGTATACTTGGTAAAAGTCATCGTCATTCTGTAGTCTCAATAAACCAGGGGCAAGATACACTGTGGAAAGTCGCAGGGACCTCTGCCCTTGAAAGAGGCTTATTGTCCAAGGTTTCTCCCCATGTGATAGTCTGATAAGTGGCCTCATGGGAGGAGAAAGAAATGACTGTCCTCCAGCCTGACCCCCGTAAATGGTCTGTGCAGAGGTGGATTAGTCAAAGAGGAAAGACTCTTGCAGTTGAGAGAGAGGAAGGCCGCTGTCTCCTGCCTGCAGCTGGGAACTGAATGTCTCGATATAAAACCTGATTGTACATTTGTTCAGTTCTGAGATGGGAGAAAAACCGCCCTATGGTGAGAGGCGAGACGTGTTTGCAGCAATGCTGCCTTTTTATTCTTTACTCCACTGAGATGTTTGGGTGGAGAGAAACATAAATCTGGCTTACGTACACGTCCAGTCATAGTACCTTCCCGTGAACTTCATTATGACATAGATTCTATTGTTCTCATGCTCGTTGCTGACCTCCTTATTATCACCCTGCCCTCCTACTACATTCCTTTTTGCTAAAATAATAAAAATAATAATCAATAAAAATGAGGGAACTCAGAGGCAAGTGCCAGTGCAGGTCCTTGGTATGCTGAGCGCCAGTCCCCTGGGCTCACTGTTGTTTCTCTGTACTTTGTCTCTGTGTCTTATTTCTTTTCTCAGTCTCTCGTCCCACATGACTAGAAATACCCATAGGTGTGGAGGGGCAGGTCACCCCTTCAAGTGAATACTGAGGGATGGTCGGGAGCCTTGTTTGTTTCCTCATCCTCAGGACAAACAGGAGAGTGTGATGGGTGGATGGGATGAGACCAATATGCAACTCTATGCTCAGCAGACTGTGGCGTTTCTGTTCTTGGTTGTGGTGGGGGTCTCAGAAATCTTATTCAAAATTTTGCTTTCCTCCCCCACTGGTTGTCCTTTTCATAGACATCTCACCCATGATAGCAGGGGATCAGTCCCTCTAAACTATTCCCTAAGAACAACAAAGAGATTATGAAGGTGATGATGAGGATAAAGAGGATGACGACAGACACCATGGCATCATGAACCCTTACTGAGGGCTTCATAAAGGCCAGACTCTGAGCTCTGTGCTCTATGCAGCTTGTTTCATTTCATCTGCATAGTCTCCACGTTATTAGTGCACATTTCAGGATGATTTTACAGACTAGAAAAGGCGCAACGGATTTTCATGTAGCTTGTACCAGATCACGAAGTCAAAAAGGGCGAAGTCCAATTTGAACCAGGCAGTCTAAGTCCAGACACATGGCATTTGGCCAGTCCTCTCCCTGCATCCAACCTGCCCTCTCAAATCCTTGTCACTCAGGCTGATGCCCCTGCTCCCTGAGCCCTTCCCTTTGGGGGTTCCTTGGAGACCACAGCTAGACCAGTGGGTGCCACAATCACTGTGTCATGTATAGAAAGGGCAGCTGAGATCACATCAAGGATTCCAGAAAGAATTGGCACAGGATCATTCGGGACGCATCTCTCCCTTGCCCCTGTTACTGGCTTTCCTTACAGCTCTCGACTTCCTCAAAGGAGTCATCAATTCGGAGTTTGGTTTCCATTCCTATTGAGGAAGCTGGAAAGTGTTTCAAACATGATCCTCCGATGTGCCTGTGGTTAAGACCTCTGAGCTTTGCTTAAAACTTTTTGAAGCTGGGCGCGGTGGCTCATGCGTGTAATCCCAGCCCTTTGGGAGGCTGAGGCAGGCGAATCACAAGGTCAGGAGTTCAAGACCAGCCTGGCCAACATGGTGAAACCCTGTCTCTACTAAAAATACACACACACAAAAAAAATTAGCCATGCATGGTGGCGTATGCCTGTAATCCCAGCTACTGGGGAGGCTGAGACAGGAGACTCCTTTGAAGCCGGGAGACAGAGGTGGCAGTGAATCGAGATCACGCCACTGCACTCCAGCCTGGGCAACAGAGCAAGAATCTCTCTCAAAAAAATAAATATATAAAAATTACGAAAAAAAGTGATTGGATGGGCTTGGCAAACTTTAGCCATTAGCTCACGTACCACTTTGGAAGGGCATACCTTCAGTCACTTCACCCTTTAATCTCTTTGCTCAAGACTAAAGTTCTGAGAACAAGTCTAATCGGCTGAGTTGTGTCCATGTGGGCAGTGCAGAAAAGGATGCAGCGGGAGGCGCCTGCAGGGACGTCTTTGGCTTCTATCATGGGGGAGCAGGCCCCTGGATTATCCACCCTAACAAATCTGGACAAAGGAAAACGAGGTTCTCTGAGGAAGGAGACATGGAGCCCAAGGAGCTACCCAAGAGACAAATAGTCATCCTGTCTTGTCATTTTCTTTTACACATGTGTGTACATTATCTTACACTTATCACTTTGTTTTCTTTCTCTCCTTTAATTGCACCCTACTGCAAAAGTTAAAATGAAATGAAAGTATTGAGATAGCTCAGTAACTGACTTTTAGTCAATTGCCTTTTCCTATAGTGAACAGCTGCCCAAAAGATTGTGTCTGTCACTGTGCAAATTTGCAAGCATTTGCATGATCACTCCCAATCCGCCAACACAGAGCTGTGTTACAGCACAATTTAGTTCAGTGTTTTGCTCTCTGCAACAGGGAGGTTCTCATCCATTACAGGTTGCAGTAAAAACAGGGGTACCATAAGCAACCACCTCTTTCCTCAACGGTGTGATGAAAGCAAACGCCAAGTAGCTCCATGTAGCCAACTTAAAAATATAAAAATTACGCCCGTGGGCTGCAGTTGGACCTATGGCGGCGGCAGCTGTCACTGGGCCTAGCCCGGGCTGTGGACCTGGGGACTTCCCAGAAGGGCCCGAGTGGGAGGCTCACGGAGTGTCGGTGGAAGGCGCACAGGATGCTAAAGCTTTACAGTGGCCTCTCGGAAGGGGAGGCGGTGGGACTCCCCGCGGGTCCAGACCCCCTGGACCCCACTGATCTGAACGGGGCGCAGTTCAACCCAGAAGTTTACCTAGACAAGCTGCCTAGAGAGTGCCCTCTGGCCCAGCTGATGGACAGTGAGACGGACATGGTGCAGCAGATCCGGGCTCTAGACAGCGATGCAAACCCTGGTCTATGAGAACTACGATAAGTTTGTCCCAGCCACAGAAATTGACAAACAGCATAAAACTGTATGAGGATTTGCAGGAAACCCAGAATTTCCCAGATAACCTTGTAAAGGAAGAACAAAGTTGGAAGACTCACAAAGAAAAATACATATATATATATATATATATATATGTAAATATGTATATATATATGTAAATATGTATATATATATAAAGTTGTATTTTCGTTCTGTTGTAAATGTCTAGTAATTTCTATTGCGATTTTTCATTTAACTCATGAAAGGATATTTTTAATTTTCCAAATGTGTGCTTGTGTTTATCTATCTTCTTGCTGTTGACTTCTAATTTTATTGCATTATGGTCAGGAAAATGTGGTCTGGACAATGTCAATTGTATAGTGGATTTTGCTGAGACTTCTTTATGGCCTAATATGTGGCCAGTTTTTTTTTTTTTTTTTGCAAATTTTCCACATGTGGTTAAAAGGAATGTGGATTATTTGTTTTTTTTAGGAGAGTTTTTATTTTTAAATAGATAAGGTTCTCAGTGTAATTGAAATCTAGCTTCAGTTAACAATATGCTAGATCTCTCAAACCTTAGGATGTTAGTCAGTGTAACAATAGACTGCTGCTGAGACGAATAAACCCTGAACTCTCAGTGGGTTGGCACCCATAGTATAGTCTGGTGCAGGACAGGGGTTCTCCTTGGGGGCCCTTGTCCAACAGTGATTCAGAGATTCTGCAGGTTTCCATCTTTTAATTCTGCCATCTCAGAGTTTTTCACTTGCAGCCATATGGATAGGGAGAGAGGGAACATAGCTCACACTTGCCTTTGATAACCTTGGCCCAGAAGTGATTTCTTACATTCCTATTGGTGGAAATGCAGTCACATGGTTCCAAACTAACTGCAAGTGAGGCTGGGAAATGTAGTCTTTCTGCATGTAGAGGAAGAGGAATGGTGTGAACACAGCATTGTCTTTGACACACTAAGCATGTGCTGAAGAGTTCTTACTCTCATAGGAGGTTTGTCTGTCCTGTGTAACTTTGTCAGTTTTTGCTTAAATAGTTTCAGGCAATGTTGTTTGGTGCATTCAGCTTGATGATTATTATGTCCTCTTGGCAAAGTAGTCAAGATTCCCATCAGTTTGAATGAAAGTGTTTTACAGATAGGTCAGGAAATGTTAATACTTTAAAAGACCCTTGTATTCCTCCACTCTACAGATAAGAACAACAGAGTCCTAGAGAGAGGAGGTCATGGGTCTCAGTCATGAGTGGCAGAATTGAAACCTACATGGCAGTAACTTTGCTTTCCCCCATCATGTTGTTCTCCCTCTATCTTTACTCTGCTGATTTCCTCACTTGCTCCATACAGACCTCCCAGTGCCAAGTGTGTAAGTGTGTCCGGAATTGGTGGGTTCTTGGTCTCACTGACTTCAAGAATGAAGCCGCGGACCCTCCTGGTGAGTGTTACAGTTCTTAAAGGTGGCGTGTCTGGAGTTTGTTCCTTCTGATGCTCAGATGTGTTCGCAGTTACTTCCTTCTGGTGGGGTTCCTGGTCTTGCTGGCTCAGGAGTGAAGCTGCAGACCTTCACAGTGAGTGTTACAGCTCTTAAGGCTGCACGTCTGGAGTTGTTCATTTCTCCTGATGGGTTCATGGTCTCACTGGCTTCAGGAGTGAAGCTGCAGACCTTCTCAGTGAGTGTTACAGCTCATAAAGGCAGTGTGGACCCAAAGAGTGAGGAGCAACAAGATTTATTGCAAAGAGCAAAAGAACAAAGCTTCCACAGTGTGGAAGGGGACCCCAGCGGGTTGCCACTGCTGGCTCGGGCAGCCTGTTTTTATTCTCTTACCTGGCCCCACCCACATCCTGCTGATTGGTCCATTTTACAGAGAGCCTGAGTGGTCTGTTTCGAGAGGGTGCTGACTGGTGCGTTTACAATCCCTGAGCTAGACACAAAGGCTCCCCACATCCCCACTAGATTAGCTAGATACAGAGTGTCCACACAAAGGTTCTCCAAGTCCCCTCCCTAGTAGCTAGATACAGAGTGTCGACTGGTGCATTCACAAACACTGAGCTAGACACAGGGTGCTGATTGGTGTGTTTAAAAACCTTGAGCTAGATACAGAGTGCCGATTGGTGTATTTACAATCCCTTAGCTAGACATAAAGGTTCTACAAGTCTCCATCAGACTCAGGAGCACAGCTGGCTTCACCCAGTGGATCCCACACAGGAGCCGCAGGTGGAGCTGCCTGCCAGTCCCTCTCTGTGCGCCCACACTCCTCAGCCCTTGGGTGGTCGATGGGACTGGGCACCGTGGAGCAGGGGAAGGTGCTTGTTGGGGAGGCTCGGGCTGCACAGGAGCCCACAGAGGGGGGAGGCTAAGGAATGGCGGGCTGCAGGTCCTGAGCCCTGCCCCATGGGGAGGCAGCTAAGGCCCGGCGAGAAGTCAAGCACAGCAGCTGCTGGCCCAGGTGCTAAGCCCCTCACTGCCCGGGCCTGCTAGGCTGGCCAGCAGCTCCTAGTGCAGGGCCGCCAAGCCCATGCCCACCTGGAACTTCAGCCGGCAGGCAAGCAGCATGTGTAGCCCCAGTTCTGGCTCATGCCTCTCCCTCCACACCTCCCTGCAAGCTGAGGGAGCCAGCTCCGACCTTGGCCAGCCCAGACAGGGGCTCCCACCATGCAGCCACGGGCTGAAGGGCTCCTCAAGTTCCGCCAAAGTGGGAGCACAGGCAGAGGAGGCACCAAGAGCGAATGAGGGCTGTGAGGGCTGCCAGCACACTGTCACCTCTCATAAGGAGTGATTAATCTGAGCTTCTCCAGAAAGTCCTTTCCTGGTAGGCACTGGGAATAAGAAATCTCAGAGTATAAAAAAAATCAAGTGGTAACACTTTTGTGAATGGCTCCCCAATTAGATCCTTTACCTTTTTTTTTTTTTCCATGAAGCACAGTTGCCCAAAACACACTTAGCCTGAGATGAAGCACATATTAGAGAAAGGTTCTCTCTATAGCATTATGTATTACTCAAATGAGCATTAAAAAGAGGAGACAGGACATGCTCTCTCTAGATATTATTACCTCCACTATAGAGTTGACATACACAAGCTCATTATTGCAATATGTTTTTTTTCAAGAAAATAACTTTAATGTTGAAGCTTAAATTGAATTCGCTAAAACATCTTTGTCTCCAGCATAATGTGCCTCAGGTGTCTCCTTGGTGCCTGAATTTTCTCCAGAATTATAGTGCTGAAGCTATGGAAATGGTGAAATTACATGCAATCTGAAAAACAATGTGGCGATAACGTGGTAATTGGCCTTCCACATAATTAAAGGAACATTTCCTCATCAGAGCTGTTCCATCAGAGACCCAAAGGCTATCGTTGTACAAATCACCCACTTAGGAAAACCTTTATTCCCAGTAGCCTATAAAAATCTGGTTATGTAAACAGATTTGCTTATTCAGTAAGATTAATGGCTTCTCATAGTTAAAAAGTCATCAATGTGATTGACCTATAATCTGTTTCCTCTGTGACCAAGTGTCATTTTTATTTTGACAGTTAGGAGCCTTTTGACTCTTTCACAGCTGCCATGAAGGCACAGGGAGGGAAATCTCAAAAACAAACAACCTGTGTATTCCCAGCCTATTAATCAATAGAAAATCACTTCAATTGGATTAGGGTCTTGTACCTGGCAGAAAGGCTTTTAAGGACATTGGAATTGGATTTTTACACTTGATATGACACCTCCTTGAGTCAGATCAGATTCGTGTTTGATAGACTCTTGCCGAAAAATTGCTCCAGGGTCTGTGCGGTAGCTAAAGCCTTTTTGTTGTTGTTGTTGTTTTAAAAGCAGAATTAAATGTTTTCATGAAGACCTTCCCACCAGTGATTTTATTGGGAATATGGTCTTTAGCTCTGGTCCTGAATAACTCACACTGAGGAAACCTCTAACAAGTGTTTTATTGGGAGATGTCTGATGGATGGTTGGTTTTAATAACAAATCTCTTCCCTTTTTCTGTCCCCTGTGTTCTATTCTCCTTTCTCTACACATTATTCTGGGAGGATTCACCTATTCCCAAAGTCCTTTCCTCTTTATTTCCATTCCAGAGCTCTCTGTATAACTCCAGGCTGATGAATCCAACTGCCCAGTTGTTATCTCCACTTGGCTGTCTGTCTTGCATTGACCTCATCTTACCTTGCCTCTCCTGATTTCCTCTTCTGCCTGGGCTCACCACGTCAGATTCACACCACCATCCACCCAGCTTCCAAAATACCTGGGCCTCCTCCTTCATTCCTCCCTCTTTCTCAGTCAAGTTAGTCTACTGTCTCCTCTCCATCCTCACTGCCACAGCCTTGGTCCAGCCAACCATCTTGTCTCACTTGGTGTATTGCAGCCTCCTACCTGGTCTACTCACCTCCCACTCTCCTCCAGCCAGACTGCTCTTGTTCTAGCACAAAGTGGATCATTACTCCCCTGTCTAAAAACATCTACTGTCTCCCTTTGTCTACAGGATAGACACGACAAAGAGCCTTTAAGATTTGGCTCCATCTTACCTCTATGTTAGTCACTTTTTATAATTATATGAACATCTCTCAGCTCCTCACCCTCTCACGTCTCGATTTTTGCACATGCTCTTCCCTCTGCTGGGAATGATCTTCCACACCTCTCCTATCGACCTGGCTAGTTCCTACCATTTTCTAGTCTTCAACTGAGGAGTCCTGTGGTGGAGAAGGATTTCTCACAACCTGATATAGATTGCACGCCCACCCACCTCCGGGCTTTTTCTTTTTTCTTTCTTTTGTTTTTTTTGAAGGAGTCTTGCTCTGACCATGCAGGCTGGAGTGCAGTGGTGCGATCTTGGCTCACTGCAATCTCCACCACCCGGGTTCAAGCAATTCTCCCACCTCAGCCTTCTGAGTATCTGGAATTACAGGTGCCCGCCACCACATCTGGCTGATTTTTTTGTATTTTTAGTAAAGACAGGATTTCACCATGTTGGCCAGGCTGTTTTCAAACTCCTGGCCTCAAGTGATCCACCCACCTTGGTCTCCCGAAGTGCTGGGATTACAGGCATGAACAACTGCACCTGGCCGATTTGGTGCC
Organism: Homo sapiens; assembly: GCF_000001405.40. Classification (NCBI taxonomy): domain Eukaryota; kingdom Metazoa; phylum Chordata; class Mammalia; order Primates; family Hominidae; genus Homo; species Homo sapiens. The sequence continues at coordinate 5,866,332 of NW_018654717.1, read as the reverse complement.
CCTTCTATGTGCTCCCATTGCCCCAGGCATACTGTCACTGTAACTCTTACCATTCTGAGTTGAAAATGATTTTTTTTTTTGCTTTTTATTTCTCTCATTAAATGCAAAGCTCATGGAAAAGAGGACAGTGGTTGTTCACTGTTGTACTCCTAACCTTTGACTCAGTGTCCTGAGGTTGGCTCTAGAGCTATGCACACATGTTCAGACATTGGAGCACATCTTGTCTAGCACCTCTTTTGAGGTGGCTTAGAGAAAAGTCAGTAGGTACTTCCCCAAGGATGAAACAGAAGCTTCACCTAAACCAGTTCTTCAACTTCAGCCTGCATTAGAATCCTCTGAGAGCTTGTTAAAAATACCATCTCCTAGAGCCCACTCTTCAAGAGTCGGTGAGTTGCTTCATCATCAAAATATATACAGAATTCAGCCAGTCTTCAGCCCCAGCCTGGTGTGAGCCACTGTGGACTCCCACCTGCAGAATGTCCCTGCTGGTCTCCTTGCTTCTGCTCTTACCTTCTTATTACCCATTCAAGTAGCCGGGGCGATCCTTTTTAAAAATATTTTAAAATTTTTTTGAGATGAAGTCTCACTCTGTTGCCCAGGCTGGAGTGCAGTGGTGCTATCTCAGCTCACTGCAGCTCTGCCTCCTGGGCTCAAGCCATCCTCCCACCTCAGCCTCCTGGGTAACTGGGACCACAGACATACACCACCACACCCGGCTAATTTTTGTATTTTTTGTAAAGACACGGTCTTGCTATGTTGCCCAGGCTAGTCTTGAACTTCTGTGTGCACCCACCTCAGCCTCCTGCATTTTTAGGAGGCCCCTCTTGTAGGGATTTTGATCCAGAGGCCTGGGTGCCTCCTGTGTCCCCCCATCTCTCTCTGTCTTTCTGTCTCTGTCTCTCTCTCTCTTTCTCTTTGCCTTATAGTTGCCCTGGGGTCTAGACTCTGCCTTAGGCATCCCTCTGGCTCTTGTTTGCTTTTACACTGAGGCTGCTTTAAATTGCACCTTGATCTGAAGCCTTGGGCTTCTGCTCCTATTCCTTGCTTTTGTTGGAAGGGCCGTGCAGCTTCTTGACAAATTGCAAAGGTGCCCACGAGTTTCCAAGTCCCCAAGAACCAAACCAGATGACAAACAAGGATGCAGCCCACAGCTGGGGAGACAGATTTCATGTCCACACAGAGACTCCAAGATGCTGAACTGAAATCCACCCCGAAACCTGTTTTCTCTCTCATTTAAGTTCATTGTCACCTGGGGGCTTGCAGGGCAGGGCTGGTGACCATTCTCAGGGCAAAGATGCTTTGAAATGTCAACTGAGAATGGTGTGGTGGTTGACAGATGGCACGTCAGAGCATAGATTAACATGGAAAGAGAAACTCACCCCTTGGGGGGAGTGTGTGAGGCTGGCAGCCACACAGAGGGCTTTTCCTGTGAGCTCTTGCATAGATGCAAACAGCCAGGAGGTTTTGCTTTCTGATCCTGAGTGGAAGCATGTTCCTCCCTGCACATTGCCGCTCTGCAGCAAATGTTTATTCCTGTTGCATTGATTAAAAGTGCTTACCAGGCCAGGCGCGGTGGCTCACGCCTGTAATCCCAGCACTTTGGAGGCAGAGGCAGGCAGATCACAAGGTCAGGAGATTGAGACCATGCTGGCTAACACGGTAAAACCCCGTCTCTACTGAAAATACAAAAAATTAGCCGGGCATCGTGGCGAGTGCCTGTAGTCCCAGCTACTTGGGAGGCTGAGGCAGGAGAATGGCATGAACCCAGGAGGCAGGGCTTGCAGTGAGCCGAGATTGTGCCACTGCACTCCAGCCTGGATGACAGAGCAAGACTCCATCTCAAAAAAACAAAGCGCTTACCGAAGAGGTTTTAGGGCAGTGGTGACAGTGTGAGTTATTACTCTGCCGGCTGCCAGTGGAGCCAGCCACTCTGCACAGCCGTGCAAGGGCGTTTTGAAAAGTGGCTCAGCCGTCCAGGAGTGACTGGCTGTAAATATTGCTGCCACAACATCTTGTAGCCTGATTGGGGCCGTGTTTGCAGAACCCCTAAATCATTACATTTGTTCAGGCTTAAAAATAAGCTTACTTTTTTTGTTTGTTTTGTTTTGTTTTATGAGATGGAGTCTAGTTCTGTCACCGGGTTGGAATGCAGTGGCATGATCTCGGCCCACTGCAACCTCTGCCTCCTGCGTTCTAGTGATACTCCTTCCTCAGGCTCCCGAGTACCTGGGACTACAGGCGTGTGCCATCATGACCAGCTAATTTTTGAATTTTTAGTACAGACGGGGCTTCACCATGTTGGCCGGGATGGTGCGATCTCTTGACCTCGTGATCTGCCCGCCTTGGCTTCCCAAAGTGCTAGGATTACAGGCGTGAGCCACCGTGCCTGGGCAAACATAAACTTACTTTCTTACCTCTTCTGCTGAACTCTATTTGCTTCTTTTCGCAACTTCTGCTGAACTCTATTTTGCTTCTTTTTCCTGGTAAAGCTCTTCTTTATCCAGAAGAGCTTTTAGCAACAAAGTTACCCAATGCCCTTCCCTAGTCTCTCCTTGCAACTGGCTCTCAGTGGTGGGTGGGGTGGGTAGGAGGAAATCCTTGACAGAACCAATTTACATGACTGTTTGGAGGACTCTCGCTAGCCCCAGGAGGTGTTTGCATTTTTAAATTGGTTAGTAGTGTCAGAATGTTTCATGAGTAAGAGCACAGCCTCTAAGTTGGATACCCTGAATTTAAATCTCAACATGGCCATTTTGTATATAACCAGAGGATGGATTGGGGGACCCAATGGATCTACCATGACATGAACTTGGACCAACATTCACCTGACCTAAAAAATGTGTATTCTGACTGGTAGACCCTAGTCTCAGCCTAGTGCCAGTTCAGAGCCTGTGTCCAGTGATCCTGCACAGGTCTCATTAGTTCCTTTTCTCCTGTTCAGTCATCCTGGTAAAGGCTGTGTATTCCCTTGGGGGCAGGCTGGGAGAAAGATTGACAGTATAAATTTTTGGCAGTGGAGCAGAGTCCTTTCTGGAGGGGACCTGGCTTCCCATTCAGACAAGGGACTCCGGGTCTGTGAACTGGCTTATGGCAGGGAATTGAATGGGGTCTGTGACACTGTTTTTATGATTCAGATTAGACTTCTGCTCACCTGACCTAGAACTCTTCTGCAAACACAGATCACGTAAAAATGTGGCAGGCTTCTTATCTATTTCACTTCTAGGAAAGCCACGATCAGCAGGCACCATAGGTCTCTGCGAGTCAGGGTATTCTGGTTGCAGCTTTGACTCTGCTGTCTTTTATGGTAACTGCATCCACCTTGCCTTTGGGGATTGAGTGCTCTGATCACTTAGCCCCAGCCACTGTAGTGTGCCTATGTCACTTACCCTCTTTATACCTCAATCTCCTCCTCTATAAAATGGGCATCCTCATTGCACCCACCCCCAGGGCTGCTGTGAGGTATAGATGGATTAGCATATGGAAAGTAATAGAAGAGGGTCTCAAAGCCCATGTGTCGTTATCAGAATTATTTCGTGACAGGGGAGAGCTGGAAGAGAGAGGAAGGTGCTGAGCAGACCCGAGTGCTCTCCCACCAGTGTTTCCTGAGCACCTACTATGTGCTGTCCACTGTGAGAGCTGTTAGGGTTGAAATAGGGAGCACAGCAGGGTAGGGGCTGCCATCAGGAGCTTAGTGGGGAGACCATTGTGCAACATGATTCCAGCGCTTGGGGTGGGGAAGCTCAGGGAGTACAGGGGCCTAGGATCCTGGGCAGAATCATGGAAAGGACACAGCCTCCCCAGCCTCTCCTGCGTCCCCTGCCTCCCTGGCCTCCTCTGCTTCCCTGGCCTCTCCTGCCTTCCTGGCTTCCCCTTCTGCCCCGGCCTCCCCAGTCTCCCCTGTCTTTCCTGCTTCTGAGGTGGGCCAGGAGCTGCTGGTGCTCACTTAGCCTGTCCTGGACTCTGGGTGTAGCACTTCGATGTCCAGAAAATACCCCCGGGTTCAGCTCATCACACAACCAAGGAAGGAGCTCCACACTGACACTAAGGGTGCATCCTGGGCTCATTCATCAGGGCATGCCTCCACAATATTTCTCCACGTCTCCTCCCTTTGCCCACCTGCATTGTCTCTGTGCCTGAGCCCCGGCTGGGGGTCTGGAAGGATCCCCTATCTCCTCTGCCCCTGCACGGCTGGGTCCCAGGCAATCTGTCCGCCCACCACGCCTGTCGCCCCTTGCCCACCACGCTCCAGCCCCACAGTCCTCTTTCTGCTTCTTTCCCAGCCTCTGGGCTTTTGCACACGCTGTTCCCTCTGCCTGAACACCCTCCACTGGGCTGAGAACAACTCTCTGAGACCTCTCTCAGCTGTTGCTTCCTTTGGAACAGCCGCTGCTGCTGTCCCTCTCCCAGCTCCAAGACCGGCTGAGCCTCCTGTCTTTTTCAGTTCCCATGCCCCCAGCACTTCTCCTTGGCCTCCTTTGGCCGAGTTGACAATGTCCATTCTCAATGCCTTCCCACCCAGCGCTGAGCCCCACTGGATGAAGGCAATGCCTGTCATGTCCACCGCAATATCCCCTCCCCCATCACCACGCCTGGTCCACAGTGATGCTCAAAAAAGATCTGTTGGTAGGCAATGTGAAGGTGCATTCATGTCATCCTGCAGGCGGAATTCTCCACGAGTTTTGAGCAGCCTCGGTTTTCCCACCCCCTCCAAATCATGGAAGAAACAGGGTAAGAGCAAAGACAAGGTGGCTGTGGCCGATGTCCACCCTCTCCGGGCGTCCCTTCTCTTCTCTCCTCCTTCGGCAGGGAGACTATCGGGGTGCAACCTGGCTGGGGCGGGGAGGAGGTGCAGGGCCTGGCCAGAGCGGGCCTGGCCACGGGCAAGGGACAGCGACTTCCTGGGCCAGGACAGGTGAGAGCGGCGCAGGCCCGAGCCCGGCGTGGCGGCGGTGTGCGGGAGAGGCCAGCAGAGGGCGCCAGAGAGCCAGGAGCGGCCCGCCGAAGAGCCCGCGCCGCCCGGATGCCCAGCTCCGCGCCGCGCGGACCCAACGAGCCCGCGCTCAGACTCCCCAGCTCCGCCGAGAGGACGCTCGCGCTGGGTCCTTCTTCTTCCCCAAGTGCAGGCAGAGCCCCCGGAGTCATGGCCAGCCCTTCCGGCAGCTCCGAAGCCACTGGCAAGCCCTGAGGTAGGGATGGCTGGCCCAGGAGGGAGGAGGACGACGTCCCTCCCGAAGAGAAGAGGCTGCGGCTGTTGCTGGAGGGGGGAAGCGCACAGCCCGAGGACGGGGAGGACGCGCCGCGGCCGGGCAGGGAGGAGACCGGCACCCAGACAGGTGGCGACGGCAAAGGAGTAAGTGACGCGGGCGCGGGGGTCCGGGGGTGCCGGGGGCGCGGGGGTGCCTGCGACACGGGGTAGAGGTGGCGGGAGGCTCCGTGGCCGACCCCGGGTTGAAGATGGGAGGGCGGCCTTCATTCTGAACCCATTTAGGCAGCACGGGCAGCCCTCCTCGCCGCGGGCTGCATCAGAGCCCCCCCTGCCCTGTCTTGGGGTTGCTCCCGGTTGCTGTCTGGGAGGCTTGCTCATGGTGACATCCTCATCTCCCCGTGCACGTTACTGCATTCAGAGCTTGGGTCACCTGGACACTGAACTCAGGTGAATTTTCTCTGAGATCCCGGGAGAAGGAGGACAGTTCTCTGGAAGGTTTTCCAGGGCCGATCACGGAAAGGATGAGAAGGGAGAGGCCCTGGTCGGGAACACAATTACGGTGGCAGTGTAACACCAGGAAACTTTATTGCGTGAAGTCCCTCTCACTCCTTCCACCTCCTTTTACGTGGACTCTGCCAAAGACCAGGATACCAGAATGCAGTGGAGTGACCAAGTGTAGTGGGACCTTGGGAACGCGAGTCTGGAGCCAGGCGGCTGGGGTTTGCATCCTGGTTCTGCCCCTCCTTAGCTGGCTGACATGGCACAAGCCTCTTACCCTCTCTGAGCCTTACTGTCTTCAGTGGCAAATGGATCTGTCAACAGGTCCCATTGCCTGGGGTTTACTGCTGAGATTAAGGGAAGCTTATCCACAGAAGCACTTAGGATTGTGCCTGGCACATAGTGTATGGTGGATAAATGAGAGTTAGGACTAAAACTCATGCCTTGGTGTGTTTTTGCAGTGATGTTTTGTTCTGGGGTGCATCACAAGAGACAAGGTTCTTGGCTGGGCATGGTGGCTCAAGCCAATAATCCCAGCACTTTGAGAGGCCGAAAGGGGAGGATCGCTTGAGCCCAGGAGTTTAAGACCAGCCTGGGCACGGTGGTGAAGCCTCATATCAACCAAAAATAAAAAAAATAAAAAATAAAGCCAGGTATGGTGGTGTGTGCCTGTAGTCCCAAGGACTTTGGAGGCTGAGGTGGGAGGATTGTTAGAGCCTGGAAGGTCGGGCTGCAGTGAGCTGTGATCATGCCACTGCACTCCAGCCTGGGTGACAAAGTGAGACTCTGTTTCAAGGAAGAGAGATAGAGAGAGAGAGAGACACAGACCCACAAGAGTCTTAAGCCAGAATCTTCATGTTAAAATGCTTTCTGGAGGCTAAAAGGATGATATGTTGATAATGAAATATTTAAAAGGCAGAAACCCCACTGAATTGTTTGGTCCACAGAGGGAAATGGGAATCGCATGACCTGAAGGTTGATGGAGGAACTGAACAGAAACCATCCTTGTTTCCTGAATCTGAACATGGCACCCTCTTTTCACGGTGTTTGTATCTGCTCAGTCCGGCGGCCCCTCAAAAAGAGGCAATCTTGATTTTCAAACTTAAAATTTGGCCCAAAGCCCACTGCTGCCCACAATGCCCGCCAGACACATTCCTCTTCCCTTTTAGTTCCTATGGGAATACTCTCTTTGAAGAACCCATGAAGCAGTGTCAGGCTGGTGTGAGAATCAGCAGTGATTTCTTTGAGGAGGAGAGCCGTTTCTTCACTCACAGGCCATGTCTGAGTGGATCAAGAAGAACAGAGTGCCCTTTTATGAGATTTTGTCTGTGTAGACCATTAGCTTGGTAAAAATGCCAAAACCATCCTCGTTCTTTAATAGCAGATTATTTTGGACTTTTCTCTGCAAGAAGCAGCATGGGCATTCAGATGCTTTTAAGGACAAAATGTTCTTTCTCATCACCAGGCCTGGTGCTCTGGATGGCTGAGGTTTTAATGTGACTGGATGTCCCTTAGAGTGGCTCCCAGGCTGTGCTCTTGTGGTTGGGTGGCAAGGGGTTGCTTTATTCGTTGGTGGCTAGAGGATGTTTTAGCAGATAAATCGGGACCCCAGGAGCCCTTGAGTGCCAAGTCCTGCCCTGCAGGGCATGTGTTTATGGTGGGGATGTGGGGAGGGGTGGAGGGTGGGGTGCATTGATTTCCTGCCAATATCAGAAGTTTCACAGGCTTCTTGTGTATCCACAAACACCCACCCCATTGAGAAGGCCTAGAAAACCTGGCCCTCCCCAAGTCTTTATTGACAACTTGTGAATGATCCCAGGGTGTGTCTGACCCACAGCTCCTCCTGGAGGGAGAGAAAAGTCTCTCCTAGGTATTTGGTTGTCAACCTCAACCACTTGCTGAGCCTTCCCCAAGACCAGGCATCTTGTCAGAGATTTCTGGGTTGTCAGGCAGAACCGAGCATTCGAGGGTAATAACTCACTGGAGTCCCTGAAATCCCTGATGGACGCACCTGGTAAAAGCATCCAGGGTTGAAACCAGATCAGGAAGGTTATTGTCAGCCTGGGGCTCCTGTAGAGGTGCATCCACGTTGCAGGGATTTTCCTTCTTGCTGAGGAGAAACCTGGGTTTCTCAGCTTTGGCACAGTCAGAATATTTGTGGTGAGACCATTCGTGGTGCTGGTGGTGGGGCTGTGCTGTGTATTGAAGGATGGTTAGCAGCATCTGTGGTCTCCATCCTCTAGGTGCCATTCTACCCTCCCTGCTATGGCTACCCCAGACGTCTCCAGATGGTTTCAAATAATGTGGGGCAAGGGAGCGGTACGTGAGCAAAACCACCCCAGTTAAGAGCCATTGGTCCACACTTGTGGAAATGTTTGAGGGTGAGAGTGTCGAGCTTGGGTCCCTGCTGTACCCTTTATGAGCAATGTGGTCTTGGAAAATTAATACTACTCCAGGGGCCTCAGTTTTCTCATCTATAAAATGGAGATAAATGAGATACACTTTGATAGGAAGGTTATATGGGATTCACCGAGATAATAAGACAGTACATGGAAAATGCTGCGCATAGCATTTATTTATTTTAATTTTTTTTTAAGACAGAGTCTTACTCTGTTGCCCAGGTTGGAGTGCAGTGGCATGATCTCCGCTCACTGCAATCTCCACCTCCTGGGTTCAAGTGATTCTCCTTCCTCAGGCTACTGAGTAACTGGGACTACAGGCGTGCGCCATCATGCCCATCTAATTTTTGAATTTTTAGTAGAGACGGGGCTTCACCATGTTGGCCAGGATAGTCCGATCTCTTGACCTCGTGATCTGCCCGCCTCGGCCTTCCCAAGTGCTGGGATTACAGGCGTGAGCCACCGTGCCTGGCCAAACATAAACTTACTTTCTTACCTCTTCTGCTGAACTCTATTTGCTTCTTTTCCCATACGTCTTTATCCAGAAGAGCTTTTAGCAACAAAGTTACCCAATGCCCTTCCCTAGTCTCTCCTTGCAACTGGCTCTCAGCAGGGGGTGGGAGGAAATTCTTGACAGAACCAATTGACATGACTGTTTTGGGGACTCTGGCTAGCCCCAGGAGGTGTTTGCACTTTTAAATTGGTTACTAGTGTCAGAATGTTTCATGAGTAAGAGCCCAGGCTCTATGTTGGTTGCCCTGAATTTGAATCTCAACATTGCCTCTTTGTATATAACCAGAGGATGGATTTGGGGACCCAATGGATCTACCATGACATGAACTTGCACCAACATTCACCTTACCTCCAAAATGCCTATTCTGACTAGTAGACCCTAGTCTCGCCCTAGTGCCAGTTCAGAGCCTGTGTCCAGTGATCCTGCACAGGTCTCATTAGTTCCTTTTCTCCTGTTCAGTCATCCTGGCGAAAGGCTGTGTATTCCCTTGGGGGCAGGTTGGGAGGAAGATTGACAGTATAAATTTTTGGCAGTGTAGCAGAGTCCTTTCTGGAGGGGACCTGGCTTCCCATTCAGACAAGGGAGTCCAGGTCTGTGAACTGGCTTATGTCTGGAAATTGACTGGGGACTGTGACTCTGTTTTTATGATTCAGATTAGACTTCTGCTCACTTGACCTAGAACTCTTCTGCAAACACAGATCAAGTGAAATGTGGCAGGCTTCTTATCTATTTCACTTCTAGGAAAGCCACGATCAGCAGGCACCATAGGTCGCTGCGAGTCGGGCTATTCTGGTTGCAGCTTTGACTCTGCTGTCTTTTATGATAACTGCATCCACCTTGCCTTTGGGGATTGAGTGTTCTGATCACTTGGCCCCAGCCCCCGTAGTGTGCGTATGTCACTTACCCTCTTTATACCTCAGTCTCCTCCTCTATAAAATGGGCATCCTCATTGCACCCACCCCCAGGGCTGCTGTGAGGTATAGATGGATTAGCATATGGAAAGTAATAGAAGAGGGTCTCAAAGTCCATGTGTCGTTATCAGAATTATTTCGTGACAGGGGAGAGCTGGAGGAGAGAGGAAGGTGCTGAGCAGACCCGAGTGCTCTCCCACCAGTGTTTCCTGAGCACCTACTATGTGCTGCCCACTGTGAGAGCTGTTAGGGTTGAAATAGGGAGCACAGCAGGGTAGGGGCTGCCATCAGGAGCTTAGTGGGGAGACCATTGTGCAACATGATTCCAGCCCTTGGGGTGGGGAAGCTCAGGGAGTTCAGGGGCTTAGGATCCAGGGCAGAATCATGGAAAGGACACATCCTCCCCAGCCTCTCCTGCCTCCATTGCCTCCCTGGCCTCCTCTGCTTCCCTGGCCTCTCCTACCTTCCTGGCTTCCCCTTCTGCCCCGGCCTCCCCAGTCTCCCCTGTCTCTCCTGCTTTTGAGGTGGGCCAGGAGCTGCTAGTGCTCACTTAGCCTGTCCTGGGCTCTTGGTGTAGCACCTCAATGTCCAGAAAATACCCCCGAGTTCAGCTCATCACACAGTCAAGGAAAGAGCTCCACACTGACACTAAGGGTGCATCCTGGGCTCATTCATCAGGGCATGCCTCCAAAATATTTCTCCACGTCTCCTCCCTTTGCCCACCTGCACTGTCTCTGTGCCTGAGCCCCGGCTGGGGGCCTGCAAGGATTCCCTATCTCCTCTGCCCCTGCACGGCTGGGTCCCAGGCAATCTTTCTGCCCACCACACCTTCCTCCCCTTGCCCACCACGCTCCATCCCCACAGTCCTCTTTCTGCTTCTTTCCCAGCCTCTGGGCTTTTGCACACGCTGTTCCCTCTGCCTGAACACCCTCCACTGGGCTGAGAACAACTCTCTGAGACCTCTCTCAGCTGTTGTTTCCTTTGGAACAGCCGCTGCTGCTGTCACTTTCCCAGTTCCAAGACCTGCTGAGCCTCCTGTCTTTTTCAGTTCCCATGCCCCCAGCACTTCTCCTTGGCCTCCTTTGGCCGAGTTGACAATGTCCATTCTCAATGCCTTCCCACCCAGCGCTGAGCCCCACTGGGTGAAGGCAATGCCTGTCATGTTCTCCACAATATCCCCTCCCCCATCACCACACCTGGTCCACAGTGATGCTCAAAAAAGATCTGTTGGTAGGCAATGGGAAGGTGCATTCATGTCATCCTGCAGGCGGAATTCTCCACGAGTTTTGAGCAGCCTCGGTTTTCCCACCCCCTCCAAATCATGGAAGACACACGGTAAGAGCAAAGACAAGGTGGCTGTGGCCTATGTCTACCCTCTCGGGGCGTCCCTTGTCTTCTCTCCTCCTTGGGCAGGGAGACCATCGGAGTGCAACCTGGCTGGGGCGGGGAGGAGGTGCAGGGCCTGGCCAGAGCGGGCCTGGCCACGGGCAAGGGACAGCGACCTCCTGGGCCAGGACAGGTGAGCGCGGCGCAGGCCCGGGCCCGGCGTGTCCGCGCTGCGCGGGAGAGGCCAGCAGAGGGCGCCAGAGAGCCAGGAGCGGCCCGCGGAGGAGCCCGCGCCCGCCCCGATGCCCAGCTCCGCGCCTCGCGGACCCAGCAAGCTCGCGCTCAGACGCCCCAGCTCCGCCGAGAGGACGCTCGCCCCGGGTGCTTCTTTTTCCCCAAGTGCAGGCAGAGCCCCTGGAGCCATGGCCAGCCCTTCCGGCAGCTCCGAAGCCACTGGCAAGCCCCGAGGCAGGGATGGCCGGCCCAGGAGGGAGGAGGACGACGTCCCTCCTGAAGAGAAGAGGCTGCGGCTGTTGCTGGAGGGGGGAAGCGCACAGCCCGAGGACTGCGAGGACGGGGAGGACGCGCTGCGGCCGGGCAAGGAGGACACCGGCACCCAGACAGGTGGCGACGGCAGAGGAGTAAGTGACGCGGGCGCGGGGGTCCGGGGGCGCGGAGGTGCCGGGGACGCGGGGTAGAGGCGGCGGGAGGCTCCGTGGCCGGTTCCGGGTTGAAGTTGGTTACTGAGCGGCAACTCCGGCGGCACGGAGTGACAGCTGGTGACGGCCTCCGAGACGCCAGCTGCCCCTTCTCGGCTGTGTGGCTTCGACTTCCTGATTCTCCCACGACGTCCCTGGCTGGGATACCCGCTGGACTCTGCGGCTGGCCAAAAGGGGAGGGGGAGCCCCGCGTCCTGGGGGCCCCCAGCAGGGGAAGGGGGGGGGTTGCCCTGGGCATCCTGTCTGGGGCATCTGTCTGGGACTCTGTCGGTGCCTCTCACCTGGCGAGGGGCCTGTGGTGGGGGCAGGGGGGAAGTCCCTGGTGCCAGGCTTGGCCAAGCCCTGCTCTGCTGGGCTGCGAGCTGGTGGCGCTCACCCAGCTCGTCACCTGTCCCGCATCTTCCTGTTTTTTTTTTCCCTTTCTAGTTGGGCAGCCAGAGTTGAGAGGAGGCAGATGGCTTCCATCCCAGAAATCGTTCTCTTTCCATCCCTACAGAGAGGGACAGAGAGGCAAAGTTCCTTGCATTCCCTGGGGCGCTGTCCCTATGAGCTCCCGGTGTCCTGCACACGTGGGCCCCTGAGTCACCGGGCCTGTGTGTGTGGGATGGTGCTCCGTGGCCAGCCTGGCCTCCTGGGGTTCACTTTCTGCTTTCCTACCCCAAATCTTCCTGTGTGGCTTTGCTGGCCTTCCACTGGGGAGGCACGTGAGTTTGGAGAGCAGATGAAGGCCAGCTGGAGAGCTGTACCCCTCAGTGACTGCTGCCACCTTGATGGTTTTTGATGGATAATGGGGTTGACCTCTTTGTTCCTTCCACATGTTTTTATGTTTGACCATTTACTTAACTGAGCTTGTCTTAATAATTGGATTCGTGGTTAATGAGCCCCACATGGGAGAGAGGGCGGCCTTCATTCTGAACCCATTTAGGCAGCACGGGCAGCCCTCCTCGCCGTGGGCTGCATCAGAGCCCCACCCTGCCCAGTCTTGGGGTTGCTCCCGGATGCTGCCTGGGAGGCTTTCTCATGGTGACATCCTCATCTCCCTGTGCTCGTTACTGCATTCAGAGCTTGGGTCACCTGGACACTGAACTCAGGTGAATTTTCTCTGAGATCCCAGGAGAAGGAGGACAGTTCTCTGGAAGGTTTTCCAGGGCCAATCACGGACAGGATAAGAAGGGAGAGGTCCTGATCGGGAACACAATTACGGTGGCAGTGTAACGCCGGGAAACTTTATTGCGTGAAGGCCCTCTCACTCCCTCTACCTCCTTCTTTTACGTGGACTCTGCCAAAGACCAGGATACTATAATGCAGTAAGGTGACCAAGCGTAGTGGGACCTTGGGAACACGAGTCTGGAGCCAGGCAGCTGGGGTTTGGATCCTGGTTCTGCCCCTCCTTCGCTGGCTGACATGGCACAAGCCACTTACCCTCTATGAGCCTTACTGTCTTCAGTGGCAAATGGATCGGTCTACAGACCCCAGTGCCTGCGGTTGTTACTGCTGAGATTAAGGGAAACTCGTCCATAGAAGCACTTAGCGTTGTGCCTGGCACATAGTGTATGGCGGATAAATGGGACTCAGGACTGAAACTCATGCCTTAGTGTGTTTTTGCAGTGATGTTTTGTTCTGGGGTGCATCACAAGAGACAAGGTCCTTGGCCGGGCGTGGTGGCTCAAGCCAATAATCCCAGCACTTTGAGAGGGTGAAGGGGGGATCGCTTGAGCCCAGCAGTTTAACACGAGCCAGGGCAACATGGTGAAGCCTCATATCTACCAAAAAACAAAACAAAACAAAACAAAACAAAACAAAAGCCAAGTATGGTGGTGTGTGCCTGTAGTCCCAAGTACTTTGGAGGCTGAGGTGGGAGGATTGCTAGAGCCTGGAAGGTCGGGCTGCAGTGAGCTGTGATCATGCCACTGCACTCCAGCCTGGGTGACAAAGTGGGATCCTGTTTCAAGGAAAAGACAGAGAGAGAGAGAGAGACAGACAGACCCACAAGAGTCTTAAGCCAGAATCTCCATGTTAAAATGCTTTCTGGAGGCTAAAAGGATGATATGTTGATAATGAAATATTTAAAAGACAGAAACCCCACTGAATTGTTTGGTCCACAGAGGGTAATGGGAATCGCATGACCTGAAGGATGATGGAGGAACTGAATAGAAACCATCCTTGTTTCCTGAATCTGAACATGGCACCCTCTTTTCACGGTGTCTGTATCTGCTCAGTCCAGTGGCCCCTTGAAAAGAGGGAATCTTGATTTTCAAACTTAAAATTTGGCCCAAAGCCCACTGCTGCCCACAATGCCCGCCAGACACATTCCTCTTCCTTTTTAGTTTCTATGGAAATACTCTTTCTGAAGAACCCATGAAGCAGTGTCAGGCTGGTACGAGGATCAGCAGTGATTTCTTTGAGGACAAGAGCCGGTTTCTTCACTCACAGTCCATGTCTGAGTGGATCAAGAAGAACAGAGTGCCCTTTTATGAGATTTTGTCTGCGTAGACCACTAGCTTGGTAAAAATGCCAAAACCATCCTCGTTCTTTAATATCAGATTATTTTGGACTTTTCTCTATAAGAAGCAGCATGGGCATTCAGATGCTTTTAAGGATAAAATGTTCTTTCTCATCACCAGGCCTGGTGCTCTGGATGGCTGAGGTTTTAATGTGACTTGGTGTCCCTTGGAGTGGCTCCCAGGCTGTGCTCTTGTGGTTGGGTGGCAAGGGGTTTCTTTATTCGGTGGTGGCTAGAGGATGTTTTAGCAGATAAATCGGGACCCCAGGAGCCCCTGTGTTGCAAGTCCTGCTGCAGGGCATGTGTTTATAGTGGGGATGTGGGGAGGTGGAGGGTGGGGGGCATTGATTTCCTGCCAATATCAGAAGTTTCACAGGCTTCTTGTGTATCCACAAACACCGACCCCATTGAGAAGGCCTAGAAAACCTGGCCCTCCCCAAGCCTTTATTGACAACTTGTGAATGATCCCAGGGTGTGTCTGACCCACAGCTCCTCCTGGAGGGAGAGCAAAGTCTCTCCTAGGTATTTGGTTATCAACCTCAACCACTTGCTGAGCCTTCCCCAAGACCAGGCATCTTGTCAGAGATTTCTGGGTTGTCAGGCAGAACCGAGCATTCGAGGATAATAACTCACTGGAGTCCCTGAAATCCTTGATGGACGCACCAGTTGAAAGCATCCAGGGTTGAAACCAGATCAGGAAGGTTATTCTCATCTTGGGGCTCCTGCAGAGGGATTCCTGCAGAGGTGCATCCACGTTGCAGGGATTTTCCTTCTTGCTGAGGAGAAATCTGGGTTTCTCCGCTTTGGCACAGTCACAACATTTGGGGTCAGACCATTCATGGTGGTGGTGGTGGTGGGGAGGCCGTCCTGTGTATTGTAAGATGGTTAGCAGCATCTGTGGTCTCCATCCTCTAGGTACCATTTTACCCTCCCAGTTATGGCTACTCCAGATGTCTCCAGATGGTTTCAAATGCCGTGGAGCAAGGGAGTTGTACGTGAGCCAAACCACTCCAGTTGAGAGCCATTGGTCTACACTTGTGGAAATGTTTGAGGGTGAGAGTGTCAAGCTTGGGTCCCTGCTGTACTCTTTATCAGCAATGCAGTCTTGGAAAATTAATACAACTCCAGGGGCCTCAGGTTTCTCATCTATGAAATGGAGATAAATGAGATACACTTTCATAGGAAGGTTACATGGGATTTACTGAGATAATAAGACAGTACATTGAAAATGCTGGGCATAGCATTTATTTATCTTTATTTTGTTTTTAAGATGGAGTCTTACTCTGTTGCCCAGCCTGGAGTGCAGTGGCATGATCTCCGCTCACTGCAACCTCCACCTCCTGGGCTCAAGTGATTCTCGTGCCTCAGCCTCCCAAGTAGCTGGGAGTACAGTTGCCCACCACCACACCTGGCTAATTTTTGTATTTTTAGTAGAGATGTGGTTTCACCATGTTGGCCAGGCTGGCCTCAATCTCCTGACCTAAGGTGATCCACCCAGCTCGGCCTCCCAAGGTGCTGAGATCACATGTGTGAGCCACCACCCTGGGCTGGGCATAGCATTGTAACACAGACAAATCACAAAATACTTGGGCAATATCTTTCTACATTTGGGTTGTCTAGACTCCATCCTCCATCCCCTCATGTACTGGTGTGGTGCAGAGCAGAATGTCACCCACCTAGACTGCAGAGTGGATTTGGGTGGCATCTTGGCTTTCTGCACAAGACTTGCCTGTTCCCCACCATGTCCCCCTGGTTCTCAGGGTCCAGGATTCCAGGAAGCAGGGATGTGGGCAGGAAGGGCAGGTGGCCCACCCGGTTCACTCCCACGCTGGGGACCTGCAGAGCCAGCTCCCTGAGACAGGGTGTTTGGACCAACATCTGGGTTTCTGGATTTCCATTTGAGCACAGCTGGACTACACAGGCTGAAGCTCTCTCTGCCGAGATATAGATATTTCCCTGGTGATGATCTTTCAAGCTGACATGAAGACATGGCCACCTGCTGGAACGTGTTGTGTCTGCTGTGGCGCTCTTGTAATTTGTGAGGCAGGCTCCTGAGGAATGCAGTGCGTAAGTGGGAAATGGTGGGAAGTTCTAGCATCCTCCCCTGGCCAAAAGTGCTGCCTGCACAGGTTGGTGGATGGTCCTTCGAGCAGGAAGAAGACATGAAACACATTCCTGTTAGCTACGACAGAGAGGGGCAGGGTACACACTGGACATTTCGAGCCCATCCAGAGAAGCAAGTCTTACTATGTTGGGAGTACTTTGGAATGGGGGCTGTGTTGCCCTGGGCTTTAATTATTTCAGGAACATTTAACCCCAGGGTTGGCAGGCTGGATCTTGATATGTGTTTCTCAGTTGGAAAGACTTTGGACCATATGGAGATGTCTTCTCAATTCTTTTAATTTCAGTAAGGTTGTCATTTTTCTTCTTGTGGCCTCTGGAATGTGACACAGAACTCAAGGGACAGGAAGGAGATGATTTGGAGGCTGGGACAGGGGTCCCTGCCAGGGATGCTGGTGACTCACGTGACGGTGTTGATGTGTGGAGTCCGGTGCCTGGTTTGGGGAATGTTCGTGGGATATGTTCCAAAGGACTGACGGACCTATCTGGTACTGGAGGTGAATGGTCAGGTCTGATCTCAGGGCTGTTAGTGTCAGGCAAGGACAGGAAGTTGACGTTGGACTCATTGGCTGAGGTTGCTTGGGACCCAGGGGGCAATGTGTGCCAGGACAGATGGGTCTGGGGCTAGGAAGGCAGATTTGGGCTGGAGACTCGGGCTTGGGAGGCATCCCAGGTAGACAGTGGTTGAGGCTGTGGAAATGACCGCGATTGCCTGGGATGAGAGTGGAGACAGACAAGATGGGGGTTTTGCTTTAAGCCTGGGGAGCCCACCTCCCAGGTTCAAGCGATTCTCCTGCTTCAGCCTCCCAAGTAGCTGGGAATGCACGTGCATGCCACCATGCCTGACTAACTTTTGTATTTTTAGTAGAGATGAGGTTTGGCCAGGCTGGTCTCAAACTTCTGACTTCAAGTGATCGGCCCACCTTGGCCTCCCAAAGTGCTGGGATTACAGGCATGAGCCACCATGCCTGACCATTTTTAAATATTAATTTTTATGAAATATTTTCAAGCACATTTTACTATACATTGGAAAAGTCAATCATGATTTGAAAACTTCATCAAAATCCAATCAAATGTCAATTAACCATTTAATTGTGGATAGGTAAGGAGACTATTTTGACCAAAACATATTAGAACAATTAACACTTATAGAAATAATCTATGTTTTAATGTTTTAGTTGAATTAAACCATCTTTTATATTCTGGCCGGGCACAGTGGCTTACACTTGTAATCCCAGCACTTTGGGAGGCCGAGGCTGGCAGATCACCCAAGGTCAGTAGTTCGAGAGCAGCCTGGTCAACATGGCGAAACTGTCTCTACTTAAAATACAGAAATTAGCCAGGCGTGATGGCATACACCTGTAATCCCAGCTACTTGGGAAGCTGAGGTAGGAGAATCATTTGAATCTGGGAGACAGAGGTTGCAGTCAGCCGAGATCGCACCACTGTACTTCAGCCAGCCTGGGTGACAGAGAGAGACTCTGTTTCAAAAATAAATAAATAAATAAAATAGAATTCTGAATTTTATTTTTAATAATTATTTTTGTAAAGAGAATGTCTTGTTTTTTGGAGTTGTTGAATTTATTGAATTGGCAAAAATTATGTACAAAAGGGTATACAACATGATGTGATTGAAGTATGTGTACATTATGAAATGGCTAAATCAAGGTAAATAACATATCACCTCCAAGACTTATTTTTTTGTGGTGAGAACACTTAAAAAATCTACTCTCTTAGTGATTTCCAAGTGTATGATATGTTGTTATTAACTATAGGTACCATGTTGTCCCACGGATCTCCTGAACTTATTCTTCTCTAAAAATGACATTCTGTGTCCTTTGGCATCTGCCCACTTCCCCACTCTGGCAACCATCATTCTACTACACTTCTATGAATTCAACTTTTTTCTTTTCTTTTTCTTTCTTTTTTTTGAGACAATCTCCTTCTATTGCCCAGGCTGTAGTGCAGGGGTGTGATCTTGGCTCACTGCAGCCTTGACGTCCCAAGTTCAATCAATCCTCCCACCTCAGCCTCCTGAGTATCTGGGAGTACAGGCATGCACTACCATGCTCCAATAATTTTTGTATTTTTTGTAGAGATGGGCTATTGCTATGTTATGCAGGCTGGTCTCGAACTGCTGTGCTCAAGCAATGTACCAGCCTCAACTTCCCAAAGTGCTGGGATTACAGGCATGAGCCACCATGCCTGGCTGAGTTCAACTTTTTTAGATTCCACATGTAAGTGAGATAATGTGGTATTTGTTGTTCTGTGCCTGGCTTATTTCACTTAACATAATATCCTGCAGGCTCATCCATGTTGTCTCAAATGGCAGGATTTCCTTCTTTTTGAAGGCTGAATAGTATTCCATTGTGTACATACACCACATTGTTGCTGGAAGTTTAATGGAGGCCAGTTGGGGGAGGAGGGGGAGAAGATTCACTCTAAGTCTAGATGCTCCAGCACCCACCCAGGATGTGTGCAAGGAAGTGCAGGATGCTCCTGGTCTTGCAAACTGTGGTTTGTGGGACTCCAAAGCCCCTATCCTTCCACGATGCTTTCTGTCCTGTTATCACATTTCCTTGGAGGAGAACCCAGCCTTGGTGGAGAGCTCTGCTCTGTCTTTGTCCCTCGGCATGAGATGGCAAAGGATGGTGCCGCTGGGAGACCCTCACGTCTGCATACTGGGGGCTGTTTGCCTTCTCCATTCCTCCTTCAAGTATCTGAGCAGCTCCTGTGTGCCAGCTGCTGGTCTACAAGACGGATCGGTCCTTGGAGATCACGCTGTAGCAGAGGAGGCAGGCTGTAGCCCACAGGCCAGAACCAGCTCCCTGCCTGTTCATACATATAAAGTTTTATTGGAACACAGCCACACCCATTTCAGTGCATATTGTCTGTGGCTGCTTTCCTGCTACAATGGAGAGTTGGAGAGTTGGGACAGAGACCTATGGCCTGCAAAGCTGAACTATTTACCATCTGGCTCTCAAGAAAAAGGAAAAAAAAATGCTTATCTTTGTACCCCGACAGTCTTAGATTAAGAGGACTTTGTACCACCCTGACGTTACAGGCGGCCATGAGTCCAGCCACCCCTGAAATGTACACACGTCTGGGCTGGGGTTGCAGCAGGTGAGTCCCAATTTTGCAGATCTTTGGTATCAGGAGCACAACCCAGGATTTTGAGTGGGGTTTCCTCATCACTGTGGCTGGGCACTGGGCTAGTGTGCTTTCTGATTTTTGTATGGGGAAGAGAAAGGAGGGAGGAAATGGCAACTTGTTGCCCTGTTCTAACATTTTCCTAAGATGGGTCTCCAGGTAAGGGCTTGGGATCTCACCTTGCACAGCTTACAAAACCCAGTGAGGCCGGCTGTCTTGGCGCTGCCACTCTGAGTGATGGAGCCCCTAAATGACTAGGAAGGGAGATAAAAGAATGGTTTCTGCAAGCTCAAGAACTGGCGTTATTGAAATTAACATTTCCCCCAAGTTTTACAATGTCTAGGCACGCATATTTAAGTGTCTGCCTCAAAAGCTCATGCTAATAACGAGATGGTGCATTTCATTTCCTTTTTTTGTTCTCTGAGCAACATGCAGCTTCCTGCACAGCCCTCCTTGCAGGCAACTGCACTGAGGTGACAGTCCTCCTGACTGCCAGCACAGATCCCCAGGGCCTCTGAGAGCCCTGTATTCTGGGGGCAGCCTTTCCCCCTTCTATTTGGCCCCAGCTGGAAGGGGGCAGATTACCCACATCACAGCACAGGTCTCCCGCCTTAGCTTCTGTAGGGAGTCTGGCTCCCTCTGACCCTCTAGACCTCACTAGCTGAGGATCAGAGCCCCGGGGCAGGAGCCAGGGCCAGGGGGCATTGGGGGTGGTTTGAGAGTGCAGCTCTGGAGGGGGGCAGTGCGGGCCCAGGAAAAGCTGCTCAGGGGAGACTGCAAAGAGATGGCAGAGTTAGGACAAGAGGGCCGGGCATGGTGGCTCACACCTGTAATCCCAGCACTTTGGGAGGCCGAGGTGGGCGGATGGCCTGAGGCCAGGAGTTTGAGACTAGCCTGGCCTACATGGTGAAAACCTGTCTCTACTAAAAATACAATAATTAGCCGGACATGGTGACACCTATAATACCAGCTACTCGGGAAGCTGAGCCATGAGAATTGCTTGAACCCGGAAGGTGGAGGTTGCAGTGAGCTGAGATTGTGCCACTGTACTCCAGCCTGGGCAACAGAGCAAGATTCCGTCTCAAAAAAAAAAAAAAAGTCAGGACAAAAGGAGGAGGGAAGAGAAGGGAGCTGTGGGTCAGCGGCCAGGACCTTAAAGGCACAGAAGAGGAAGCTTGGATTTCCAATTCCAAAGGACATGAAGTCAAGCACCTTTATTTAACCTGCTCCAGGTGAGGCTGGGCTTTGTGTATTTTCCTTGTTTTCCTTTTCCTTGTGTTCAGGCTGTTGTAGAAAGAGGTACACAGGGGCTCTGTGTGGTGCCCTGTTCTGGTGGCCTTCAGGAAGCATGGGATGCCCTGGTTTCCTTGGCTTCGTGTCCCCCTTTCCTCCTGCTACCCCTGACTGTGCACCCCACCTTATACCTCAGACCATCCTCCTGAAGGGGCCTGGCCAGGGCTTGTGTCCTTGCTAGTCTCTAGGAAGGAAGACTCTGTGGCTTGAAAGCTTGTTGGCTTAAGCTGCAAGGTGTAGGTGCCTGGGAGGGCATGTGAACGGCCCTTTGACTGATCCATTCATGTTTTTCTTTTTTGACTCTGTTCTATGTTGTCCTGACGGAGGGGTAAGCCCCTGCCTTCTGCCTTTCCTGCCTTGGACTCTTGCAATTGGACCAGATGAGAGGGTCCATGTGGTCTGAGAATTCAAGCAATGTAGGCCAGGCATGGTGGCTCACACCTGTGATCTCAGCACTTTTGGAGGCCAAGGTGGGTGGGCCAGGAGTTTGAGACCAGCTTGGCCAAAATAGTGAAACCCTGTCTCTACAAAAAATACAAAAGTTAGCCAGGCTTGGTGGTGCGCACCTGTAATCCTAGTTATTTGGGAGGCTGAGGCAAGAGAATCACTGGAACCCAGAAGGAGTAAGCCGCAATGAGGAGCAGGTTGCAGTGAGGAGGAGGTTGCGGTGAGGAGGAGGTTGCGGTGAGGAGGAGGTTGCAGTGAGGAGGAGGTTGCAGTGGGCCGAGATTGTGTCCCTGGACTCCAGACTGGGCAATAGAGGGAGACTATGTTTCCAAAAAAAAAAAAAAATTATATAGAAAACAAAAAACTAAACATCCTCTTGACTTGCTTTTCTTGATCTTGCTTCTCAGAGGTAACACTGGGAAGGGTTGGGGTATACCTCTCCACAGCTTTTTCTTTGATTTCTGTTTACTTTTTATTCTACGTTCTGAGATACATGTGCAGAACGTGCAGTTTTGTTACATAGATATACATGTGCCATGGTGGTTTGCTGCACCTATCAACCCGTCATCTTTGTTTTAAGCCCCGCATGCATTAGGTATTTGACCTAACGCTCCCCCTCGCCTTGTCCCCCACCCCCGACAGGCCCCGGTGTGTGATGTTCCCCTCCCTGTGTCCATGTGTTCTCATTGTTCAACTCCCACTTATGAGTGAGAACCCGCAGAGTTTGGTTTTCTGTTCCTGTCCACACCTTTTTCCTCTGTGCACGCAAGCACATGTATTTGCACATAAGTGTTTATTGTAACTTTTTTAAAAAGTAAAATGGAATAATGCCGTATTTATTCTTTGGAAAGCCTGCTTTTCAGGCAGCATGTCTTTGACATTGTCTCACGTTGGAACCTGGGAACCACCTTCTTTTCCCAGCAGTTATTCTGACGTGTGGATGCACCTTGCTTCGTTTAACCAGCCCTGCACCGATACTTCTTTGGATGGTTTCCGCCTTTTCCCAATCACAGACGGTGTTCTGATGAATTTCCTTACACACATCACTTGGTGCTGTGTCTGCATTTCTGTGAGATGTTCCTGGAGGTGGGCTGTCTAGGTCAGAGGGGTATCTGTGCTTAATTTGCATCCTGTGCAAAATTCCATCCAGTCATCCAGCTCCCCAAGGGCTCACATGGTACTGTCCTCTGTAGACATCATCTTCTGCAGATGATGGCACGACCGCCTCTCTTTCTTTTACTCACACCAGTCTGCACCCTGGTGTCCTGGGGGGTCCAGCCCCTACCCGCTTGTCTGCCCCCACCCCACAGTCCCCCCAGCCCCTGCTAACAGGGACTCTGGCTTCTGAGCTCTGGCAGACTGCCTCACTCTGGAGAAGTTTGCTTTCTCAAACATTCCTGGCAATGTTACTGCAAATCTCGAGGCCTGCATTTGCCGCCTTCAGGCCTCAGTTTCCTCAAAAGTAAAATGGGGATAATGTGATGCTACTGTCTGCATCCTAGAGCTGCCATGAGGGTTCAGTGAGATCACTGTTGAGAGCACGTTCACAGTGCCGGCCTTGTGCGCAGTCAGCACGTGTGGGGCAGGGCTGTTGCTGATAGGTGGTTGACTGTCATTGCTAGACTGTGGCTTTACCAGGGGCATTGTCTTTAGTGCCGAGCCCAGAGCCACCCCTAGTACCTGCTGTGTTTATAGAGTGATTGAGTGTCAGGGTCAGAGACTGGGGCAATGGCAGCAGAAACAGAGGAAAGAAGTGGGGCTTCTAATAGTTCCTGCACTAGTGGCTTTTGAGATGAAGCCTTCTTGCCAAGGTCTGGGGCTGTGCTGTGTGTTCTAGGCCCGAGACTGGAAGCTAGGCCTGGCTGCAGTCCCAGCTGACCTGGGGAAGTGCAGGTCAGCATCCTGCTTCAGTAGGACACCTCCAAGCCCAGCTTAGAACTGGATGCCAGGTGACCCTCTGTTTACTCTGAGCCCAGACAGAGGACAGGGAAATGTGCAAGGGTGGGGACCCTCATCACAGCCCTTGACTCTGTAAGGCATATGGGTTTGTGCACGTGTGTGAGCACGGCCGTGGCTTTTCTGTGAGTTTCAAGCTCGAGGTTGTGTTTATGCAGGGTTAGGCTTGCCAGGTAAAATACAGGAAGTCCAATTAAACCTGAATTTCTCATTAACCTTTTTTTTTTTTTTGGTGCAAATATATCCCATGCAATATTTGGGACCTGCTTACCCTAAAAAATGATTTGTTGTTTATCTGAAATTCAAGTTAAACTGGCATCCTGTCTTTTCACTTGCTACGTATGAGAGTTCCGTGTGGGGGTTATCAGTGTGCATTTGTGAGTTCCCATGTGAAGGACTCTCTCCAAGTGTCTGTAGGTGCCAGGATGGAGATGGACAGAGAAGATCCTCTCGGGCTGCTTTAGTGGCACCTAGAGGCTGTGGGGTTGGACACCTCAGCCCAGGGGCCTAGGCAGCACTGCCCAGCACCTGTGTGCTCCTGTCTTCTTCATGGGGGCTGACTTCCCTGCCATCTCTGTCCAAATACGGTGGCAAGAGCTATCCCATCCGCCCCCATCTTGAGCTCGGCTGCCCAGCCAGACAAGATGGCAAACAGTGTGCAGATGGCTGCAAAGCTTTCCCCAGCTCCTTCTGCACGGGGCCTGCAGATGAAATGGAAGCCCTCATCTTCACCGCCTCCCCCTTCCAGAAAACCCAGGCAACAGCCACCTCTGAATGCTGCTTTAGAAGCTTCTCCCTCCTGGTGATTAAACCACCACAAACAAATAAAGCACTGCATTTCCACCATAGGCTTGTTCACATGCACGCAGCCAGTTGTCTTGGATCCGCCCCTGTGCCTGATTCATCAGGGTGAGGGATTCTCCTCTGAGGTGCTTGCAAAGAGCTTCTTAATTTTCATCTGAAAGGGCTTTGGAAGAAAGCCCTTTCTCCCCCTTTAGCAAATTCTGTGTCATTCTTTTTTTTTTTCTTTCTTTTTGAGACGGAGTTTCACTTTTGCTGCCCAGGCTGGAGTGCAATAGTGCAATCTCGGTTCACTGCAGTCTCTGCCTCCCTGGTTCAAGCGATTCTCCTGCCTCAGCCTCCTGAGTAGCTGGGACTACAGGCACCCACAACCATACCTGGCTAATTTTTTTGTATTTTTAGTAGAGAGGGAGTTTCACCATGTTGGCCAGGCTGGTCTCGAACTCCTGACCTCAGGTGATCTACCTCGGCCTCCCAAAGTGCTGGGATTACAGATGTGAGCCACCATGCCTGGCCGGAATTCTGTGTCATTCTGGATACTTATCGTGACTTCAAGCATCCAGGACTCTGTCCTGGGTATCCTGAGCCTGAGGCTGTATGGCTTGGAGGTTGTCTACAGGCAGGTTGAACTTGGCCTCTGAGTCCATGGCAGCCTCACATGGGAAATACCACCAAGGAGCTTCATCCTGTGCTTTTAGGAGATAGTTTCTATTTAGTCATTGCTGAATCTGTTACAGACAGTGTCTCAGTTTCTTGCAAGTCCTGTTTGAGGTGGGTGCTGTGATTATCCACATGTTCACTTGTTCTTTCTGGCCTCTTTCAGGCTCTTGCACTTCCTTTGCTCTTTTCCTGCGACGGGGCCTTTGCACATCCTGCTTTTTCTGCCTGGAACGATTTTCCCTCTCCCTACCTGTTCACCTGATCATGGTCTCATCTGACAGTGGAGTCACTACATCCTCAGGGACACCTGGCCACACTGACTCAGTCACAGCAACCCCCTGTTAACTACTTTCATGACACCAGATGTCATGAGCTCAGCTATGGCTTCCTATTTCTGTGCGTGTCATCCTTCCCCTTCAAGACTGTGGTCACCATGATGGCCAGGGCCATGCCTGTTCCTGATTCTCATTTGTGTCTCTGATGTTTAGTATATGCTTACCTAGAATTTGATTAATGAATGACGGCATACCCATTTTACAGATGAGAAAGTTGAGGCTCAGGGACATTATGTAACTTGCTCAGTATTAGATAGTGATGGTTAGAAGCCATCTGGCTGGTCGCTGGGTGCACACTCTTAACCACTTCACTGTGGTTCTTCTCTCATGGTAGTCCTCCAACAGCAGGAGTGAGAGACAACTTTAGGACAGGTGTAACCAGAATCCCAGGGGTTATCCTAGAAGGTGGTGTCAGGAACATGCTTGCCTATGGGCCTTCTTACTGTATTGCATAAAATACCCCGTGTTTCTGACTCGCCTTTAGTAAAGACCTTAGCAATATTTGAAGCACAGTTCTCAGTAGGAAAGGGTGGGTGTTTATACTTTTTTAAAAAGGAGTCTATATCATATTTATCTTGTGGTCTGCCATGCCCCCCGATCTTCCTCAGCTTCAGTTATGCAAAATTAACACTTCTTCTCTTGACTGCCTCTCTCTTATCTGTTCAGTTTCTTTTCTGTGTTCGAGATTGCTTAGAATTTTTCCCCATTACTACAGCCTGCTTCCCACCTTTATCCCCCAGACAGCTTGTTCTGGATTTTGTCAACAACAGTTCCAGCGTTTAGTGAGGGCTGGACTGAAGGAAAGCCTTGGAAAAGGCTGTGTGATGAATGGTGAAGACACGTAATGGGCAGGCAGTCATCAGGGTTAATTCAAAGGCTGGAAGAAGGGCTGACCTGGAGGACTGGAAATGTCTTTGAGCTGAAGGTCATGTGCAGGTGGAACGAAGAGGGTGAGCCTTTTGGGGTGAACTGCAAGCATTTGATAAGATCCCTGTCCCCATGGTTGGGGAAGTCTTGATAAGCATCCTCAATATGATGGAGGGATCAAGGAACCCGTGGCTCTACCTGTCCAGCATGGCAGCAACATGGCACAGCCAAGTTATTGATTATTGGTTGCCCAGCTGTCATCACTCAACATCTTCTGTTAGTTATAGCTGTAATTTGCATTAGTTGTCAGTGCCAGTTCTGACTTTCCTAGTCAATAAAGTGTTCTGAGAGTGGCGACTAAGGCTGAGCACTACCCATAATCATGAGTATTACAGAGGTAAGCCGCCTTGCCCACCTACCTGCAGGTGATGACACACCCTAGGAAATCACTCAATTCTTTGGAGGACCCTGAATAAATGCTCAAGTCCATTTGTTCATCTGTCCATCCATCCATCCACCATTCCATCCATCCATGCATCCATCCATGCATCCATCCATCCATCCATCCATCCAGACACGCATACATCCATCCACCCACCTACCTATCTATCCACCCACCCACCCATCTATCCATCCAACCCACTCTCTTATGCACCCAGCTATCATCCACCTACCCACCCACCAACCCATCTATCCATCCACTCACCCATGCCTCTATCCACCTATTCACTCATCTACCCATCTGTCCACCCACCGGTCCATCCATTTATCTATCCCTCCACCCCCTCACCCACTCATCCATTTCTCCACCCACTCAGCCATCCCTTCACCGAGTCAACCATCCATTCATTCATCCATCTGCCCACCCACCCATCTTTCCATCCACCCATCTATCCACCTACCCACCTATGTATCCATCCACTGCTTGTCCTTCTGTTCATTTATTCCACAAAGACTCATTAACCACCTACTAGATTCTGGGGAGGTATCTGTTCTAGTAATTGAGAACATGGTTTCTGGAATCTGATTCCCTGGGCTCAAATTGAGCAGCCTCCTAGCTAGCTGCTTGGGTAAGTTATAGAAACCGTGCTTTGATTTTCTTATCTGAAAATTGGCTATTAATAGCTTCTACTCTTGCAGATATAGTGAGGATTAAATAAGATGTCACATTAAAAGTGCATCATCGACACTCAATAGAGATTAGGTTTTACCATTCATTATTATTCTTGGCAGATGCTGCAGATAACGTGGAGAGCATACGAAAGACACATGTTTGAACCAGTAGTGACATACAGGTGCTACGTTCTGCAGTAGGGGAAGGGCAGAGAGCCATGGAGAGGGCCTGGCCCAATCTTGGAGCCTCAGAAAAAAGTTCCCCGTTGAATTGCTGTTTTAGCTGAGACTTGTGGGATGGGTAGTAGTTGGAGATCCCAGACAGGAGGTGACCGAGTTAGCCAGGGAAAAATTGGGTCCTGGCACCCATGGCAGAGTTGAGTGATCCAGTCCTTCTGTCTCCTCTGGCTGGAAGTCCACCAGATCTGGGAATGTCCAGCTGGGGCAGGGGGCTGACAATGATCATGACCTTCACCTGTCCTCACATGTCCTCTGCCTCAGTCTCCTCTTCTGGAAAGTGGGATTGGAAACCACATCTGCTTCTCTCCCAGGACTGCTAGGAAGACAAGATTAGATGGCAGGTAAGAGCTCTTTGAAAATGAAAACATTCTGCTATTTGAATGCAAAGTGTTCTTCTTTGCCTGTGATGTTTCCTAATCTGTGAAATCATACTGGACCTCGAAGCTGTGTGTTAAAAAAAAATAGCAAAGTGGCTGGGCATGGTGGCTCATGCCTGTAATCCTAGCACTTTGAGAGGCTGAGGGGGGTGGATCACTTGAGGCCAGGAGTTCGATACCAGCCTGGCCAATATGTGAAACCCCATCTCTACTAAAAATACAAAAATTTGCCAGGTGTGGTGGCGTCTACCTGTAGTCCCAGCTACTCGGGAGGCTGAGGCACAAGAATCATTTGAACTCAGGAGGCAGAGGTTGCAGTGAGCCGAGATGGTGGCACCACTACGCTCCAGCCTGGGCGACAGAGCAAGGCTCTGTCTGAAAACAGAAAAAAAAAAAAAAAAAAAAAAGCAAAGTTAACACTTCCTCCATCTCTCCCCTAAGGGAGGCAATTTGTCAAAAATTGTTGTTGGATTTTACACACAGGGAAATCTAAGGAAGGTGTGGAAACCAGATCAGGAATCCAGACTCTCGTCTCTCTGTTTACAGGGTCTTAAATGGGGGAGCCACTTTGGGTTCTTTCCACAAGATTGCTTTGTAAAAAAAACAAGAAACAAACAAACAAACAAAATACTCAAAAAAACAGCCCTGACCTAAATATTCACAAGGGACCTTAGGCAATATCTGCAAACAAAAGCGAGTGATGAGTGGAATCTGTCGTCTTTACAACTAAGACAGCTCCAGAGTTGAAGCAAGTGGAAACATCTCTAGAGACAGAGATTTGGGTGGGTTTTGCCAGTTAAAAGCTATGAGAACCTGGGCAGGTTTACCTCTCTGAGCTTCTGTGACCTTGTAAAATAGGCTGCATTGCGCTAAATGTGCAGGAGGAATCCCAGCATCCTCCTGTGCACAAGGCTGGTTTCTTCCCATCCTTTTCCTTGTTCTGCCTCTCTCCTCCTCTCAGAGACGAATACATTTGGGCCCAGTAGGGGCCTATGTTTGCAAAAGCTCGCAGGTGATTCTCATGCAGCCAGCCTGGCTCTGGCACTGAGTTCTTGGACACTTCTGGAGGCACATTTACTAGTGAGGAAGATCACTGTGTGCTGAAGGCATGATTCATCTTCCATTCCTTTCTTCCATGAAACAAGGCGCATGGGTCGACTGAGCTGGGAGAGTCCACGGTGTCAGCCTCCCCCATGCTTCCCTCCCTCCCTATTCCTTGTGTGCTGTACGTTGTCTTGATTTCCTGTACTCTGCACCAAGCCAGGAGATGGTAAGATCTCAAAAAAATCATTTTTTTGGGAAATGGGATCAAGAGGGTTTTGGTTTGCTTGTTTGTTTGAGACAGGGTCTGTCTCCCAGGCTGGAGTGCAGTGTCATGACCTTGCTCACTGCAGCCTTGACCTTCTGGGCTCAGGTGATCCTCCTCCTCAGCCTCCTGAGTAGCTGGGACTGCAGGTGCACACCACCATGCCTGACTAATTTGTCTATTTTTTGTAGAGATGAGGATTCACCATGTTGCCTAGGCTGGTCTCAAACTCCTGGGCTCAAGCAGTCCTCCATCCACCTCGGCCTCCCAAAGTACTGAGATTACAGGCATGAGCTGCTGTGCCTGGCCAAGGTTTTTTTTTTTTTTTTTTTTTTTTTATTTTTTTTTATTTTTTTTTTTTTGAGACGGAGT
The DNA here is from genome assembly GCF_000001405.40 of Homo sapiens. Lineage (NCBI taxonomy): Eukaryota > Metazoa > Chordata > Mammalia > Primates > Hominidae > Homo > Homo sapiens. Next base: position 5,837,218 of record NW_018654717.1, on the reverse strand, counting down.
CTCGCTCTGTCGCTCAGGCTGGAGTGCAGTGGCGGGATCTCGGCTCACTGCAAGCTCCGCCTCCCGGGTTCACGCCATTCTCCTGCCTCAGCCTCCCAAGTAGCTGGGACTGCAGGCGCCCGCCACTACGCCCGGCTAATTTTTTGTATTTTTAGTAGAGACGGGGTTTCACCGTTTTAGCCGGGATGGTCTCGATCTCCTGACCTCGTGATCCGCCCGCCTCGGCCTCCCAAAGTGCTGGGATTACAGGCGTGAGCCACCGCGCCCGGCCAGGTTTTTTATTCATTATGAAAAATTTTCAATATACATAAAAGTAGAGAGACTAGTTTAATGAGCTATCATATACCCATCACATAGGTTTAAAAACTATTAACATTTGCAATGTTTGCTCCATTTGTTTTTCTGAAGTATTTAAAAAATAGTTTACAGTAGTTATGTAATTACATCCTGATATTCACCCCTATGTAATTTACTTTCCCTCTAAAAACATGAGGGCATTTTTTATATGATCATTGTCATACCTAATCAAATTACCAGTAATTCCTTAATATCCTCTAAGATCAAGTTTACATTCAGATGTCTTGTCCTCAAAATGTCAATTGTGATTATTTTTTTCTTTGAGCAAAGATAATAAGATCTCAAGATTTAATGACAGAGATTCCATGTTAGCCCTGATGTCTAACCTCTGTGGTCCATTGTGGCTTTACTTGAAAGCCTGAGGCTAGGCGTGGTGGCTCACATCTGTAATCCCAGCACTTTGGGAGGCCAAGGTAGGTGGAACATGAGGGCAAGAGATCAAGACCATCCTGACTAACATGGTGAAACCCTGTCTCTATTAAAAATACAAAAATTAGCCAGGTGTGGCAGCGGGTGCCTATAGTCCCAGCTACTCTGGAGGCTGAGGCAGGAGAATCACTTGAACCCGCGAGGCAGAAGTTGCAGTGAGCTGAGACTGCACCACTGGACGCCAGCCTGGGTGGCAAGAACGAGACTCTGGAAAAAAAAAAATAAACTCTCTCACTGTGGTCTCATAATAAAAGGACACTCCATTTCCTTTCTGGCCCCTCCTCCTTAATGTTAGCCCCCTCCTGTGGGGAGGAGGGGGTGACTTTCAGCGCAGGTTCAAACAATCCCAGGGCTGGCTCTGATCCCGATAAAACCCATCGACATGAATGAATGCTTCCCTTGCAAGTTATTGAAAGTATTGTAAATAGTGCACGTGGAGTGTCCTCATGATGCCTGGAATGGTAGTGAATATTTATAGGTTTCTTTTAGTGCCTTTTTTTTTTTTTTAGTGTTTTCTATAGTTCCATGTTTCTACAACCCTTAGGAACATCAGAATCATGTGTGTGTGGGTGCTTATTAAATACACCAGTTCCTGGAGCTCACTCCCAGTGACTGCCAGTCTGATGATTAGGGTCTCAGCTAGGACCTAGGTTTGCAAAAGCTCCCAGCTGATCTCATGCAGCCAGCCTGGCTCTGGCTCTGGCGCTGGGAGCTGGGTTGGGAACTAGTCTTTGGTGCTATTCTGCTGATACTTCAAGTTGGGCTCTTTGACTCTGTCTTGTATTGTCATCACTTGTATTCAGGTCTGTTCTTCCCCTGGATTGTAAACTCCTTGATGTCTGGGTCATCTCAGCTCATGATCTGAGCTTTCAGTGGGTGCTCAGTGGAACAGGTGCTGAATGGAGTCAGGCTCTAGGGAGACCAGCGTGTGTTGTTAAGTGAGAGACAAAAATCATTTTAAAAAGAATCTTTTTGCCCTTCAGTTGTGTTTGCCATGAGTTAATGTGATTTACTCTAGTGGAAGCCAGTGCAGCTTAAGTGGAGGTCTTGTCCTGAAATGGAGCCAGGTTATGGATCAGCAGAGCTGCCAAAAGCGTTTTGGGGGAAATGTTTCTGTGTCACCCTCAGTTGATTGAACTCAAGTTTTCACTCCCGTTTAACACCACGTGGGGGCCATTCTGACTTCTGCGGAGTGGGTATGATCAGATCTTCTGTAAAAGTGTAAGTGAGGGGGCTGGGCACGGTGGCTCACACCTGTAATCTTAGCACTTGGGAGGCTGAGGTAAGTGTATCACTTGAGGCTGAGAGTTTGAGACAGGCCTGGACGACATGATGAAACCTCATCTCTACTAAAAATACAAAAATTAGCCAGGCATGATGGTGTATGCCTGTAATGCCAGCTACTCAGGATGCTGAGGCAGGAGAATCGCTTGAACCTGGGAGGTGGAGGTTGCAGTGAGCTGAGGTTGCACCATTGCACAGCATTCCAGCCTGGGTGACAGAGCGAGACTCTGTCTCAAAAAAAAAAAAAAAAAAAAAAAAAAAAAAAAAAAAAAGTGTATGTGAGGAAACTGGAATTGAGCTTGGGGATGTTGGGGGATGGAGGTACTTCATTTACTGAACAACAAAAACCATAGGATACCAATGCTGGAGGAAGAAGCATCATCCTCAGTTTCTACTAACCCAGCCATGCATGAGATGGGGATTTGGTGTCCGAGAGAAAAGCTTCTTTTTAGGTCTTGAACCTTGATCAAACCATTTCTGAATTCCTCATACACATATAATCAGGTGCTATGAGTGGTACTGATTGGATAATCTTTCTGTCGTTTCCTGTGCTAGGAAGGAAAATACATGTACAGCCAACTTCCTTGAGGGTTCGTTCTTTTGCATCAGGGTGCCTCAAACTGCTGCCCTTAAAACACGTGTAAGAGAATCATCCAGGCGGCTTGCTCGCTCTGCATGCATACCCTTTAGAATCAGAGTCAGAATCCCTGGGGCTGGAGCCACAAAATGACATGACATTTCAACGACTTTGTCATCATGTGAGAGAGAATAGGTGAGTATTTGGATACCTATAATACAAAGTAGATTAAAAAAGAATGACTTGATTATTTTAAATGTTGTGTTTTTAAAAATTTAATACAGAAAAGGCTGGGCGCGGTGGCTCATGCCTGTAATCTTAGCACTTTGGGAGGCCAAGGCGGGTGGATCATTTGAGGTCAGGAGTTCAAGACCAGCCTGGCCAACAAGGTGAAACCCCATCTCTACTAAAAATATAAAAATTAGCCAGGCAGTAGTGGTTCTTGCCTGTAATCCCAGCTACATGGGAGGCTGAGGCAGGAGAATTGCTTAAGCCTGGAAGGCAGAGATTTGGTAAGCTGAGATCGTACCACTGCACTCCAATGTGGATGAAGATTGTTTAACCACCACCAAAATGGGTTCTGAGTCCAACTATTAATATGAAGATGACATCCATTGTGGTCTTGTACATTTTGTTGCCTTTCCGGGATGAAGGACATTGGTGACCATTTGTTTCCTCTGGAGCGGTCGATTGATCATGAACTTCCTGGTCCAGATAGTTGCTGTGTCATTCATCATGGTGGTTGATCCTCAGGTAGTTAGGGAGGAAAATAAACAAGAAGTTATGTATTTAAAACCACGTTTCAATTTTAGACCTGATTAATTGACTAAATAAAGGGCATTAGCACTTCTACTTCCTACAGTCCCTCCCTTTACCTCTGGAAACTAGTGATTTCTAGGTTGTTTTATGTTGTTAAGGTTGGCCACCTTTCCTTTCTGTTCTGCAATCATAGTCCTATTTTTAAATGGATTCACCTCTCATCACTAGCCTTTTGTCATGGTCATTCAATTCACAAGTTGCTTATTTTTTAATTTCTTGGCTGACTAAATTTTATTATGAAGACTTTTCTTTAAAGAGCTCAGAAATACTGTATTCTTTAAGTTCTTGAACTTGTGATGGTGTTTATTGCCTATTTTGATTGGGCAATAATTTAGCTGGCTATAAAATTCTTGGATTATACTCTATTTCCCTTAGAAATTATAGGCACCCATCCACTCACATTTCATTGTGCTTTCTTTTTTTTTTTTTTTTTTTTTTTTTTTTGAGATGGAGTCTTGCTCTGTCACCCAGGCTTGAGTGCAGTGGTGTGATCTTGGCTCACTGCAAGCTCTGCCTGCCAGGTTCACACCATTCTCCTGCCTCAGCCTCCCGAGTAGCTGGGACTACAGGTGCCTACCTCCATGCCTGGCTAACTTTTTTGTATTTTTAGTAGAGACGGGGTTTCACTATGTTAGCCAGGATGGTCTCGATCTCCTGACCTCGTGATCCACTGGCCTTGGCCTCCCAAAGTGCTAGGATTACAGGTGTGAGCAACTGTATGAGCCCAGCCTCATTGTGTTTTGTACTGACCCCCTCTCCCTGGCCTCTTCCAGCTTGTCTTTTTCTCTCCCAGTAGTTTCTTCATGAAGAGGCCATGTGCTATATTCCATGAGATATTTCACACTCAAAGAAGACTTCTTTTATATTCTTGTGATAATTTGTCTGGGAATCACTGTCTTCATTTATAAGGGAGTTTGTAATAAATACAGTGAAAGAGAAACTCACAACATATTTTGAGATATCTGAGAAGGGAGAAACCAATTCTATTAATATTTGGGGTTAGCAGGGAAGGCTTAGTTAAGAGGTAACATTTGAACTAAGCCTTGAAATAAGGGAAGGATTTGGCCATGCAGTAATGGCGAGAGAGTAGAAGCAAGGCATGATGGTTAGTGTTATGTATCAATTTGACTGGGTTGTGGGGTGCCCAGATATTTGGCTACACATTATTCTGGGTGTGTCTCTGAGGTATTCTGGATGAGGATAACATTTAATTGGTAGACTGAATAAAGCAGATTGTCCTCCCCAATATGGGTGAGCCTCATCCAATCCACTGAAGGCCTGAACAAAACAAAAAGGTAGAGTCACAGAGAATTTGCTCTTTTTACCTGATTATATTTGAGCTGGGACATCAATCTTCTCCTGACTTTAGATGTGGACTCGAGTTGGAACTATATCATTAGCTGTCTTGGGTCCCCAGCTTGCTGGCTGCAGACTCCAGGACTCCTTAGCCTCCATAACCATGTGAGCCATCCCTTACAACAAATCAATCTGTCTCTATGTGTATAGCTCTACCTCTATCTCTCTGCTCTTTCTCTGGAGAACTTAGAGTAATACACAAGGTTACATTAGAGAAGAGGATGACCCAAGGAAAAACATGGAGGCAGAAAACTGCAAAGAAGGTTTGGGAAGACGGGGGTCCTGATGGGGAGTTTGGATGTCACTGTGTGTAGCATGGAGAATCCTTGAAAATATTCGAGAGGTGAAAATTGTATTTGTGGAAGAACACCAGGAGTATGTGAAAAGAAAAACACTCACTCCATTTTAACTCCACCGAAGGGAGCACCAAAGGGATGCACTGGGGACATGGGTTGGAGGGTAGTTGAGGCCATATCTGGAGGATCTTTACTTCTAGGCTGAGTCTGAAGTTATCTTTCTGGGGAGTGGGAGATTACACATCTTTGAGCTCCACTCAAGAGATGGTTTTGCTAACAATGGCAGGGCGACGGTGGTGGTGGGGGTGGGAAACTGTTATCATGAATTCTAATTGGGCTTCTGTTATTTTAGCTGAGAAAGTTGGGGAATGGACTTTCAGTAGAATAATACAGATCTGGGAATCAACTGCATGGAGGAGGTAGTTATAGGTGATGAGATGTCTCAGGGACAAAGTTTGGTGGAAGGAGAAAAGATACTAGGCTGGTACAAAAATAATTGCTATTTTTGCCATTACTTTTAATGGCAAAATCCGCAATTACTTTTGCACCAACCTAATAGGATGCAAACTTCGGAGCCATCTGCATCAGAGGGATTGATGAAGATCAACAAAGTTTGGGAACACAGGAAAGGAGCAGGGAGGGTAATGACTTGAGGGCATAGCAGGGATAATCAAGGTTTTTCTTATTAGCATGTGGAGACTTAAGCATGATTATATGTTAATCGCCTGGCACATACATGGTGCAAAATATTTATGAGTGAAATGACAAGTGAAGGTGGTGAGTCATGGGAGTTCCAAGGGAACGGGTGATAAAGGCAGGTCTCAAATGAGGCACAAGTGGAGAAGGTAGCTTGGGAAAGGAGAAGGATGTTTCTCCTTATAAGATGGGAAAGGCAGAGGAAGAGGGTCAAGATACAGTGATCTAGGGGTGAGATGGAAGTGAGTTGAGAGAACTCAACTCTGGGCTCTTTTCACCCCTAGGGATGGGTTAGGGGGCTTTTAGATATGGAAGAGGCTTAAAGTCAATAGTTATAGCAAATATGGTTTGGAATTTATTTATGATGTTTAAAAATATTGCTGAACAGAAGTGAAGTCTTTCCTAGAGTTGGATGGTGAGATTATTTAGTGGAACTACCAGATCCCTGTTGTGATTCTTTCCAGTATCATTCAGCAGCCCTTGGGCAGTTGCGAGGCAAGTCATCAATGGGGTATGGAGATTTTCCAGGTGGGTGTGGTTAAAGGCAGGGAAGAACGAGTTTAGGAGCACCGTACAAGAGGAAGGTGAATGTTAAGTCCAGGCTGAGCAGGAATGTATAGCAAGAAGGAAACATGAGGTTGTGAAGGGAAGTTTAGAGGGATGAGGAGGCAGGAGAGGTGAACAGTTGCAGGACGTAGCTAGAGTGGCAATGTTAGATCTTGGGACCAGAGAGCTTTACAATGAGTATGAAGATCAAAGGGCATTAGAATCAAGCTATAAAGAGCTACTGTTTGATGTTGGTATGTAAGTATGCTGCAGGTGGATGTCTGCACATTGATGGTGAGAAAGTGGTCACCCTGGTCCTGCTGGGTCTTTGCTAAAGAGACTGTGCTCTGTTCTTGGGGCCGTTTTCATCACCTGATTACAGCAGTGGTCCCCAAATGGTGTTCTTTGGACCATCTGTATAAAATGTTCATAGGTCAAGGATAAAATGGAAAAACAGAGAAAATGTCACAGAAATGTGCCCATTGGTGAAAGACCACCAGCTGTCCTTTTTGGAGGATTTTTCTTTATTCTAAAAATGTATATATTCTATTCTATTAAAACATTTTTGTATTTGCATTTTTTTCTCTTTTATGAAATGCCATGGGGTAGAAATTTATAATGTATCCAATTCTCCTGTCTCCATGCATTGCAGTGTGGTGGGGGAGAAGATGTGGCTAGTACTGGCCAAGAGGCTGGGGGCAGAGGTGCAGTGTTAGACTTCTAGCCTGGAGCATTTAATTCTTAGTACAAGACTCTCTAGCATTCTTCTCCCTCTGTTCCCTGCTTGGTGATACTTGAGGTATTGCAACCCCCATTAGCCTTACTCTTAGGGAAAGTTTGATGGGAAACAGAGCACCCCACACCTCCCTGCAGATGTAGCATGAGTAAGAAAAACAACTTCTGATGTTTGAAGTTACCAAGATTTAGGAGTTGTTTGTTGTTGCAGCAAAACCTCACCTATTCTGACCAATCATGGTGGAATTTCTGTGTGTGTGTGTGTGTGTGTGTGTGTGTGTGTAACTAGTAGTTTAAAAAATTTCCTTCTTACCAAAAAGAAAAAAAAAATAGCAACCTTATGTTTGTTCTCAAATTAAAAAAAAATTTTTACTGGTTTATAAAATAGAAAAATCTGAGAATCTGTAGCTTAGAGAACTACAGTGTGGGATGTCTATAAAGCCAGCTTATTTTATCAGCTCCTAACACCCCTTAATAGAAGCTTAGCCAAGACTTGGACTATTTCAGTCTTTCCCATTCCACATTCCATGGACTCTTGAAGAGACATTGATAAAACGGTGCAGCCATGAACCACCCTAACTCAATCCTAGTGGCAGAACCTGCCTTTTACTGCAGAATGAGCTTCTTGCTACAGTGATACTTCAACCCCTTAGATATATCCTGTATTAATTATATTAAAACACGACCAATGCTTTTGCTTTGTTGTCCCCCAAATTAAACACATTAATCATGAGAACCCAGAGAATTGGATTTAGTGTAACTGATTCCAAACTGTCAGTAAGAACATAATTAGGTTATATTTTTCTCCAATTCAAATAAAAGAAAATTGACAATAAAATGCTGATCAATATGTGTAGCTCAGGAGGTAGAGACTGCTTTGAGATGCAGAAGTGTTTGTTTTTTTTAGATCTATATTCTTGAGTAAAGAAAAAAATCCATCTCTCTTTCCTAGAAGGGAAGAGTTTCAGAACTGGGCTTGGCAACAGCCTGACTATCAGAGGCTGAATTAAACAAATAGGTACCTCCCTGGAGTGAATGGTGGGTTTCTCCAGTTCGGGAAACCGTGCTTTTATGGTGGAGTTTGCTTTCTGCCTTGGTCTCCGGATGTGTGTATCTGTGGGTGGATGTCTGCATGCAAATGGCAGTGTATACCTGTGTGGGTGTGTACAAAATTCCCAAGTGAATCTCAGCTTTCTGGGGACTTCCAGGTCTTGAGCCCAGCAGATGCCATTTGAAGAAAAATCACTTGAAAATGAGATAGAAAGAATGGAAACTAAATCCTAGCTCTAAAGGCACCAGGCTGATTAAAAAAAAAAAAACAAAAAACTCTGGATCTTCTTTGTTTTGGACTCTACCTACCTCTAAATGACATTTCTGTTTCCTATGAGATGATTAGAATGAAAGAGATCCTGAGCACAAAAGAGCAGATACTGTGCGATAGTGTGTATGTCAGGGTGTTAGCTGTGACACTGCTGACATTTTGGCTCAGCAATTTCTCTGTTCTATGTGTGGGGGTTCCCTGTGCATTTCAGGATGTTGAGCGGCATCCCTGGATCCCTGGACTCACTGGATGCAGTAACACAACTCCCCCGAAGTAGAGACAACCCCCAGTGTCTCCAGATATTGCCTAATGTCCCCAGGGGACAAAATAGCCCCATCTGAGAACTGCTGCTTTCATAAAGTACAATGTCAGGTGAAATAGGTGGAGGCTGTTTGTAGTCAGGGGTTAGTAGAGATGGAAGAGACCCCAGGAATATCCTGGAAGGGGCTGGAATATTTTGTTTCTTGAATTGGGTGTCAGTAATATGGAGATGTTCAGTTTTTTGTTGTTGTTGTTGTTGTTGTTGTTGTTTTGAGGCAGGATCTTGCTCTGTCACCGAGGCTGGAGCACAGTGGCACCGTCATGGCCCACTGCAGCCTCTGCCTCCTGGGCTCCAGCAGTCCTCCCACCTCAGCCCTCCTGAGTAGCTGGAACTACAGGCATGTGCCATCACTGTTGCCGAATTTTTGTATTTATTTATTTTTTGTAGAGAGGGGTGTATCACTATGTTGCCCAGGCTGGTCTCGAGCTCCTGGGCTCAAGCAATCTGCTCACCTTGGCCTCCCAGAGTGCTGGGATGAGAGGCAAGAGCCACTGCATCTGGCCAGTATGTTCAGTTTGTAAGAAAATTACTGTGTTGACCTCTTCTATGTGCACATTTCTTTAAGTAAAAATTCAATAAACCATTTAGAAAAATTGGTCATAACAGGAGTGATTTGTAGAGTGATTGGCATGAAAGCTGATCACCTTAATTTGAACTACTCTGAAATGAGCACCAGGGGACACCAAGAGGACCCTTTCAAGGTGTCATAGCCAAGGAGAGGAGTGTGTTGTGTACATCTCTGCATAAAGAATTTGCTGGTTACATGGAAGGATGAAGCCTCCTTCTGAGGACAGAGGCAGCAAAGCAAGTGGAAGCCCAAAGCATTGAGCTTTCTAAATGGACTTTGCTAAAATCTTGTGGATGACTCATGCTCTTAACATACACCCATGTACATATTGTCCATATAAACATTAATTCTGTAACAAGGCCCACACTTAAGGGGTTTTTTTTTTTTCTTTTGAGACAGTCTTGCTTTATTGCCTAGGCTAGAGTACAGTGGCATAATCATGACTCACTGCAACTTCCGCCTCCTGGGTTCAAGCAATGCTTGTGCCTCAGCCCCCCGAGTAGCAGGGACTACAGGTGCACACCACCATGCCTGGCTAATTTTTGTATTTTTAGTAGAGACAGGGTTTCACCATGTTGGCCAGGCTGGTCTCAAACTCCTGGCCTCAAGTGATCTGCCCACCTCAGCCTCCTAAAGTGTTGGGATTACAGGTGTGAGCCACTGTGCCTGGGCCCACACATAAGGTTTGAGATGAGATAGACAAACTCTGGCAGGACTGAGGAATTTGGCCACAGTCTCTGGGAAATATGCACAATTTCTGGAATCTTCTCTACTTCCAGAGTTCCCACTTTCTATCTGTCTCCTATTTATTCAACAAACTTGTATGGAACCACAGTGTGTCTAGAACTTGCCAGGTGTGGAGGATAAAAAGATGACTGAGATCGGACATGGTGGCTCATGCCTGTACTCCCAGCACTTTGGGAGGCCAAAGCAGGCGGATCACTTGAGGGCAGGAGTTTGAGCACAGCCTGGCCAACATGATGAAACGTCTCTACTAAAAATACAAAAATTAGCCAGGCATGGTGGCATGCACATGTAGTCCCATCTACTTGGGAAGCTGAGGCAGGAGAATCGCTTGAACCCAGGAGGCAGATGTTGCAGTGAGCTGAGATCACCCCGCTGCATTCCAGCCTGGGAGACAGAGCGAGATTCCATGTCAAAAAAAAAGATGACTGAGATACAGACTCCATCAGGGTTGACTCTAACACAAATTAGGTAAGAGCCCAAGGTCTGGCTGGGCAAGGACCTTGATCGGCCTCATCCTGCAGTGTCTACTAGAATGAAGAACACTTTTTTCTTTACCCATGAAAATGTTTTGTGCTTCGTACCTACAGGTACAATTTGTGTTAATTCTGCAAAACCTGCCGCATAACTCTGCCTGTATTCTTAGCATTTTTCTTTTGAGAGATTTCTCAGCACATCATCTTTGGACTATGTGGAAATGGAAGTTTACTTAGAGTCAACAACAAGTACAGGAAAGTTAGTTCTTAGTCAAGAGTTAGGTTTTCAAAGACAGTGGATAAAATAAAAAATCTAGTACAGTCAAGATTATAGGTGCAAATCCCCTCATCATTCATGAAGTTTAGCAGTCAGTCTTACCGTGACTCACCAGGTCCAATCCATACTTCTTCCTCCACGATTGGAGCAGAGGGTGATTTTTTTTTATGAGCAACGGATGAAGTCATTTAGAGACCATTTGCAGTAGGAGCCCTGTGTACTAGAGACCAATCAATGTGCCCTCGTGGCTCCATTTCTGCCTCTCTCCCTCTTTGTTCTTGCCAAGTACCCACAGCTCATTTTCCATAGATTAAAAGAGCCCAAGTTGGGCCTATACCTAGAAGTACAATTGCTGGGTCATTTGGTAACTCCATGTAGAATTGTTTAGGAAGTTGTTAAACTGTTTCTCACAGTGGCTACACAATTTTAACTCCTACCAGCAGTGTATGAAAGTTCTAGTTTCTCTGCATCCTCACCAACACTTGTTATTTTCCGTATTTTTTTTTTTTGAGACAAAGTCTTGCTCTGTCGCCCAGGCTGGAGTGCAGTGGCACAATCTCAGCTCACTGCAACCTCTGCCTCCCAGATTCAAGTTACTCTCCTGCCTCAGCCTCCAGAGTAGCTGGTATTATAGTCACCTGCCAACATGCCTGGCTAATTTTTGTATTTTTTTTTAGTAGAGACAGGGTTTCACCATATTGGCCAGGCTGGTCTCAAACTCCTGGCCTCAGGTGATCCACCTGCCTCGGTCTCCCAAAGTGCTGGTATTACAGTCATTAGCCACCGCACCAGGCCAATTTTCTCTATCTTCAATTCTAGCCATCCTTATGGGTATGAAGTGGTATCTCATTGTGGTTTTGATTTCTGTTTCCCTGATGGTGAATTTCATTGAGCATCTTGTCATGTGCTTATTGGCCACTTGTATGTCTTCCTTGGAGGTGTGCCATATTTTCATATTCAAAAATGAAAGCACAGGTCCACACAAAAATTTGTACATGAATAATTACAGTAGCATCACTCCTAATAACACAAAGAGGGGATTAATCCAAATGCCCATCACCAGATGAAGAGAGACACCTATTGTTGTCTACCCACATGTTGGAATATTATTTGATCACAAAAACGAGGAAAGTACATACGCTACAGCGTGGATAAACCTTCAAAACAGATGAAAGATCACATTCTACATGATTTCATTCAGATGGAAATCTATAGAAATAAGAAGTCGATTAGTGGTTGCTTAGGGCTGGTAGGGGCATGGGAGGATGGGGGTGTTAGCTAAAGTGTATGAGGTTTGTTTTTGAGGTCATGAAATGTTCTAAAATTGACTGGTAATGTTTGCGTATATCCCTGAATATATTAAAAAGCATTGAAATGTAAAAAATGCAAAGAAAAAACAGCCCAAGTTGCAATTTTATTCAACACTTGATTGCTTTAAAAATAGATTCCAGGCTGGGCATAGTGGCTCACACCTGAAATCCCAGTGCTTTGGGAGGCTGCGGTGGGAGGATTGCTTGAGGCCAAGAGTTCCAGGCCAGCCTTGGCAACATGGCAAGACCCTGTCTGTACAAAAAAAGAAAAAATAAATATCAGCTGGGTGCAGTGGCTCACACCTGTAATCCCAGCACTTTGGGAGGCTGAGGCGGGCAGATCACCTGACATCACTTCAAGACGAGCTTGGCCAACATGGTGAAATCCCGTCTCTACCAAAAATATAAAATTTAGCCTTTTGGTACTCTGAGCAGCACCATGGCGGTTGTTAAGAACAAGTGCCTTATGAAAGGTGGCAAAAAGGGAGTTAAGAAGAAAGTAGTTGGTCCATTCTCTAAGAAAGATCAGTATGATGTGAAAGCACCTGCTATGTTCAATATAAGAAATATTGGAAAGACTTGGTCACCAGGACCCAAGGAACCCAAATTGCATCTGATGGTCTCAAGTTTCTAGTGTTTGAAATGAGTCTTGCTGATTTGCAGAATGATGAAGTTGCATTTAGAAAATTCAAGCTGATTACTGAAGATGTTCAGGGCAAAAGCTGCCTGTCTAACTTCAATGGCATGGGTCTTACCTGTGACAAAATATGTTCCAAGGTTGAAAAATGTTCAACAATAATTGAAGCTCATGTTGATGTCAAGACTACCGATGGTTACTTCTTTCTTCTGTTTTGTGTTGGTTTTACTAAAAAACACAACAATCAGATACTGAAGACCTCTTATGCTCAGCACCAACAGTCTGCCAAATCCAGAAGAAGATGATGGAAATCATGACCTGAGAGGTGCAGACAAATGACTTGAAAGAAGTGGTTAATAAATTGATTGCAGACAACATTGGAAAAGATGTAGAAAAGGCTTGCCAATCTATCCTCTCCATGATGTCTTCATTAGAAAAGTAAAAATGCTGGAGAACCCTGGGTTTGAAAGGCATGGAGCTTCGTGGTGACGGTAGTAATTCTGGAAAACCCACTAGGGACGAGACACATGCTAAAGTTGAATGAGCTGATGGATAGGAACCACCAGTCCAAAAATCTGTTTAAAGTTCAGACTTAAAACAGTAGCAAATAAGAAGCTCTATTTGTGAAAAACAAACAAGAAACAACAATGAAAGAGCTAAATTACTTTGGTGTGGTGGTGCATGCCTGTAATCCTAGCTACTCAGGAGGCTGAGGCACGAGAATTACTTGAATCCGGGAGACAGAGGTTGCAGTGAGCCAAGATTGCACCATTGCACTCCAGCCTGGGCAACAGAGGGAGACTTTACAAAAAGAAGAAAAAAAAAAAAATAAGTATCCAGGCTTGGTGGCATGCGCCTGTAGTCTCAGCTACTCTGAAGGCTGAGATGGGAGGATGGCTTGAGGCCAGGAGTAATTTGAGGCTGCAGTGAACTATGATTGTGACACTGCACTCCAGCCTGGACTGCAGAGCAGGACCCTGTCTCTTATACATACACACACACACACACACACACACACACACACACACACACACATATACACACACATACATACACACATACCCAGGCTCTACCTCTGGTGATTTTGACTCAGTAGGGTGGGGTATCCCCTAGGGATCCTGCTGTTCAGCCTGGTCTGGGATCCACTTTTCATCGGGAACTTAGACACTGGCTGTGAGCCCTTCTGTCCTGAGATGTAGAGGTCATGGGGATGCAGGTTCAAGCTTAAGGAGACCTGACTGTGTGTTAGGTATTGTGTTGAACATCATCTCTTACTCTTACAGCAACATCCGTAGAAGGTTGATGATGTGTCCCTGCTCTACAGATGAGGAACTGAACTTTCAGAGGAGTTTAGCTTGTTCAAAACTTATTCTTCCTATTGGAAACTTTGTACCCTTTGACCAGTGTCTCCTATCCCCTCCCTTTCCTTCACCCCATCCCCGGATAACCACTGTCCTACTCTCTATTTCTGTGAGTTCAACTTCTTTAGATTCCACATATAATAAAATCATGCAGTATCTGTCTTTCTGTGCCTGGCTTATTTCACTTAACACAATGTCTTTCAAGTTCATCTATGTTGTTGAAAATGACAGGATTTCTTTCTTTTTTAAGGGTTAATAGTATTCCGTTGTGTGTATATAGTACATTTAATTCATCCTTTCATCCACTGATGGACACTTAGGTTGATTCTATATCTTGGGTATTGTGAATAGTGCTGCAGTGAACACAGGAATGTAGGGATCCCATCGACATATTGATTTTGATTTTTTGGGGGTCTATATCCAGAAGTTGGGTTGCTGGATTATATGCTTTGAAATCTATAGCACAGCAGTGAGACTATAGTAAATAATAATGTATCTTTCAAAATAACTAAGTGGGTACATTTCAAATGTCGCATCATGAAAATTATCAGTAAATTAGGGGATGGACATGTTAATTAGTTTGATCTAATCATCCCACATTGTATACACATATCAAAACATCACATACATGTGTACAATTTTGATTTGTCAATTAAAATAACGTTAGTTAAAAAAATAAGTAACTTGTTCAAAGCCCCAGTTGGGATTGATGGAGCTGGGACATGCACCAAGGCTGTTGCTCTCAGGCCCACAGAGTCCTTGGTCCACGAATGTTGAAGCCCTACCTGAGATTTCAACTGAGATCAGTGTAGGGATTCAATGTCTCAGAATCATCCCATCCTCCAGGGCCCACAAGTCCATGACCGCTGCCTCTACCCCCGACCCTACTGACCTGAAATGTGGCCCCTGCTTTCATTTCCGGGAGCATACAACACTTACACCAAGCATTGATGGGTTTTGTTGACTTCATTTGAGATGTGGGGTCGTGGAGAGGGTCCCATGATCCTTGCTTGGTGTTGGCCAACTCATTGACTTCTCTCCTTTGACTTCACCCTTCCCTTTTCTACTCACCTCCTCTGTCATTGATTGTTCTGGTAATTCTGAGCCCTGGTTCCTTTATTTTGCAGATAACCTTCACTCTTCTCTGCAACGAATCCCAAAAGTGTGTAGTTGAGCTGACTGCAAGGTGCTTGACACGCAAGAGATTCCACAAATGGGATTCGGTCTCTGGAAAGTGGTGGTAGTTCCAGATTTATGTGAATGTTACTTTGTTTTTCCCTATAAAATCTATTCTTTAAACTATCAAGCTCTTGGGTCCTGGCTGCAGTCATTTGCTGGTGGTAGTGGGCTGGGTACTGCCACCGGGGAGAAATGCTGCCCACTTAGAGAAAGGGAAACTGGTTCTCTTTTAGAGGCAGAGGGAGGTTCTCTGTGCCAGTTTGTTTGGAGGCAAAATGGCTGTTGTATTAAAATTGCCCAAACTTGGGGTGGTGCCTTGTGTGTTTAGAGCTCAAAGCCACGATTGTTTTCTTTTTGTTTTTTTTTTTTTTAGTGGTTGGTTTTCCATCCTTTTGCTTGGCAGGTTTCTGCTAATAGCTTCAACCTCAAGAGTCCCATTATACAGACACTAATAGCACCTCCTATGTGTCAGTCTGTAGTGCCTACTATGTGCCAGGCATTGGAGATAATATAATGATGAACAAGATAAACATGGCATTTGGAAAAGAGAGTCTACTTCCCACTCTCAGCCCACCCCAAAGAGAGGCCAGAATTGGGCTTCCAAAGATCTCAGATGCCCTTGCATCACCTCCCTGAAGAGGGCGGGTGAAGCTTTGGTGTCTGCAGAGAATTTGTCTGGACAATCCCCCAGGTTTGGAAGAATGGGAAGGAGCTGCCATCTGTGTTTAAGGTGAGAATTGGGGGAGTGGCTGGATATCAGAGGAAGCCAAGATGAAGAGAAGGTTTTTGTGAGTTCCTATGCATAGTGGAGACCTGTTCTAGTGAGGGTCCCTGGGGCTGAGCCTGTGGGTCAGTGGAATGATGCTGTGAGGAGGGTCTTGCTATAGCAGATGGCCCAAAGAATGTTGATGGATTGTGAGCAGCTGGAAGAATGGAGAGTTCAGGGGATGTAGTTCCTACCTGGCTTTCCAACAGTGTGTAAGCCCAGAATTCTTACATAAGCCCATGGAGAAGGGAAAGGAATGCTGGTAATGACAAGATTGAATTCTCCACCTGCCAGGCATCCAGGGACTCAGAGCAGATTTAAGTGAAGTTACAGAAATAGGAATGTGACATTTCCTACATCCGGGTGTGCTGGAGCAAATGTATTCCCTCTCTGGTGTGTGGGGAAGGAGAATGCTAACAGACAAGACTCTAGGTTTTCACTCTTAAACCTGGTGCCTAGAGATGCATTTTCTACTGGATGCAGACAGAAGCTCCATATAGACATATCCATCGCTGTATCTCTCATGCCTTCTGTTCTCCCTAATTTTCCCTTTTTAACCCACAGAGGAAGAAAGTTCCAGCATCACTTCTGGCCTCTCAAGAGTGAGTTTGGTGGCCAGGTTGGGTTATTCATGCCTGTAATCTCATAATGAAGGGGTGGCCTGCCCCTCCACACCTGTGGGTATTTCTTGTCGGGTGGGATGAGAGACAGAAAACAAATCAGACTCAGAGACAAAGTATAGAGAAACAACAGTGGGCCCAGGGGACCGGCGCTTAACATACCAAGGACCTGTACTGGCACCGTTCTCTGAGTTCCCTCAGTTTTTATTGATTATTATCTTCATTATTTCAGCAAAAAGGAATGTAGTAGGAGGGCAGGGTGATAATAAGGAGAAGGTCAGCAACAAACGTGAGCAATAGAATCCATGTCATAATGAAGTTCAAGGGAAGGTACTATGACTGGACGTGCATGTAAGCCAGATTTATGTTTCTCTCCACCCAAACATCTCAGTGGAGTAAAGAAGAACAAGGCAGCATTGCTGTAAACATGTCTCGCCTCCCACCATAGGGCGGTTTTTCTCCCACCTCAGAATTGAACAAATGTACAATCGTGTTTTATACCGAGACATTCAGTTCCCAGGGGGCAGGCATGAGACAGCGGCCTTCCTCTATCTCAACTGCAAGAGGCTTTCCTCTTTGACTAATCCACCTCAGCACAGACATTTTATGGGTGTCGGGCTGGGTGACCGTCAGGTCTTTCTCATCCCATGAGGCCAGATTTCGGACTATCACATGGGGAGAAACCATGGACAATACCCAGCTTTCAAGGGCAGAGGTCCCTGCGGCTTTCCACAGTGCACTGTGCCCCTGGTTTATTGAGACGAGAGAATGGTGATGACTTTTACCAAGTATACTGCTTGCCAACATTTGGTTAACAAGGCACGTCCTGCACAGCCCTACATGCCTTAAACCTTGATTTCATACAACATGTTTTTGTGAGCTCCAGATTGGGTCAAAGTGGTTGGGGCAAAGCTACAGATTAACAACATCTCAGCAAAGCAATTGTTTAAAGTACAGGTCTTTTTCAAAATGGAGTCTCTTAAGTCTTCCCTTTCTATGTAGACACAGTAACAGTCTGATCTCTCTTTCTTTACCCTACATATCCCCCTTTTCGTTTTGACAAAACCACCACCATCATCATGGCCCCTTCTCGCTGGTCGCTGTCTCTCTGGAGCTGCTGGATACACCTGTAGACTAACAATAGAAAGGACAGAAATACAAGGATTAATACAAAATTTGCAATAGTGGAATTTCCGGTGGTTTTAACCCAAGTGACGGGGCAAGAGGACGGTGTGGGTGCTGCGGCGCCAAGGCAGTCTCCCACCTCCTTTGTGTCTTAGTTGCTGTTTCTCATAGTTTTCAGTCTTTCTCCTCACCTGCTCACTCGCACCTTTTATCTCTTTGTCTCCCTTTCTTACGGTCTCTCTCTCTCTTTTACTCTGTTTCTCTCCCCAATCTCTTTCTGTGTCTCTCTCTGATCTCTGTCTCTTTTTCTTTCTCTTCCTCTCCCTGGCTCTCCACATGTGCCGTTTCCTTGGTGGATTGTAACTTCATCTGTTCTTCTGATATCACCATTTTGTTCACCCTGCGAGTCGATGATGCTCGATGGCGGGTTTTCTGTCTCTGCAGAGGCACTTTCATTTGCATCTCTGATAGGTTCATTGTAGAACTTCAAATGTCTAGTGGGTATCCAAACAGGAAGCTGATTTTCTCCTTGTGAAACACAAGCAAAACCTCTCCCCCATGTTATCACCTTACCTATTTCCCATGTTTTGTTTTTGTTGTCTTTCCACCAAATCAGTTTTCCCTCATGTGGCCTATTCTTTTTACCAGTAAAATGTTCTGCAGAAGTAGTGGTCTGATTTCTATGTATGTCTAGAAAATCTAAAGTATAGAGTGTTACATTAAGTTGCCTCTGGGGAGTGCTATACTCCTTACTGTCTTTTTCCTTTTTTTGTTTAACCAATTGAACTTTGAGTGTTCTAAACAGGACAGGTAAGATCTGCATCTGGCACAGTCAGCAAGGTCTCCTTACCCTGTGCTTCCCTTTCTGCCTGTGACTAAATGGGCATGTCAGGGTCTACCAGGGGATCCAGGAGGAGGAAGCCTCATTAACTTCTATTCTGCAGCAATTGATGGCCACCCAACTTGAACAGTGGGGGCTTATCACCTCATGTACTAAGACCAGAGATAGCTGATGCCAAGTTGGCTAAATTAGTAGCTTGAGATGTTAGGTTTTTCATTTGAGGTTTCTATGCTGCTATTGTCTTCTGCTCTTGGTCACAGAGGCTGCCACAATCCGCATGTCAAGTCCTCGTGTGACAATATCCAGAGACAGCAAAGAAGAGGTACAGTGTATTCCTGCATGTTTCTTAAAAGGAAAATGTTTTTGATAGAGAATAATTGTACACATTTAAGGGGTCCATGTGAGATTCTGGTACATGAGTGCAATGTGTAATGATCAAATCAGGGTCTTTAGGATATTAATCACCTCAAACGTTGATCATTTCTTTGTGTTGGGAATATTTAAAATCTTATTGCTATTTAGAAATACACAATAATTCTATTTATCAGGATATAAAATCTATGTACACAAATCAGTAGCAGTGCTATACACCAACATCTACCACGCTGAGAATCAAATCAAACCCTTTTATAATAGCTGTAAAAATAAAATACTTAGGAATATACCTAACCAAGGAGGTGAAAGACCCCTACAAGGAAAACTACAAAACAATGTTGAAAGAAATCATAGATGACAAAAACAAATGGAAACACATTCCATGCTCATGGATGGGTAGACTCAATATTGTGAAAATGACCATACTGCCAAAAGCAGTCTACAAATTCAATGCAATTCCTATCAATGTATCATCATCATTCTTTATAGAACTAGAAAAAAAAAAAACAAAATTCATTTGGAACTAAAAAAGAGTCTGCAAAGCCAAAGCAAAACTAAGCAAAAAGAACCAATCTAGAGGCATCACATTACCCAACTTCAAACTATATTACAAGGCTATAGTCACCAAAACTGCATGGTGCTGGTATAAAAATAGGCACATGACCAATGGGACAGAGTAGAGAACCTATAAATAAAGCCAAATACTTAACAGCCAAATGATCTTCGACAAAGTAAACAAAAACAAAGTAAGAAAAGTACACCTTATGCAACAAATAGTGCTGGGATAATTGGCAAGCCACATGTAAAAGAATAAAACTGGATCCTTATCTCTCACCTTATACAAAAATCAACACAAGATGGATCAAAGACTTAAATCTAAGGTCTGAAACCATAAAAATTCTAGAAGATAACATTGGAAAATGCTTCTACACATTGGCTTAGGCAAAGAGTTTATGACCAAGAACCGAAAAGCAAATGCAACAGAAACACAGATAAATAGATGGGACTTAATTAAACTAAAAGCCTCCTGCACAGCATAGGAAATAATCAGCAGAGTAAACAGATCACCCACAGAGTGGGAGAAAATTTTCACAAACTGCATCTGACAAAGGACTAATGTCCAGAATCTACAGGGAACTCTAATCAGCAAGAAAAAAAGAATCTCATCAATAAGTGTGCCAAGGACATGAACAGACAATTCTCAAAAGAAGATATACAAATGGCCAACAAACATATGAAAAAATGCTCAACATCACTAATTACCAGGGAAATGCAAATCAAAACCACAATGCAATACCACGTGTAAAATAAACAAAAAGAGGGCCAGGCGCGGTGGCTCACGCCTGTAGTCCTAGCACTTTGGGAGGCCAAGGTGGGCGGATCACGAGGTCAGGAGTTTGAGACCAGCCTGACCAACATGGTGAAACCCAGTCTCTACTGAAAATACAAAAATTAGCCATGCATGGTGGCAGTTGTCTGTAATCCCAGCTACTCAGGAGGCTGAGGCAGGAGAATTGCTTGAACCAGGGAGGCAGAGGTTGCAGTGAGCTGATATGGCACCACTGTACTCCAGCCTGGGCGACAGAGCGAGACTCCATCTCAAAAAAGCAAAAAACAAAACAAAACAAAAAAAACAAAAATTGATGTTGGCATGGATGTGGTGAAAGACAACGCTTTTACACTGATGGTGGGAATGTAAGCTAGTACCACCACTATGGAAAGCAGTATGGAGATTCCTTAAAGAACTAGAAGTACATCTACCATTTGATCCAGCAATCCCACTGCTAGGTATCTACCCAGAGGAAAAGAAGTCATTATATGAAAAAGATACATTTGCACACATGTTTACAGCAGCAGAATTCACAGTTGCAAAACTATAGAACCAGCCCAAATGTCCATCAATCAGTTAGTGGATAAAGAAAATGTGTTATATATATGTATACCATAGAATACTACTTAGCCTTAAAAAGGAATAAAATAATGGCATGCATAGCAACCTGGATGGATTTGACCATTATTCTAAATGAAGTAACTCAGGAATGGAAAACCAAACATTGCATGTTCTCACTCGTAAGTGGGAGCTAAGCTATGATGATGCAAAGGCACAAGAATGAAAGAGTGGACTTTGGGGGCTCAATGGGAAGGTGGGAGGGAGTGAGAGAGAAAAGACTATACATTGGGTAAACTGCTTTGGTGATGGGTATGCCAAAATTTCAGAGATCACCACTAAGGAACTTATCCATGTAACCAAATACCACCTGTTCCCTAAAAACTATTGAAATTAAAAAAAAGAAATACACAACAAATTGTTGTAGTCACTTTCTGTGATAATGAACACTAGATCTTATTCCATTATATATTTTTATACTCATTAATCAACCTCTTTTCAAACCCCTCCTCTTCCCAGCCTCTATTAACTATCATTCTACTCTTTATCTCCATGATATCAATTTTATATAGCTCCAGGGCACACAAGTCCATAACTGCGATCTCTGTCCCTGACCCTACTGACCTGAAACATGGCCCCCACTTTGATTTCCAGGAACATAAACCGCTCATATAAGTGAGAACATGCAATAGTTTTCTTTCTGTGCATGGCCTAGTTCACCTAACGTTATGACGTTTAATTTCATCCATTTAGCTGAAAATGACAGGATTTCATTCTTTTTTAAGGCTGAATACTATTCTATTGTGCATATATTCCCATTTTCTTTAACCATTCATCCATTGATTGACACTCAGATTGATTCCATATCTTGGCTATTGTAAATAGTGCTGCAGTAAATATGGAGGTACAGATATCCCGTTGATACACTGATATCCTTTTTTTTGGATGTATACCTAGGAGTGGGATTGCTGGATCATGGTAGATTTGTTCTTAGTTTTTTTGAGAAATCTCTGTACTTTTTTTCATAATGGCTGTACTAATTTACATTCCCAACAATATACAATAATTTTCTTTTCTTCACATGCTTGCTAGCATTTGTTGTGCTTTATCTTTTTAATAATAGCCATTCTAACAAGTGTGAGATGATATCTTATTGTGGTTTTGATTTGCATTTCCGTGATGATTAGTGATGTTGAATATTTTTTCCATAAACTTGGTGATGTGTATATCTTCTTTTGAGAAATGTCTGTTTGTTTTTTGATAGTTTCTTTTGCTGTGCAGAAGCTCTTTCATTTAATTAGATCCCATTTGTCACTTTTTGCTTTTGTGGCAATTGCGTTTGGCATCTTTACCATGAACTCTTTGCCCATCACTATGTACTGGAGGGTATTGCCTAGGTTGTCTTCTAGCGTTTTTATAGTTATGGGTTTTACATTTAAGTCTTTAAGCCATCTTGAGTTAATTTTTGTGTATGGTGTAAGGGAGGGGTGTTGTCTTTTCACTCTCTTGATTGTTTTCTTTGATATGCAGAAGGTATTTAATTTAATATAATCCCATTTGTCTGTTTTTGTTGCTTGTACTTTTTAAGTGTTAGCCATACAATCTTTGTTCTCAAGCGTTTCTCCTGTGTTTACTTCTAGTAGTTTTATAGTTGTGGCTGTTACATTTAAGTCCTTAATTGATTTTGAGTTTATTTTTGTAAGTGATGAGAGATAAGGGTCTAGTTTTATTATTCTGTGTTTGGATATCTAGTTTTCCTGGCACCATTTAATGAAGAGGGTGTCCTTTATTCAATGTATGTTCTTGACAGCTTTCTTGAAAATCAGTTAGCTGTAAATATGTGGATTCATTTCTGGATTCCTTAGTCTGTTTCCTTTGTTTTTGTGTCTGTTTTAATACCAATACACGCTGTTTTGGTTACTATAGCTTTGCAGTATATATATATAATGTTATTTTTTTTTTTCTTTTTGAGATGGAGTCTTGCTCTGTCACCGAGGCTGGAGTGCAGTGGCGTGATCTCTGCTCACTGCAAGCTCTTACTCCCGGGTTCACGTCATTCTCCTGCCTCAGCCTCCCGAGTAGCTGCTGGGACTACAGGTGCCCGCCACCACGCCTGGCTAACTTTTTTTTTTTTTTTTTTTTTAAGAAAAGACGGGGTTTCACCGTGTTAGCCAGGATGGTCTCGATCTCCTGACCTTGTGATCCACCTGCCTTGGCCTCCCAAAGTGCTGGGATATAGGCTTGAGCCACCTCACCCGGCCTCTTTGCAGTATATTTTTAAATCAGGTAGTGTGAGGCTTCTAGCTTTGTTCTTTTTGCTCAGTATTGCTCTGGTTATTTGGGGTCTTCTGTGGTTCCATATGAATTTCAGGGTTTTTTTTTCCTGTTGCTGTGAAAAATATAATTGATAGGGATTATACTGAATCTCTAGATTGCTTCGGGTAGTATGGTCATTTTAACAGTATTAGTTATTCCAACCGACGAGCATAAGATGCCTTTCCATTTGTTTGTGTCCTTCTCAAATTATTTTAACAGTGTTTTGTGGTTTTCATTGTAGAGGTTTTTTGGTTTTTTTTTTCCTCATCCTTGGTTGAGTTTATTCCTAGGTATTTTATTTTTGTAGCTATTGTAAATAGAATTTCTTCCTTGATTTCTATTTTAGCTAGTTTGTTACTGGTATATAGAAACATTACTGATTTTTGTATGTTGATTTTCTGTCCTGAAGCTTTACTGAATTATACATCCGTTTTTAAAAAATTTTTAATTTTTATTTTTTATTTTTTGAGAGAGTCTCATTCTGTTTTCCTGGCTGGAGTGCAGTGGTGCAATCTTGGCTCACTGCAACCTCCACCTCTCGGGTTCAAGCGATTCTCCTGCTTCAGCCTCCCAAGTAGCTGGGATTACAGGCACTTACCACCATGCCTGGCTAATTGTATTTTTGGTAGAGACAGGGTTTCACCATGTTGGCCAGGCTGGTCTCAAACTCCCAACCTCAGGTGATCCGTCCACCTTGGCCTCCCAAAGTGCTGGGATTACAGGCATGAACTACCATGCCCAGCCTAATTTATTTTAAGAGTTTTTTGGTGGAGTCTTTAGGTTTTTCTGTTTACAGGTATAAGATTATGACATTTGCAAAGTGAGACAATTTGACTTCCTCTTGTCCATTTGGATGCCTTTTATTTCTTTATCTTGTCTGATCACTCTGGCTTGGATGTCCCATACTGTGTTGAATAAGTGGGGTGAAAGTGGGCATCCTTCTCTTGTTCCAGTTCTTAGAGGAAAGGCTTTTCAATTTTTCCCAGTGAGTAGGATGTTAGCTGTAGATTTGTCATATATGCCTTTTCTTAGGTTGAAGTGTTCCTTCTATGCATAATTTGTTGAGAGTTTTCATCATGAAGGAATGGTAAGTTTTACTGAGTGATTTTTCTGCATCTGCTGAGATGATCAGATAGTTTTTGCCTTTCATCTTGTTGATATCATGTATCACATGTATTGATTTGTGTATGTTGAGCCATTTTTGCATTCCTGGGATAAATCCCACTTGATCATGGTATATTATCTTTTTCATTCATCATTAGATTTGGCTTGGTAGTATTATGCTGAGAATTTTACCATGTATGTTCATTAGGAATATTGGCCTGTAGTTTTCTCCCTTTGTTGTGTCCTTGTCTTGATTGGATATCAGGGTAATGCTGGCCTTATACAATGAGTTAGGAAGAATTCCTCCGTCTTCAATTTTTGGGAATAGTTTGAGAAGAATTGGTGTTTGTTTTTCTTTATAAATTTGGTAGAAATCAGCATAAAAGCCTAGTCTAGGGCTTTTCTCTTTTGGGAGACTTTTTGTTACTGATTCAAACCTGCTATTCATTTTGGGTCAGTTCAGGTTTTCTGTTTCTTCCTAGTTCAATCTTGGTAGGCTGTGTATGTCTGGGAATTTATCCCTTTCCTCTAGGTTTTCCAATTTGTTAGCATATGGTTGCTCATAATAGCCTCTAATGATCCTTTTTATTTCTTTGATAACAGTTGTAACGTCTCCTTTTTCATTTCTGATTGTATTTATTTGGGTCTCCTTTTTTTTTTTTTTTTTTTTTTTGTTGGTTAGCCTCACTAGTGGTTTATCAGTTTTGTTTAACTTTTCAAAAAACCAACTTTTATCTTGTTGATTCTTTGCATTTCTTTTTTGTCTCTGTTGCATTTGGTTCTGCTATGTTATTTATATTTTTTCTTTCTACTAATTGTGTGTTTGATTGGTTCTTTCTTTTTGAGTTCCTTGAGGTGCATCATTAGGTTGTTTATTTGAAATCTTTCTACTTTTTTGGTGTAGGAATTTATTGTTACAGACTTTCCTCTTAGTACTGCTTTTGCTGTATCCTATAGGTTTTGCATGATGTGTTTCCATTTTCTGTTTAAAAAAAATTTTTGATGTCCATCTTAATTTCTTCATTGACCCAAAAATCATTCAATAGCATGTTTAATGTCCATGTATTTGTACAGTTTCCAAATTTTTTCTTCTTATTGCTTTCAAGCTTTATTCCATTGTGGTCTGAGAAGATACTTGATATTTTAATTTTTAAAATTTTATTGAGCCTTGTTCTGTGTCCTAACATATGGTCTATCCTGGAGAATGTTCCATGTGTTGATGAGATGATTGTATATTCTGCTGCTGCTGGATGAAATATTCTGAAAATATCTGTTAGGTCCATTTGGTCCAAAGTGCAGCTTAAATCTAATGTTTCTTTGTTGATTTTATGTCTAGATGAATTGTCCAATGCTGAGAGTAGGATATTGAATTTCTTAACTATCATTGTATTGGACTCTATCTCTCCATGTAGATTTAATAATATTTGCTATATCTGTCTGGATGCGGTTATGTTGGTTGCATGCATATTTAGAATTGTTATACTTTGTTGCTGAATTGATCCCTTTATTACCATATAATGAACTTCTTTGTCCTTTTTACAGTTTTTGACTTAAAGTCTGTTTTATCTGATGCAAGTTTAGCTACTCCTGATTACTTTTGATTTCTGTTTGTGTGGTATATCTTTTTCCATCCCTTCACTTTCAGTCTGTGTGTGTCTTTACAAGTGAAGTGAGTTTCTTGTAGACGTTGTTGGGTCATTTTTTATCCATTAAGCCTGTCTCTATCTTTTAGGTAGGTAATTTAACACATACTCGAAGTTATTATTGATAGGTGAGGACTTATTCCTGTCATTTTGTTCATTGTTTTCTGGTTATTCTGTATATCCTTTTGATATGGTTTGGCTGTGTCCCCACTCAGATCTCATCTTGAATTCCCATGAGTTGTGGGAGGGACCCAGTGGGAAGTAGTTGAATCATGGAGGCAGGTATTTCCCATGCTATTCTTTTAATAGTGAATAAGTCTCGTGAGATCTGATGGTTTTAAAAGGAGGAGTTTCCCTGCTCAAGCTCTCTGCCTGTTGCCATCCCCGTAAGATGTGACTTGCCTCTCCTTGACTTCCGCAATGATTTTGAAGCCTCCCCAGCAATGTAGAACTGTAAGTCCATTAAACCTCTTTCTTTTGTAAATTTCCCAGTCTTGAATGTGTCTTTATCAGCTGTGTGAAAATGGACTAATGCAGTAAATTAGTACCACAAGTGAGGTGTTGCTAAAAGATACCTGAATATGTGGAAGTGACTTTGGAACTGGGAAACAGGCAGAGGTTGGGACAGTTTGGAGAGCTCAGAAGGAGACAGGAAAATGTGGGAAAATTTGGAAGAGATTTCCTAGAGACTTGCCCAAAATGCTGATGGTTATATGGGCAATAAAGTCTAGGCTCAGGTTGTCTCAGATGGAAATGAGGAGCTTGTTGGGAACTGGCACAATGGTGACTCCTGTTATGTTTTAGCAAAGAGACTGGTGGCTTTTTGCCCCTGCTGTAGAGATTTGTGTAGTTTTGAACTTGAGAGAGATGATTTAGGGTATCTGATAAAAGAAATTTCTAAGCAGCAAAGCATTCAAGAGATGACTTGGGTGCTGTTAAAGGCCCTCAGTTTTGTAAGGGAAGCAGAGCATGAAAGTTTGGAAAATCTGCAGCCTGACAATGCGATAGAAAAGAAAATCCCATTTTCTCAAGAAAAATTCGATCTAGCTGCAGAAGTTTGTTTAAGTAACGAGGAGTCAAATGTGAATCCCCAAGACAATGGGGAAAATGTCTCCAGGGCATGTCACAGGTCTTCATGGCAGCCCCTCCCATCAAAGGTCCAGAGGCCTAGGAAGAAAAGATGGTTTTGTGGGCTGGACCCAGGGACCCCTGCTGTGAGCAGCCTAGGGTGCCAGAGTCCTAGCCACTCCAGCTGCAGCTAAAAGGAGCCAAAGTACAACGTGGGCTGTGGCTTCAGAGGGTGCAAGCCCCAAGCCTTAGCAGCTTCCACATAGTGTTGAGCCTGTGGGTGCACAGAAGTCAATAATTGAGGTTTGGGAACTGCTGCCTAGATTTCAGAAGGTGTAAGGAAATGCCTAGATATCCAGGCAGGAGTTTGCTGCAGGGGCAGGGCACTCATGGAGAACCTGTACTAGGGCAGTGCAGAGGGGAAATGTGGGGTCAGAGCCCCCACATAGAGTCCCTACTGCAGCGCCACCTAGTGGAGCTTTGAGAAGAGGGCCACCATCCTCCAGACCCCAGAATGGTGGATTCACTGACAGCTTGCACTGTGTGCCTGGAAAAGCTGCAGACACTCAATGCCAACCCGTGAAAGGAGCCAGGGGGGATTTAAACCCTACAAAGCCACAGGAGTGGAGCTGTGGCCTTTTTTCTCCCAAGGCCATGGGAGCCCACCTCTTACATCAGCATGACCTGCATGTGAGACATGGAGTCAAAGGAGATCATTTTGGAGCTTTGAGATTTGACTGCCCCACTGGATTTTGGGCTTGAATGGGTCCTGTAGCCCCTTTGTTTTGGCAATTTTCTGCCATTTGGAATGACTGTGTTTACCCAATGCCTATACCCCCATAGTATCTAGGAAGTAACTAACTTGTTTTTGATTTTACATGCTCATAGGCAGAAGGGATTTGCCTTGTCTCACATGAGACGTTGGACTGTGGACTTTTGAGTTAATGCTTAACTTAGTTAAGACTTTGGGGGACTGTTGGGAAGGCATGATTGGTTTTGAAATGTGAGGATATGAGATTTGGGAAGGGCCAGGGGCAGAATGATATGGTTTGATTTTATCCCCACCCAAATCTCATCTTGAATTCCCACATGTTGTGGGAGGGACCTGGTGGGAAGTAATTGAGTCATGGGGGCAGGTCTTTCCCATGCTGTTCTCATGATAGTGAATACGTCTCAGAAGTTCTGATGTTTTTGAAAAGGGTAGTTTCTCTGCAGAAGCTCTCCCTTTGCCAGGTGCCATCCATGTGAGACATGACTTGCTTCTTCTTGCCTTCCAACGTGATTCTTAGGCTTCCTCAGCTATGTGGAAGTGTACGTCCATTAAACCTCTTTCTTTTGTAAATTGCTCAGTCTCAGTCAGGTATGTCTTTATCAGCAGTGTGAAAACAGACTAATACACCTTTGTTCCTTTTTTCTCTCATTATTTATGGTTGCAGTTTGGTGGTTTTCTTTAGTGGTGATGTTTGAATCTTCTTTGTGTGTCTGAACTAGCAGTGAGTTTTATACTTTCATGTATTTTCATGATGGTAGATATTGTTCTTTAGCTTCCCAATGTAGGACTGCCTTAAACATTTCTTGTAGGACCACAACAAACAAGACACAAACAAACAGTCTTTTGTTTATCTGGGAAATACTTTTTCTCTTTTATTATTATTATTATTTTTTAGCAATGGAGTCTTACTCTGTCACCCAGGCTGGAGTACAGTGGCATGATCATAGCTCACTGCAGCCTTGAACTCCTGGGATCAAATGGTCCTCCTGCCTCAGCCTTGAGTCTCTGGAATTGCAGATGTGAGCCACTGTGCCAGGCTCCTTCATTTGCGAAGGATAGCTTTGCTGGGTATAGTATTTTTGGCTTACTTTTTTTTTTTTTTTTTTTTTTTTTACTTGTAGTATACATCCTCTTTTCTCCTAGCCTGTAAGGTTTCTGCTGAGAAATCCACTGTTAGCCTGATGGAGATTCTCTTATAAGTGACTTGATGCTTTTCTCTTGCTGTTTTTAGCATTTTCTCTTTGTCTTTTGACAATTTTACCATAATGTGCCTTGGAGAAGACCTTTTTGAGTTGTATTTATTTGGTAAGCTTTGAGCTTCCTGCATTTGGAAGCTTTCAGGAAGTTTTCAGTTATTATTTCATTAAATAGGTTTTCTATGCCTTTACCCATCTCATCTCCATCCAGAACTCCCAGAATTTCAGTTTTTGGTCACATATGTGTCCCATATGTCATGTAGCCTTGCTTCAGTCTTTTTTCTTTCTTTTTGTCTGACTGGATTATTTTAAAAGACTAGTCTTCAGGTTCAGAAATTCTTTGTTTTGCTTGATCTAGTCTATTGTTAAAGCTGTCAATTATCTTTTGTATTTATTTCAATGATTTATTCTCTTCCAGGATTTGTGTTTGGTTCTTTGTTATGCTGTCTATCTCTGTTGAATTTGTCATTCAGATCATGAATTGTTTTCCTGTTTTTTTTTTTTTTTTTTTTTTTTATTCATTATCTGTGTTCTCTTGTATCTCCCTGAGTTTCTTTAATAACATTATTCTGAATTTTTTTTCAGGCATTTCATAGATTTTCTTTTCATTGGATCTGTTGCTGGAGAATTATTGTGCTTCTTTGGAGATGTTATGTTTCCTCTTTCATATTTCTTGCATCCTTATGTGACTATCTGTGCCTCTGACATAACAGTCATTTCTTCCAACTTTATGGATTGGCTTTTATATGGGAAAGACCTTTTCTTATAGCTGTATCTACAATGTTCATTGGATATCACACTTTGGCTTTGATTCTCGCTGGGTACAGTGGTATAATCTGCATATGATTCCTTCAGCTGTAATTGGCATGAGTGGTGTCTGTGAGTCATTCAGTGGCTTAGACTGCAGTGTTTGTTTTTTGTGGTTATTGAGATGGAGTCTAGCTCTGTCACCAGGCTGGAGTGCAGTGACACAATCTCAGCTCACTGCAACCTCTGCCTCCCGGGTTCAAGCAATTCTCCTGCCTCAGCCTCCTGAGTAGCTGGGACTATAGGCACGTGCAACCATGCCCAGCTAATTTTTGTATTTTTAGTAGAGACGGGGTTTCACCATGTTGGCCAGGCTGGTCTCGAACTCCTTACCTCATGATCTACCCACCTCAGCCCCTCAAAGTGCGGGGATTACTGGCGTGAGCCACCACCCTTGGCCAGACTGCTGTTGTTATTGGAGGCTGTGGTGAGGCTTTGCTGAGGATGGGCATGCCAGGAAGTCTTGTCCTTCAGCATCAGTGGTAGTGGTTGTGGACGAGGTGTGTCAGTACTAGGGACCATGGGCAGTGTTTGTGGGCACTGATGATAGCCTGTCTGCGTGGGCCAATCCCTGGGCCTCCATGTGGCTTCTTTGGTTGCTGGCAGTGGCAGCACTGGGCCAGGTGGGCAGGTTCGCCACTGGGCTCCTTGGTGGTGTGTGTGGCAGGCTGATCTCTAGTTCTCCATGTGACGTATGCAGGTTCTGGTGGTGGGTAGGCAGGCGTTTCCTCAGGCCTCTCAGTAGTAAGTGTGGGCACTAGCTCTGGAGGCAGGTGAGACAATCTTCAGGCACTAGCATATTCCTATGCATTTCTAGATAAAAGTATTTTTCAGAAAACCTGAGCATATGTCCTATTAATACAACTTACCCTCATCAGCTCCACATGAGAAGAAGGGGGAATTCCCTCAGTAGAACAGTCAGAATGGAATCACAGACTTGTTTTGAGCTAGTCACTGGTAAGGGGGTGTAGGCTAAAATGACAAGCTCAGAATCTAAACCTTAGACTAGGGAATGACAAACTTTTTCCATAAAGAGGCAAACGGTAATATTTTAGGCTTTTTGTCTAGATAACCTCTGTTGCAGTGACGCAGTGGTGCCATCGTAGTCTAAAAGCATATGTAGACAAGGCATAAATCAATGGACCTGGTTTTATTCCAGTAAAACTTAAATTATACAAACAGTCAGAGGGCCAGATTTGGCCCTTGGTCTATAGTTGGCCAACCCTGTTTAGACCAGTCAAAATTTATTCCCTGGGGCTGGGCCAACTTTTTCTTAGAAAAAAAAAAAAAGAAAGCAACCCACTGTCAGAATAAAATAGGGTTTCCATTTATAAAGAAGAAATGGCTGGTTGTGGTGGATCATGCCTATAATCCTAGCACTTTGGGAGGGTGAGGCAGGAGGACTGCTTGAGGCCAGGAGTTTGAAACCAACTTGGGCAATATAGTGAGACCCTGTCTCTGCAAAGAATAAAAAAATTAGCCAGGCATGGTGGCACATTTCTGTAGTCTTAGCTACATAGGAGGCTGAAGGGGAAGATCACTTGAGCCCAGGATTTTGAGGCTACAGTGAGCTCTGACTGTACCATTTGTACTCTAGCCTAGGCAAAGAGGGAGAACCCAAAAACAAACAAACAAAAAAGGTTGGTTGGGGCGGGTTGGAGAAGAAAGTATTTGTGAATTTCTGGTTAGGTTACTGGTAGTGTCAGGCCAAACTAGTTCTACTGTCATTTTCATTATAAATAAAGGCAACTAGAAGATCTCCATCTAGCTATTAAAAATTGGTTAAAATCTACAGAGATAAAGGACGGTGACCCTTGTATCAGTTAGTTGTTGTCACAAAATGCTGCATAAAAAGTCACTCCAAATCTCAGTGGCTTAATACAACAATCATTTATTTTCATGGATCTATGGGTCAACTGAGGATTGGTCAATCTAGCATGAGCATGTCTGGGAAGCTTGACTTCACTGTTGGTGTCTCTTATCTTCTGCTGGAAGCAGTTTACATTTTTAAATTGGTTACTAGTGTCAGAATGTTTCATGAGTAAGAGCACAGCCTCTAAGTTGGATACCCTGAATTTAAGTCTCAACATGGCCATTTTGTATATAAGCAGAGGACGGATTTGGGGACCCAATGGATCTACCATGACATGAACTTGGACCAACATTCACCTGAACTCCAAAATGCCTATTCTGACTGGTAGACCCTAGTCTCGCCCTAGTGCCAGTTCAGAGCCTGTGTCCAGTGGTCTTGCACAGGTCCCATTAGTTCTTTTTCTCCTATTCAGTCATCCTGGTAAAGGCTGTGTATTCCCTTGGGGACAGGCTGGGAGAAAGATTGACAGTATAAATTTTTGGCAGTGGAGCAGAGTCCTTTCTGGAGGGGACCTGGCTTCCCATTCAGACAAGGGACTCCAGGTCTGTGAACTGGCTTATGTCTGGGAATTGACGGGGGACTGTGACTCTGTTTTTATGATTCAGATTAGACTTCTGCTCACCTGACCTAGAATTCTTCTTCAAACACAGATCAAGTAAAAATGTGGCAGGCTTCTTATCTATTTCAGTTCTAGGAAAGCCACGATCAGCCGGCACCATAGGTCTCTGCGAGTCAGGCTATTCTGGTTGCAGCTTTGACTCTGCTGTCTTTTATGGTAACTGCATCCACCTTGCCTTTGGGGATTGAGTGCTCTGATCACTTGACCCCAGCCCCTGTACTGTGCGTATGTCACTTACCCTCTTTATACCTCAGTCTCCTCCTCTATAAAATGGGCATCCTCATTGCACCCACCCCCAGGGCTGCTGTGAGGTATAGATGGATTAGCATATGGAAGGTAATAGAAGAGGGTCTCAAAGCCCATGTGTCGTTATCAGAATTATTTCGTGACAGGGGAGAGCTGGAGGAGAGAGGAAGGTGCTGAGCAGACCCACGTGCTCTCCCACCAGTGTTTCCTGAGCACTCACTATGTGCTGCCCACTGTGAGAGCTGTTAGGGTTGAAATAGGGAGAACAGCAGGATAGGGGCTGCCATCAGGAGCTTAGTGGGGAGACCGTTGTGCAACATGGTTACAGTGCTTGGGGTGGGGAAGCCCAGGGACTACAGGGGCCTAGGATCCAGGGCAGAATCATGGAAAGGACACAGCCGCCCCAGCCTCCCCTGCCTCCCCTGCCTCCCTGACCTCCTCTGTTCCCTGGCCTCTCCTGCCTTCCTGGCTTCCCCTTCCGCCCCGGCCTCCCCAGTCTCCCCTGTCTTTCCTGCTTTTGAGGTGGGCCAGGAGCTGCTGGTGCTCACTTAGCCTGTCCTGGACTCTGGGTGTAGCACTTCGATGTCCAGAAAATACCCCCGGGTTCAGCTTATCACACAGCCAAGAAAGGAGCTCCACACTGACACTAAGGGTGCATCCTGGGCTCATTCATCAGGGCATGCCTCCAAAATATTTCTCCACGTCTCCTCCCTTTGCCCACCTGCATTGTCTCTGTGCCTCAACCCCGGCTGGGGGCCTGCAAGGATCCTCTATCTCCTCTGCCCCTGCACGGCTGGGTCCCAGGCAATCTGTCTGCCCACCACACCTCTCTCCTGTTGCCCACCACGCTCCAGCCCCACAGTCCTCTTTCTGCTTCTTTCCCAGCCTCTGGGCTTTTGCACACGCTGTTCCTTCTGCCTGAACACCCTCCACTGGGCTGAGAACAACTCTCTGAGACCTCTCTCAGCTGTTGCTTCCTTTGGAACAGCCGCTGCTGCTGTCCCTCTCCCAGCTCAAAGACCTGCTGAGCCTCCTGTCTTTTTCAGTTCCCATGCCCCCAGCACTTCTCCTTGGCCTCCTTTGGCCCAATTGACAATGTCCATTCTCAATGCCTTCCCACCCAGCGCTGAGCCCCACTTGGTGAAGGCAATGCCTGTCATGTTCACCACAATATCCCCTCCCCCATCACCACGACTGGTCCACAGTGATGCTCAAAAAAGATCTGTTGGTAGGCAATGCGAAGGTGCATTCATGTCATCCTGCAGGCGGAATTCTCCACGAGTTTTGAGCAGCCTCGGGTTTCCCACCACCTCCAAATCATGGAAGACACAGGGTAAGAGCAAAGACAAGGTGGCTGTGGCCGATGTCCACCCTCTCGTGGCGTCCCTTCTCTTCTCTCCTCCTTGGGCAGGGAGACCATCGGGGTGCAACCTGGCTGGGGCGGGGAGGTGGTGCAGGGCATTGCCAGAGCGGACCTGTCCATGGGCAAGGGACAGCGACCTCCTGGGCCAGGACATGTGACAGCTGCGCAGGCCTGGGCCCGGCGTGGCAGAGGTGCGCGAGAGCGGCCAGAAGAGGGCGCCAGAGAGCAAGGCGCGGCCCGCGGAGGAGCCCGGGCCGGCCCCGATACCCAGCTCCGCGCCGCGCGGACCCACCGAGCCCGTGCTCAGACGCCCCAGCTCCGCCGAGAAGCCGCTTGAGCCGGGTCCTTCTTCTTCCCCAAGTTCAGGCAGAGCCCGCGGAGCCATGGCCAGCCCTTCCAGCAGCTCCGAAGCCACTGGCAAGCCCCGAGGCAGGGATGGCAGTCCCAGGATGGGGGAGGAGGACGTCCCTCCCGAAGAGAAGAGGCTGGGGCTGTAGCTGGAGGGGGGAAGCGCACAGCCCGAGGACTGCGAGGACGGGGAGGACCCGCCGCTACCGGGCAGGAAGGAGACCGGCACCCAGACAGGTGGCGACGGCAAAGGAGTAAGTGATGCGGGCGCGGGGGTCCGGGAGTGCCGGGGGCTCGGGGGTGCCGGGGACGCGACGAAGGGGCGTCGGGAGGCTCCGTGGCCGTCCCCGGGTTGAAGTTGGGAGTGCAGCCTTCATTCTGAACCCATTTAGGCAGCACGGGCAGCCCTCCTCGCCATGGGCAGGATCAGAGCCCCCCCGCCCAGTCTTGGGGTTGCTCCTGGATGCTGTCTGGGAGGCTTGCTCATGGTGACATCCTCATCTCCCCGTCCACGTTACCGCATTCAGAGCTTGGGTCACCTGGACACTGAACTCAGGTGAATTTTCTCTGAGATCCCGGGAGAAGGAGGACAGTTCTTTGGAAGGTTTTCCAGGGCCGATCACGGAAAGGATGAGAAGGGAGAGGTCCTGGTCGGGGACACAATTATGGTGGCAGTGTAACGCCGGGAAACTTTATTGCATGAAGTCCCTCTCACTCCCTCTACCTCCCTCTTTTACGTGGACTCTGCCAAAGACCAGGATACCAGAATGCGGTGGAGAGGCCAAGTGTAGTGAGACCTTGGGAATGCGATTCTGGAGCCAGGCGGCTGGGGTTTGCATCCTGGTTCTGCCCCTCCTTAGCTGGCTGACATGGCACAAGCCACTTACCCTGTCTGAGCCTTACTGTCTTCAGTGGCAAATGGATCTGTCAACAGGCTCCATTGCCTGGGGTTGTTGCTGCTGAGATTAAGGGAAGCTCGTCCATAGAAGCACTTAGCGTTGTGCCTGGCACATAGTGTATGGTGGATAAGTGGGACTTAAGACTAAAACTCATGCCCTGATGTGTTTTTGCAGTGATGTTTTGTTCTGGAGTACGTCACAAGAGACAAGGTCCTTGGCTGGGCATGGTGGCTGAAGCCAATAATCCCAGCACTTTGAGAGGCCGAAGGGGGAGGATCGCTTGAGCCCAGGAGTTTAAGACCAGCCTGGGCAACATGGTGAAGCCTCATATCTACCAAAAAAAAAAAAAAAAAAAAAAAAAAAAAAAGGCAGTTATGGTGGTGAGTGCCTGCAGTCTCAAGTACTTGGGAGGCTGAGGTGGGAGGATTGCTAGAGCCTAGAAGGTCAGGCTGCAGTGAGCTGTGATCATGCCACTGCACTCCAGCCTGGGTGACAAAGTGAGACCGTTTCAAGGAAAAGAGAGAGAGACAGACCCACAAAAGTCTTAAGCCAGAATCTCCATGTTAAAATGCTTTCTGGAGGCTAAAAGGATGATATGTTGATAATGAAATGTTTAAAAGGCAGAAACCCCACTGAATTGTTTGGTCCACAGAGGGAAATGGGAATCGCATGACCTGAAGGATGATGGAGGAACTGAACAGAAACCATCCTTGTTTCCTGAATCTGAACATGGCACGCTCTTTTCACGGTGCCTGTATCTGCTCAGTCCGGCAGCCCCTTGAAAAGAGGGAATCTTGATTTTCAAACTTAAAATTTGGCCCAAAGCTCACTGCTGCCCACAATGCCCGCCAGACACATTCCTCTTCCCTTTTAGTTCCTATGGGAATACTCTCTTTGAAGAACCCATGAAGCAGTGTCAGGCTGGTACGAGGATCAGCAGTGATTTCTTTGAGGAGGAGAGCCCGTTTCTTCACTCACAGGCCATGTCTGAGTGGATCAAGAAGAACAGAGTGCCCTTTTATGAGATTTTGTCTGCGTAGACCACTAGCTTGGTAAAAATGTCAAAACCATCCTCGTTCTTTAATAACAGATTATTTTGGACTTTTCTCTGCAAGAAGCAGCATGGGCATTCAGATGCTTTTAAGGATAAAATGTTCTTTCTCATCACCAGGACTGGTGCTCTGGATGGCTGAGGTTTTAATGTGACTGGATGTCCCTTGGAGTAGCTCCCAGGCTGTGCTCTTGTGGTTGGGTGGCAAGCGGTTGCTTTATTCGGTGGTGGCTAGAGGATGTTTTAGCAGATTAATCGGGACCCCAGGAGCCCCTGAGTGTCAAGTCCTGCTGCAGGGCATGTGTTTATGGTGGGGAGGTGGGGGAGGGTGGATGGGGGGGCATTGATTTCCTCCCAATATCAGAAGTTTCACAGGCTTCTTGTTTATCCACAAACACCCACCCCATTGAGAAGGCCTAGAAAATCTGCCCCTCCTCAAGCCTTTATTGACCGCTTGTGAATGATCCCAGTGTGTGTCTGACCCACAGCTCCTCCTGGAGGGAGAGAAAAGTCTCTCCTAGGTATTTGGTTGTCCACCTCAACCACTTGCTGAGTCTTCCGCAAGACCAGGCACCTCGGCAGAGATTTCTGGGTTGTCAGGCAGAACCGAGCATTCAAGGGTGATAACTCACTGGAGTCCCTGAAATCCCTGATGGACGCACCAGGTAAAAGTATCCAGGGTTGAAACCAGATCAGGAAGGTTATTGTCAGCCTGGGGCTCCTGTAGAGGTGCATCCACGTTGCAGGGATTTTCCTTCTTGCTGAGGAGAAACCTGGGTTTCTCAGCTTTGGCACAGTCAGAATATTTGTGGTGAGACCATTCGTGGTGCTGGTGGTGGGGCTGTCCTGTGTATTGAAGGATGGTTAGCAGCATCTGTGGTCTCCATCCTCTAGGTGCCATTCTACCCTCCCTGCTATGGCTACCCCAGACGTCTCCAGATGGTTTCAAATAATGTGGGGCAAGGGAGCGGTACGTGAGCAAAACCACCCCAGTTGAGAGCCATTGGTCCACACTTGTATAAATGTTTGAGGGTGAGAGTGTCGAGCTTGGGTCCCTGCTGTACCCTTTATGAGCAATGCGGTCTTGGAAAATTAATACTACTCCAGGGGCCTCAGTTTTCTCATCTATAAAATGGAGATAAATGAGATACACTTTGATAGGAAGGTTATATGGGATTCACTGAGATAATAAGACAGTACATGGAAAATGCTGCGCATAGCATTTATTTATTTTAATTTTTTTTTAAGACAGAGTCTTACTCTGTTGCCCAGGTTGGAGTGCAGTGGCATGATCTCCGCTCACTGCAATCTCCACCTCCTGGGTTCAAGTGATTCTCCTGCCTCAGGCTACCGAGTAACTGGGACTACAGGCGCGCGCCATCATGCCCATCTAATTTTTGAATTTTTAGTAGAGACGGGGCTTCACCATGTTGGCCAGGATAGTCCGATCTCTTGACCTCGTGATCTGCCCGCCTCGGCCTTCTCAAGTGCTGGGATTACAGGCGTGAGCCACCGTGCCTGGCCAAACATAAACTTACTTTCTTACCTCTTCTGCTGAACTCTATTTGCTTCTTTTCCCATACGTCTTTATCCAGAAGAGCTTTTAGCAACAAAGTTACCCAATGCCCTTCCCTAGTCTCTCCTTGCAACTGGCTCTCAGCAGGGGGTGGGAGGAAATTCTTGACAGAACCAATTTACATGACTGTTTTGGGGACCCATTCTAGTCCCAGGAGGTGTTTACACTTTTAAATTGGTTACTAGTGTCAGAATGTTTCATGAGTAAGAGCCCAGGCTCTATGTCGGATGCCCTGAATTTGAATCTCAGCATTGCCGCTTTGTATATAACCAGAGGATGGATTTGGGGACCCAATGGACCTACCGTGACATGAACTTGCACCAACATTCACCTGACCTCCAAAATGCCTATTCTGACTGGTAGACCCTAGTCTCGCCCTAGTGCCAGTTCAGAGCCTGTGTCCAGTGATCCTGCACAGGTCTCATTAGTTCCTTTTCTCCTGTTCAGTCATCCTGGCGAAAGGCTGTGTATTCCCTTGGGGGCAGGTTGGGAGAAAGACTGACAGTATAAATTTTTGGCAGTGGAGCAGAGTCCTTTCTGGAGGGGACCTGGCTTCTCATTCAGACAAGGGACTCCAGGTCTGTGAACTGGCTTATGTCTGGAAATTGACTGGGGACTGTGACTCTGTTTTTATCATTCAGATTAGACTTCTGCTCACTTGACCTAGAGCTCTTCTGCAAACACAGATCAAGTGAAATGTGGCAGGCTTCTTATCTATTTCACTTCTAGGAAAGCCACGATCAGCAGGCACCATAGGTCGCTGGGATTCAGGCTATTCTGGTTGCAGCTTTGACTCTGCTGTCTTTTATGATAACTGCATCTACCTTGCCTTTGGGGATTGAGTGCTCTGATCACTTGGCCCCAGCCCCTGTAGTGTGCGTATGTCACTTACCCTCTTTATACCTCAGTCTCCTCCTCTATAAAATGGGCATCCTCATTGCACCCACCCCCAGGGCTGCTGTGAGGTATAGATGCATTAGCATATGGAAAGTAATAGAAGAGGGTCTCAAAGTCCATGTGTCGTTATCAGAATTATTTCATGATGGGGAGAGCTGGAGGAGAGAGGAAGGTGCTGAGCAGACCCACGTGCTCTCCCACCAGTGTTTCCTGAGCACCTACTATGTGCTGCCCACTGTGAGAGCTGTTAGGGTTGAAATAGGGAGCACAGCAGGGTAGGGGCTGCCATCAGGAGCTTAGTGGGGAGACCATTGTGCAACCTGGTTCCAGCGCTTGGGGTGGGGAAGCTCAGGGAGTTCAGGGGCCTAGGATCCAGGGCAGAATCATGGAAAGGACATAACCTCCCCAGCCTCTCCTGCCTCCATTGCCTCCCTGGCCTCCTCTGCTTCCCTGGCCTCTCCTACCTTTCTGGCTTCCCCTTCCACCCCGGCCTCCCCAGTCTCCCCTGTCTCTCCTGCTTTTGAGGTGGGCCAGGAGCTGCTAGTGCTCACTTAGCCTGTCCTGGGCTCTTGGTGTAGCACCTCAATGTCCAGAAAATACCCCCGAGTTCAGCTCATCACACAGTCAAGGAAGGAGCTCCACACTGACACTAAGGGTGCATCCTGGGCTCATTCATCAGGGCATGCCTCCAAAATATTTCTCCACGTCTCCTCCCTTTGCCCACCTGCATTGTCTCTGTGCCTGAGCCCCGGCTGGGGGCCTGCAAGGATCCCCTATCTCCTCTGCCCCTGCACAGCTGGGTCCCAGTCAATCTGTCTGCCCACCACACCTTCCTCCCCTTGCCCACCACGCTCCAGCCCCACAGTCCTCTTTCTGCTTCTTTCCCAGCCTCTGGGCTTTTGCACACGCTGTTCCCTCTGCCTGAACACCCTCCACTGGGCTGAGAACAACTCTCCGAGACCTCTCTCAGCTGTTGCTTCCTTTGGAACAGCCGCTGCTGCTGTCACTTTCCCAGCTCCAAGACCTGCTGAGCCTCCTGTCTTTTTCAGTTCCCATGCCCCCAGCACTTCTCCTTGGCCTCCTTTGGCCCAATTGACAATGTCCATTCTCAATGCCTTCCCACCCAGCGCTGAGCCCCACTGGGTGAAGGCAATGCCTGTCATGTTCTCCACAATATCCCCTCCCCCATCACCACACCTGGTCCACAGTGATGCTCAAAAAAGGTCTGTTGGTAGGCAATGGGAAGGTGCATTCATGTCATCCTGCAGGCGGAATTCTCCACGAGTTTTGAGCAGCCTCGGGTTTCCCACCACCTCCAAATCATGGAAGACACACGGTAAGAGCAAAGACAAGGTGGCTGTGGCCGATGTCCACCCTCTCGGGGCTTCCCTTCTCTTCTCTCCTCCTTGGGCAGGGAGACCATCGGGGTGCAACCTGGCTGGGGTGGGGAGGAGGTGCAGGGCCTGGCCAGAGCGGGTCTGGCCACAGGCAGGGGACAGCGACTGCCTGGGCGGGGGCAGGTGAGTGCAGCGCAGGCCAGGGCCCGGCTTGTCCGCGGTGCGCGCGAGCGGCCAGCAGAGGGCGCGAGAGCCAGGAGCGGCCCGCGTAGGAGCCCGCGCCGGCCGCTATGCCCAGCCCCTCGCCGGGCGGACCCACCGAGCCCGCGCTCAGACGCCCCAGCTCCGCCGAGAGGCCGCTCGCGCCGTATCCTTCCTCTTCTCCAGGTGCAGGCAGAGCCCCCCAGCCGTGGCCAGCCCTTCCGGCAGCTCCGAAGCCACTGGCAAGCCCCGAGGCAGGGATGGCCGGCCCAGGAGGGAGGAGGACGACGTCCCTCCCGAAGAGAAGAGGCTGCGGCTGTAGCTGGAGGGGGGAAGCGCAGAACCCGAGGACTGCGAGGACGGGGAGGACGCGCCGCGGCCAGGCAGGGAGGAGACCGGCACCCAGACAGGTGGCGAAGGCAGAGGAGTAAGTGACGCGGGCGCCGGGGTCCGGGGGTGCCGGGGGCGCCGGTAGGGGCGGCGGGAGGCTCAGTGGCCGGCCCCGGGTTGAAGTTGGTATTTTAGCGGCAACTCCGAAGGGCGCGGAGTGACAGCGCGTGACGGCCTCCGAGACGCCAGCTGCCGCTTCTCGGCTGTGTGGCTTTGACTTCCTGATTCTCCCACGACGTCCCTGGCTGGGAGACCCGCTGGACTCTGCGGCTGGCCAAAAAGAGAGGGGCAGCCCCGCGTCCTGGGGGCCCCTAGCAGGGGAAGTGGCGGGTGTTGCGCTGGGCATCCTGTCTGGGGCATCTGTCTGGGACCCTGTCGGTGCCTCTCACCTGGCGAGGGGCCTGTGGTGGGGTAGGGGGGAAGTCCCTGGCGCCAGGCTTGGCCAAGCCCTGCTCTGCTGGACTGCGGGCTGGCGGCGCTCACCCAGCTCCTCACCCGTCCCGCATCTTCCTGTTTTTCTTCCCTTTCTGGTTGGGCAGCAAGAGTTGAGAGGAGGCAGATGGCTTCCATCCCAGAAATCGCTCTCCTCTTTCCATCCCTACAGAGAGGGACAGAGAGGCAAAGTTCCTTGCATCCCCGGGGCGCTGTCCCTGTGAGCTCCCGGTGTCCTGCAAACGTTGGCCCCTGAATCACCGGGCCAGTGTGTGTGGGATGGGGCTGCGTAGCCAGGCTGGCCTCCTGGGGTTCACTTTCGGCTTTCCTACCCCAACTCTTCCTGTGTGGCTTTGCTGGCCTTCCACTGGGGAGGCATGTGGGTTTGGAGGGCAGATGAGGGCCCGCTGGAGAACTGTACCCCTCAGTGAGGGCCGCCACCTTGATGGTTTTTAATGGATAATGGGATTGACCTCTTTGTTCCTTCCACATGTTTTTATGTTTGACCATTTGCTCAGCTGAGCTTGTCTTAATAATTGGATTCATGGTTAATGAGCCCCACATGGGAGAGAGGGCGGTCTTCATTCTGAACCCATTTAGGCAGCATGGGCAGCCCTCCTCGCCATGGGCGGCATCAGAGCACTCCTGCCCAGTCTTGGGGTTGCTCCTGGATGCTGTCTGGGAGGCTTGCTCATGGTGACATCCTCTTCTCCCCGTCCACGTTACCGCATTCAGAGCTTGGGTCACCTGGACACTGAACTCAGGTGAATTTTCTCTGAGATCCCGGGAGAAGGAGGACAGTTCTTTGGAAGGTTTTCCAGGGCCGATCACGGAAAGGATGAGAAGGGAGAGGTCCTGGTTGGGGACACAATTACGGTGACAGTGTAACGCCGGGAAACTTTATTGCATGAAGTCCCTCTCACTCCCTCTACCTCCCTCTTTTACGTGGACTCTGCCAAAGACCAGGATACCAGAATGCGGTGGAGTGACCAAGTGTAGTGAGACCTTTGGAACGCGATTCTGGAGCCAGGCGGCTGGGGTTTGCATCCTGGTTCTGCCCCTCCTTAGCTGGCTGACATGGCACAAGCCACTTACCCTCTCTGAGCCTTACTGTCTTCAGTGGCAAATGGATCTGTCAACAGGCTCCATTGCCTGGGGTTGTTGCTGCTGAGATTAAGGGAAGCTCGTCCATAGAAGCACTTAGCGTTGTGCCTGGCACATAGCGTATGGTGGATAAGTGGGACTTAGTACTAAAACTCATGCCTTGGTGTGTTTTTGCAGTGATGTTTTGTTCTGGAGTACGTCACAAGAGACAAGGTCCTTGGCTGGGCATGGTGGCTGAAGCCAATAATCCCAGCACTTTGAGAGGCCGAAAGGGGGGGATCACTTGAGCCCAGGAGTTTAAGACCAGCCTGGGCAACATGGTGAAGCCTCATATCTACCAAAAAAAAAAAAAAAAAAAAAAAAAAAGGCAGTTATGGTGGTGAGTGCCTGCAGTCTCAAGTACTTGGGAGGCTGAGGTGGGAGGATTGCTAGAGCCTAGAAGGTCAGGCTGCAGTGAGCTGTGATCATGCCACTGCACTCCAGCCTGGGTGACAAAGTGAGACCGTTTCAAGGAAAAGAGAGAGAGACAGACCCACAAAAGTCTTAAGCCAGAATCTCCATGTTAAAATGCTTTCTGGAGGCTAAAAGGATGATATGTTGATAATGAAATGTTTAAAAGGCAGAAACCCCACTGAATTGTTTGGTCCACAGAGGGAAATGGGAATCGCATGACCTGAAGGATGATGGAGGAACTGAACAGAAACCATCCTTGTTTCCTGAATCTGAACATGGCACGCTCTTTTCACGGTGCCTGTATCTGCTCAGTCCGGCGGCCCCTTGAAAAGAGGGAATCTTGATTTTCAAACTTAAAATTTGGCCCAAAGCCCACTGCTGCCCACAATGCCCGCCAGACACATTCCTCTTCCCTTTTAGTTCCTATGGGAATACTCTCTTTGAAGAACCCATGAAGCAGTGTCAGGCTGGTACGAGGATCAGCAGTGATTTCTTTGAGGAGGAGAGCCTGTTTCTTCACTCACAGGCTATGTCTGAGTGGAACAAGAAGAACAGAGTGCCCTTTTATGAGATTTTGTCTGCGTAGACCACTAGCTTGGTAAAAATGTCAAAACCATCCTCGTTCTTTAATAACAGATTATTTTGGACTTTTCTCTGCAAGAAGCAGCATGGGCATTCAGATGCTTTTAAGGATAAAATGTTCTTTCTCATCACCAGGCCTGGTGTTCTGGATGGCTGAGGTTTTAATGTGACTTGGTGTCCCTTGGAGTTGCTTCCAGGCAGTGCTCTTGTGGTTGGGTCGCAAGGGGTTGCTTTATTCGGTGGTGGCTAGAGGATGTTTTAGCAGATAAATCGGGACCCCAGGAGCCCCTGAGTGTCAAGTCCTGCTGCAGGGCATGTGTTTATGGTGGGGAGGTGGGGGTGGGGGTGGAGGATGGGGGCATTGATTTCCTCCCAATATCAGAAGTTTCACAGGCTTCTTGTGTATCCACAAACACCCACCCCATTGAGAAGTCCTAGAAAATCTGCCCCTCCCCAAGCCTTTATTGACCGCTTGTGAATGATCCCAGGGTGTGTCTGACCCACAGCTCCTGCTGGAGAGAGAGAAAAGTCTCTCCTAGGTATTTGGTTGTCAACCTCAACCGCTTGCTGAGCCTTCCCCAAGACCAGGCACCTTGGCAGAGATTTCTGGGTTGTCAGGCAGAACCGAGCATTCGAGGGTGATAACTCACTGGAATCCCTGAAATCCCTGATGGATGCACCAGGTAAAAGCATCCAGGGTTGAAACCAGATCAGGAAGGTTATTGTCAGCCTGGGGCTCCTGTAGAGGTGCATCCACGTTGCAGCTATTTTCTTTCTTGCTGAGGAGAAACCTGGATTTCTCAGCTTTGGCACAGTCACAACATTTGGGGTGAGACCATTCGTGGTGGTGGTGGGGGGGCATCCTGTGTATTGTAGGATGGTTAGCAGCATCTGTGGTCTCCATCCTCTAGGTGCCATTCTACCCTCCCAGCTATGGCTACCCCAGATGTCTCCAGATGGTTTCAATGCTGTGGGGCAAGGGAGTGGTATGTGAGCAAAACCACCCCAGTTGAGAGCCATTGGTCTACACTTGTGGAAATGTTTGAGGGTGAGAGTGTCGACCTTGGGTCCCTGCTGTACCCTTTATGAGCAATGCTGTCTTGGAAAGTTAATAGTACTCCAGGGGCCTCAGTTTTCTCATCTATAAAATGGAGATAAATGAGATACACTTTCATAGGAAGGTTATATGCGATTTACTGAGATAATAAGACAGTACATGGAAAATACTGGGCATAGCCTTTATTTATTTAATTTTTTTTTAAGACAGAGTCTTACTCTGTTGCCCAGGCTGCAGTACAGTGGCATGATCTCTGCTCACTGCAACCTCCACGTCCTGGGCTCAAGTGATTCTCCTGCCTCAGCCTCCAGAGTAGCTGGGATTACAGGTGCCCACCACCACACCTGGCTAATTTTTGTATTTTTAGTAGAGATGGGGTTTCACCATGTTGGGCAGGCTGATCTCAAACTTCTAACCTCAGGTGATCCGCCTGCCTCGGCCTCCCAAGTTGCTGAGATCACAGGTGTGAGCCAGCACACTGGGCTTGTCATCGCATTGTAACACAGACAAAGCACAAAATACGTGGACAATATCTTTTTACATTTGGCTTGTCTAGACTCCATCCTCCATCCCCTCGTGCACTGGTGTGGTGCAGACCAGAATATCGCTCACCTAGACTGCAGAGTGGATTTGGGTGGCATCTTGGCTTTCTGCACAAGACTTGCCTGCTCC
Organism: Homo sapiens; assembly: GCF_000001405.40. Classification (NCBI taxonomy): domain Eukaryota; kingdom Metazoa; phylum Chordata; class Mammalia; order Primates; family Hominidae; genus Homo; species Homo sapiens. The sequence continues at coordinate 5,792,307 of NW_018654717.1, read as the reverse complement.
CCACCACATCCCCCTGGTTCTCAGGGTTCAGGATTCCAGGAGGCCGGGATGTGGGTAGGCAGGTCAGGTGGCCCACCCAGTTCACTCTCACACTGGGGACCTGCAGAGCCAGCTCCCTGAGACAGGGTGTTTTGACCAACATCTGGTTTTTTTGATTTCCATTTGAGCACAGCTGGACTACACAGGCTGAAGCTCTCTCTGCCGAGATATAGATATTTCCCTGGCAATGATCTTTCAAGTTGACATGAAGACATGGCCATCCGCTGGAACGTCGTGGATCTGCCGTAGTGCTCTTGTAATTTGTGAGGCAGGCTCCTGATGAATGCAGTGCGTAAGTGGGAAATGGTAGGATGTTCTCCCATCCTCCCCTTGCCGAAAGTGCTGCCTGCGCAGGTTGGTGGACGGTCCTTTGAGCAGGAAGAAGACACGGAGCACATTCCTGTTAGCTATGACAGAGAGGGGCAGGGTACACACTGGACATTTCACGCCCCTGTAGAGAAGCAAGTCTTACTGTGCTGGGAGTTCTTGTGGAGCGGGGGCTGTGTTGCCCTGGGCTTTAATTATTTCAGGAACATTTAACCACAGGGCCAGCAGGCTGGATCTTGATATGTGTTTCTTAGTTGGAAAGATTTTGGACCATAGAGAAATGTCTTCTCAATTCTTTTAATTTCATTAAGGTGGTCATTTTTCTTCTTGTGGCCTCTGGAATGTGACACAGAACTCAAGGGACAGGAAGGAGATGAGTTGGAGGCTGGGACAGGGGTCCCTGCCAGGGATGCTGGTGACTCACGTGACGGTGTTGATGTGTGGAGTCCGGTGCCTGGTTTGGGGAATGTTCGTGGGATGTGTTCCAAAGGACTGACGGACCTATCAGGTACTGGAGGTGAATGGTCAAGTCTGATCTCAGGGCTGACAGTGTCAGGCAAGGACAGGAAGTTGGCATTGGTCTCATTGGCTGAGGTTGTTGGGACCCAGGGGGCAATGTGTGCCAGGACAGATGGGTCTGGGGCTAGGAAGGCAGGTTTGGGCTGGCGACCCGGGCTTGGGAGGCATCCCAGGTAGACAGTGGTTGAGGCTGTGGAAATGACCGCGATTGCCTGGGATGAGAGTGGAGACAGACAAGATGGAGGTTTTGCTTTAAGCCTGGGGAGCCCACCTCCCAGGTTCAAGCGATTCTCCTGCCTCAGCTTCCCAAGTAGCTGGGAATGCACGTGCATGCCACCATGCCTGACTAACTTTTGTATTTTTAGTAGAGATGAGGTTTGGCCAGGCTGGTCTCAAACTCCTGACCTCAAGTGATCGGCCCACCTTGGCCTCCCAAAGTGCTGGGATTACAGGCATGAGCCACCATGCCTGACCATTTTTAAATATTAATTTTTATGCAATATTTTCAAACACATTTTACTGTACATTGGAAAAGTCAATCATGATTTGAAAACTTTATAAAAATCTAATCAAATATCAATTAACCATTTAATTGTGGATAAGTAAGGAGACTATTTTGACCAAAACATGTTAGAACAATTACCACTTATAGAAATAATCTGTGTTTTAATGTTTTAGTTGAATTAAACAATCTTTTATATTCTGTCCAGGTGCAGTGGTTCACACCTGTAATCCCAGCACTTTGGGAGGCCGAGGCTGGCGGATCACCTAAGGTCAGGAGTTCGAGACCAGCCTGGTCAACATGGCAAAACTGTCTCTACTAAAAATACAGAAATTAGCCAGGTGTGATGGCACACACCTGCAATCCCAGCTACTTGGGAGGCTGAGGCAGGAGAATCGTTTGCACCTGGGAGACAGAGGTTGCAGTCAGCCGAGATCGCACCACTGTACTTCAGCCAGCCTGGGTGACAGAGCGAGACTCTGTTTCAAAAATAAATAAATAAATAAAATAGAATTCTGAATTTTATTTTTAATAATTATTTTTGTAAAGAGAATGTCTTGTTTTTTGGAGTTGTTGAATTTATTGAATTGGCAAAAATTATGTACAAGAGGGTATACAACATGATGTGATTGAGGTATGTATACATTATGAAATGGCTAAATCAAGCTAAATAACATATCACCTCCCAGACTTACTTTTTGGGGTGAGAACACTTAAACAATCTACTCTCTTAGTGATTTCCAAGTGTATGATATGTTGTTATTAACTATAGGTACCTTGTTGTCCCATGGATCTCCTGAACTTATTCTTCTTCTCTAAAAATGACATTCTGTGTCCTTTGGCATCTGCCCACTTCCCCACCCTGGCAACCATCATTCTACTCTGCTTCTGTGAATTCAACTTTTTTCTTCTCTTTTTTTTTTTTCTTTTTTTTTGAGAAAATCTCCTTCTATTGCCCAGGCTGTAGTGCAGGGTTGTGATCATGGCTCACTGCAGCCTTGACGTCCCAAGTTCAATCAATCCTTCCACCTCAGCCTCCTGAGTATCTGGGAGTACAGGCATGCACTACCATGCTCCACTAATTTTTGTATTTTTTGTAGAGATGGGGTATTGCTATGTTATGCAGGCTGGTCTCGAACTCCTGGGCTCAAGCAATCTGCTGGTCTCAGCCTCCCAAAGTGCTGTGATTACAAGCGTGAGCCACCATGCCTGGCCGAGTTCAACTTTTTTAGATTCCACATGTAAGTGAGATCATGTGGTATTTGTCGTTCTGTGCCTGGCTTATTTCACTTAACATAATATCCTCCAGGCTCATCCATTTGTCTCAAATGGCAGGATTTCCTTCTTTTTGAAGGCTGAATAGTATTCCATTGTGTACATACACCACATTGTTGCTGGAAGTTTAATGGAGGCCAGTTGGGGGAGGATGGGGAGAAGATTCACTCTAAGTCTAGATGCTCCAGTACCCACCCAGGATGTGTGCAAGGAAGTGCAGGATGCTCCTGGTCCTGCAAACTGTGGTTTGTGGGACTCCAAAGCCCCTATCCTTCCACGATGCTTTCTGTCCTGTTATCACATTTCCTTGGAGGAGAACCCAGCCTTGGTGGAGAGCCCTGCTCTGGCTTTGTCCCTCGGCATGAGATGGCGAAGGATGGTGCCGCTGGGAGACCCTCACATCTGCACACTGGGGGCTGTTTGCCTTCTCCATTCCTCCTTCAAGTATCTGAGCAGCTCCTGTGTGCCAGCTGCTGGTCTACAAGATGGATGGGTCCTTGGAGATCAGCCTGTAGCAGAGGAGGCAGGCTATAGCCCACAGGCCAGAACCAGCCCCCTGCCTGTTCACACAAATAAAGTTTTATTGGAACACAGCCACACCCATTTCAGTACCTATTGTCTGTGGCTGCTTTCCTGCTACAATGGAGAGTTGAATATTTGGGACAGAGACCTATGGCCTGCAAAGCTCAACTATTTACCATCTGGCCCTGGAGAGAAAGGAAAAAAATGCTGATCCTTGTACCCTGACAGTCTTAGGTTAAGAGGACTTCGTACCACTCTGACGTCCCAGGCCGCCATGAGTCCAGCCACCCTTGAAATGTACACAAGTCTGGGCTGAGGTTGCAGCAGTTGAGGCCCAATTTTGCAGGTCTTTGGTATCAGGGGCACAACCCAGGATTTTGTGTGGGGTTTCTTCCTCACTGTGGCTGGGCACTGGGCAAGGGTGCTTTCTGATTTTTGTATGGGGAAGAGAAAGGAGGGAGGAAATGGCAACTTGTTGCCCTGTTCTAACATTTTCCTAAGATGGGTCTCCAGGCCAGGGCTTGGGATCTCACCTTGCACAGCTTACAAAACCCAGTGAGGCCGGCTGTCTTGGCGCTGCCACTCTGAGGGATGGAGCCCGCAAATGACTAGGAAGGGAGATAAAAGAATGGTTTCTGCAAGCACAAGAAGTGGCGTTATTGAAATTAACATTTCCCCCAAGTTTTACAATGTCTAGGCATGCATATTTAAGTGTCTGCCTCAAAAGCTCATGCTAATAAGGAGATGGTGCATTTAATTTCCTTTTTTTGTTCTCTGAGCAACATGCAGCTTCCTGCACAGCCCTCCTTGCAGGCAACTGCACTGAGGTGACAGTCCTCCTGGCTGCCAGCACAGATCCCCAGGGCCTCTGAGGGCCCTGTATTCTGGAGGCAGTCTTTCACTTTCTATTCGGCCCCAGCTGGAAGGGGGCAGTTTAACCACAGCCCAGCACAGGTCTCCCGCCTTAGCTTCTCTAAGGAGTCTGGCTCCCTCTGACCCTCTAGACCTCACCAGCTGAGGATCAGAGCCCCGGGGCAGGAGCCAGGGCCAGGGGGCATTGGGGGGTGGTTTGAGAGTGCAGCTCTGGAGGGGGGCAGTGCGGGCCCAGGAAAAGCTGCTCAGGGGAGACTGCAAAGAGATGGCAGAGTTAGGACAAGAGGGTCCGGCATGGTGGCTCACATCTGTAATCCCAGCACTTTGGGAGGCCGAGGTGGGCGGATCACCTGAGGCCAGGAGTTTGAGACCAGACTGGCCAATATGGTGAAAACCTGTCTCTACTAAAAATACAATAATTAGCCGGACATGGTGACACCTATAATCCCAGCTACTCGGGAAGCTGAGCCACGAGAATTGCTTGAACCCGGAAGGTGGAGGTTGCAGTGAGCTGAGATTGTGCCACTGTACTCCAGCCTGGGCAACAGAGCAAGATTCCATCTCAAAAAAAAAAAAAAAAAAAAAAAAAATAGGACAGGAGGAGGAGGGAAGAGAAGGGAGCTGTGGGGCAGCGGCCAGGACCTTAAAGGCACAGAAGAGGAAGCTTGGATTTCCAATTCCAAAGGACATGAGGAAAATTCACACACCTTTATTTAACCTGCTCCAGGTGAGGCTGGGCTTTGTGTATTTTCCTTGTTTTACTTTTCCTTGTGTTCAGGCTGTTGTAGAAACAGGTACACAGGGGCTCTGTGTGGCGCCCTTTCTAGTTGCCTTCAGGAAGCATGGGGTGCCCTGGTTTCCTTGGCTTCGTGTCCCCCTTTCCTCCTGCCACCCCTGACTCTGCCCCCCACCTTGTCCCTCAGAACATCTTCCTGGAAGGGCCTGGCCAGGGCTTGTGTCCTTGCTAGTCTCTGGGGAGGAAGACTCTGTGGCTTGAAAGGCTGTCGGCTTAAGTTGCAAGGTGTAGGTGCCTGGGAGGGCATGTGCACGGCCCTCTTGACTGATCCATTCATGTTTTCCTTTTTTGACTCCGTTCTATGTTGTCCTGATGGAGGGGTAAGCCCCTGCCTTCTGCCTTTCCTGCCTTGGACTCTTGCAATTGGGCCAGATGAGAGGGTCCATGTGGTCTGAGAATTCAAGCAATGCAGGCCAGGCGTGGTGGCTCACACCTGTAATCCCAGGACTTTTGGAGGCTAAGGTGGGCAGGCCAGGAGTTTGAGACCAGGTGGCCAAAATAGTGAAACCCTGTCTCTACAAAAAATACAAAAGTTAGTCGGGCTTGGTGGTGCATGCCTGTAATCCTAGTTATTTGGGAGGCTGAAGCAAGAGAATCCCTTGAACCCAGAAGGAGCAGGTTGCAGTGAGGAGCAGGTTGCAATGAGGAGGAGGTTGCAGTGAGGAGGAGGTTGTAGTGAGGAGCAGGTTGCAGTGAGGAGGAGGTTGCAGTGAGGAGGAGGTCGCAGTAAGGAGGAGGTTGCAGTGAGGAGGAGGTCGCAGTGAGGAGGAGGTTGCAGTGAGGAGGAGGTTGTAGTGAGGAGCAGGTTGCAATGAGTAGGAGGTTGCAGTGAGGAGGAGGTTGCAGTGAGGAGGAGGTCGCAGTGAGGAGGTCGCAGTGAGAAGGAGGTTGCACTGAGGAGGAGGTTGTAGTGAGGAGGAGGTTGCGGTGAGGAGGAGGTTGCAGTGAGCCGAGATTGTGTCCCTGGACTCCAGACTGGGCAATAGAGTGAGACTATGTCTCCAAAAAAAAAAAAAAAAAAAAAAATTATATAGAAAACAGAAAGCAAAACTACCTCTTGATTTGCTTTTCTTGATCTTGCATCTCAGAGGTAACACTGGGAAGGGTTGGGGTATACCTCTCCCCACCTTTTTCTTTGATTTCTTTTTATTTTTTATTCTACGTTCTGAGATACATGTGCAGAATGTGCAGGTTTGTTACATAGATATACATGTGCCATGGTGGTTTGCTGCACCTATCAACCCGTCATCTAGGTTTTAAGCCCTGCATGCATTAGGTATTTGACCTAACGCTCTCCCTCGCCTTGTCCCCCACCCCCGATGGCCCCCGGTGTGTGATGTTCCCCTCCCTGTGTCCATGTGTTCTCATTGTTCAACTCCCACTTATGAGTGAGAACACACCGTGTTTGGTTTTCTGTTTCTGTCCACAGCTTTTTCCTCTGTGCACACAAGCACATGTATTTGCACATAAGTGTTTATTGTAATCTTTTTAAAAAAGTAAAAATGCAATAATGCTATATTTATTCTTTGGAAAGCCTGTTTTTCAGGCAGCATGTCTTTGACATTGTCTCACGTTGGAACCTGGGTACCACCTTCTTCTCCCTGCAGTTATTCTGACGTGTGGATGCACCACGCTTCGTTTAACCAGCCCTGCACCGAGACGTCTTTGGATGGTTTCCGCCTTTTCCCAATCACAGACGGTGTTCTGATGAATTTCCTCACACACATCACTTGGTGTTCTGTGCCTGCATTTCTGTGAGATGTTCCTGGAGGTGGGCTGTCTAGGTCAGAGGGGGATCTGTGCTCAATTTGCATCCTGTGCAAAACTCCATCCGGTCATCCAGCTCCCCAAGGGCTCACATGGTACTGTCCTCTGTAGACATCATCTTCTGCAGATGATGGCATGACAGCCCCTCTTTCTTTTACTCACACCAGTTTGCACCCTGGTGTCCTGGGGGTTCCAGCCCCTACCCGCTTGTCTGCCTCCACCCCACAGTCCCCCCAGCCCCTGCTAACAGGGACTCTGGCTTCTGAGCTCTGGCAGACTGCCTCACTCTGGAGAAGTTTGCTTTCTCAAACATTCCTGGCAATGTTACTGCAAATCTCGAGGCCTGCATTTGCCTTCTTCAGGCCTCAGTTTCCTCAAAAGTAAAATGGGGATAATGTGATGCTACTGTCTGCATCCTAGAGCTGCCATGAGGTTTCAGTGAGATCACTGTTGAGAGCACGTTCACAGCGCCGGCCTTGTGCGCAGTCAGCACGTGTGGGGCAGGGCTGTTGCTGATAGGTGGTTGACTGTCATTGCTAGACTGTGGCTTTACCAGGGTCAATGTCTTTAGTGCCGAGCCCAGAGCCACCCCTAGTACCTGCTGTGATAATAGAGTGATTGAGTGTCAGGGTCAGAGACTGGGGCAATGGCAGCAGAAACAGAGGAAAGAAGTGGGGCTTCTAATAGTTCCTGCACCAGTGGCCTTTGAGATGAAACCTTCTTGCCAAGGTCTGGGGCTGTGCTGTTTGTTCTAGGCCCGAGACTGGAAGCTAGGCCTGGCTACAGTCCTAGCTGAGCTGGGGAATTGCAGGACAGCATCCTGCTTCATTAGGACACCTCCAAGCCCAGCTTAGACGTGGATTCCAGGTGACCCCCTGTTTACTCTGAGCCCAGACAGAAGACAGAAAAGTGTGCAAGGGTCTGGACCCTCATCACAGCCGTTGACTCTGTAAGGCATATGGGTTTGTGCACGTGTGTGAGCACGGCCATGTCTTCTCTGTGAGTTTCAAGCTCGAGGTTGTGTTTATGCAGGGTTAGGCTTGCCAGGTAAAATACAGGAGGTCCAATTAAACCTGAATTTCTCATTAACCTTTTTTTTTTTTTTTTTTTTTTGGTGCAAATATATCCCATGCAATATTTGGGACCTGCTTACCCTAAAAAATGATTTGTTGTTTATCTGAAATTCAAGTTAAACTGGCATCCTCTCTTTTCACTTGCTACGTATGAGAGTTCCGTGTGGGGGTTATCAGTGTGCATTTGTGAGTTCCCATGTGAAGGACTCTCTCCAAGTGTCTGTAGGTGCCAGGATGGAGATGGACAGAGAAGATCCTCTTGGGCTGCTTTAGTGGCACCTAGAGGCTGTGGGGTTGGACACTTCAGCCCCAGGGACCTGGGCAGCACTGTCCAGCACTTGCCTGCTCCTGTCTTCTCCACGGGGGCTGACTTCCCTGACATCTCTCTCCAAATACGGTGGCAAGAGCTATCCCATCTGCCCCCATCTGGAGCTCGGCATCCCAGCCAGACAAGATGGCAAAGTGTGCAGATGGTTGCAAAGCTTTCCCCAGCTCCTTCTGCAAGGGGCCTGCAGATGAAAGGGAAGCCCTCATCCTCACCACCTCCCCCTTCCAGAAAACCCAGGCAACAGCCACCTCTGAATGCTGCTTTAGAAGCTTCTCCCTCCTGGTGATTAAACCACCCCAAACAATAAAGCACTGCCTTTCCACCATAGGCTTGTTCACATGCACGCAGCCAGTTGTCTTGGATCCGCCCCTGTGCCTGATTCATCAGGGTGAGGGGTTCTCCTCTGAGGTGCTTGCAAAGAGCTGCTTAATTTTCATGTGAAAGACTCTCTGTAGAAACCAGGCCCAGCTTTGGAAGAAAGCCCTTTCTCCCCCTTTAGCAAATTCGGTGTCATTTTTTTTTCTTTTTTGAGACGGAGTTTCACTTTTGTTGCGCAGGCTGGAGTGCAATGGTGCAATCTCAGTTCACTGCAGTCTCTGCCTCCTTGGTTCAAACGATTCTCCTGCCTCAGCCTCCTGAGTAGCTGGGACTACAGGCACCCACAACCACACCCAGCTAAATTTTTTTTTGTATTTTTAGTAGAGAGGGAGTTTCACCATGTTGGTCAGGTTGGTCTTGAACTCCTGACCTCAGGTGATCCACCTCGGCCTCCCAAAGTGCTGGGATTACAGGCATGAGCCACCACGCCTGGCTGGAATTCTGTGTCATTCTGCATACTTATCATGACTTCAAGCATCCAGGACTCTGTCCTGGGTATCCTGAGCCTGAGGGTGTATGTGTGTCCAGCTGGCTTGGAGGTTGTCTACAGACAGGTTGAACTTGGCCTCTGAATGCATGGCAGCCCCATGTGGGAAATACCACCAAGGAACCTCATCGTGTGCTTTTAGGAGATAGTTTCTATTTAGTCATTGCTGAATCTGTTACAGACAGGGTCTCGATTTCTTGCAAGTCCTGTATGAGGTCGGTGCTGTGATTATCCATATTTTCACTTGTTCTCTCTGGCCTCTTTCAGACTCTTGCACTTCCTTTGTTTTCTTTCTGCCATAGGGTCTTTGCACATCCTGCTCTTTCTGCCTGAAAAATTTTCCCTCTCCCTGCTTCTTCACCTGGTCACGGTCTCATCTGACACTGGAGTCACTACATCCTCAGGGACTTCTGGCCACACTGACTCAGTCCCAGTAACCCCCTGTTATCTGCTTTCATGACACCAGCTGCCTCTCTGTGGTAGAAACTAGCTCAGCTATGGCTTCCTATTTCTCTGCGTGTCATCCTTCCCCTTCAAGACTGTGGTCACCATAAGGGCCAGGGACGTGCCTGTTCTGATTCTCATTTGTGCCTCTGGTGTTTAGTATATGCTCACCTAGAATTTGATTAATGAATGACAACATACCCATTTTACAGATGAGAAAGTTGAGGCTCGGAAACATTATGTAACTTGCTCAGTATTAGATAGTGATGGTTTGTGGTCATCTGGCCAGTCGCTGGGTGCACACTCTTAACCACTTCACTATGGTTCTTCTCTCATGGTAGCTCTCCAACAGCAGGAGTGAGAGACAAGTTTAGAATAGGAGTAACCAGAATCTCAGGGCTTATCCTAGAAGGTGGTGTCAGGAACATACTTGCCTATGGGCCTTCTTACTGTATTGCATAAAATACCCAGTTTTTCTGACTCACCTTTAGTAAAGACCTTAGCAATATTTGAAGCACAGTTGTCAGTAGGAAAGGGTGGATGTTTATACTTTTTTAAAAAGGAGTCTTTATCATATTTATCTTGTGGTCTGCCATGCCCCCCGATCTTCTTCAGCTTCAGTTATGCAAAATTCACACTTCTTCTCTTGACTGCCTCTCTCTTACCTGTTCAGTTTATTTTCTGTGTTCGAGATTGCTTAGAATTTTTCCCCATTACTACAGCCTGCTTCCCAACTGCATCCCCCACCCAGCTTGTTCTGGATTTTGTCAACAACAGTTCCAGCGTTTAGTGAGGGCTGGATTGAAGGAAAGCCTTGGAAAAGGCTATGTGATGAATGGTGAAGACACTTAATGGGCAGGCAGTCATCAGGGTTAATTCAAAGGCTGGAAGAAGGGCTGACCTGGAGGACTGGAAATGTCTTTGAGCTGAAGGTCATGTGCAGGTGGAACGAAGAGGGTGAGCCTTTTGGGGTGAACTGCAAGTATTTGATAATATCCCTGTCTCCATGGTTGGGGAAGTCTTGATAAGCATCCTTAATGTGAAGGAGGGATTAAGGAACCCCTGGTTCTACCTGCCCAGCATGGCAGTAACATGACACAGCCAAGTTATTGATTATTGGTTGCCCAGCTGTCATCAGCTCAACATCTTCTGTTAGTTTTAGCTGCAATTTCCGTTAGTTATCAATGCCAGTTTTGACTTTCCTAGTCAATAAAGTGTTCTGAGAGTGGTGACTAAGGCTGAGCACTACCCATAATCATGAGTATTACAGAGGCAAGCCCCCTTGCCCACCTACCTGCAGGTGATGAGACACCCTAGGGAAATAACTCAATTCTTTGGAGGACCCCGAATAAATGCCCAAGTCTATCTGTTCATCTGTCCATCCATCCATCCACCCATCCACCCTTCCTTCCTTCCATCCGTCCATCCATCCATCCATCCAGACATGCATACATCCAACCACCCACCCATCTATCTACCCACCCACCAATCTATCCATCCAACCCACTCTCTTATACACCCAGCTATCATCCACCTACCCATCCACCACCACCCTCTATCCATCCACTCACCCATGCATCTATCCACCCGTTTACTCATCTAACCATCTATCCACCCACCCATCCATCCATTTATCCCTCCAACCCCTCACCCACTCATCCATTTCTCCACCCACTCAGCCATCCCTTCACTGACTCAACCATCCATTCATTCGTCCACCTGCCCGCCCACCCATTATCCACCCATCCACCTATGTATCCATCCATCTGTTGTCCTTCTGTTCATTTATTCCACAAAGACTCGTTAACCACCTGCTAGATTCTGGGGAGGTACCTGCTCTAGTAATTGAGAACATGATCTCTGGAATATGATTCCCTGGGCTCAAACTGAGCTGCCTCCTAGCTAGCTGCTTGGGTAAGTTATAGAAACTGTGCTTTGACTTTCTTATCTGAAAATTGGCTATTAATAGCTTCTACTCTTGCAGATATAGTGAGGATTAAATAAGATGTCACATTAAAAGTGCATCATCGGCACTCAATAGAGATTAGGTTTTACCATTCATTATTATTCTTGGCAGATGCTGCAGATAACGTGGAGAGCATATGAAAGGCACATGTTTGAACCAATAGTGACATACAGACGCTAAGTTCTGCATTAGGGGAAGGTCAGACAGCCATGGAGAGGGCCTGGCCCAATCCTGGAGCCTCAGAAAAATGTTCCTCATTGAATTCCTGTTTTAGCTGAGACTTGTGGGATGGGTAGTAGTTGGAGATCCCAGACAGGATGTGACCGAGTTAGCCAGGGAAAAATTGGGTCCTGGCACCCATGGCAGAATTGATTGATCAGTTCTTCTGTCTCCTCTGTTTGGAAGTCCACTAGGTCTGGGAATGTCAAGTTGGGGGAGGGCGCTGACAATGATCATGACCTTCACCTGTCCTCACATGTCCTCTGTGTATCTGCAAAGCCTCTGCCTCAGTCTCCTCTTTTGGAAAGTGGGATTGGAAACCACATCTGCTTCTCTCCCAGGACTGCTAGGAAGACAAGATTAGATGGCAGGTGAGAGCTCCTTGAAAACAAAAACATTCTACTATTTGAATGCAAAGTGTTCTTCTTTGCCTGTGATGTTTCCTAATCTGTGAAATCATACTGGACCTCGAAGCTGTCTATTAAAAAAATAGCAAAGTGGCTGGGCATGGTGGCTCATGACTATAGTAGTTCTAGCACTTTGAGAGGCTGAGCGGGGTGGATCATTTGAGGCCAGGATTTCGAAACCAGCCTGGCCAATATGCGAAACCCCATCTCTACTAAAAGTACAAAAATTAGCCAGGTGTGGTGGCATCTGTCTGTAGTCCCACCTATTCGGGAGGCTGAGGCACAAGAATCATTTGAGCTCAGGAGGCAGAGGTTGCAGTGAGCCAAAATTGCACCACTGCACTCCATCCTGGGCAACAGAGTGAGGCTCTGTCTGAAAAAAGAAAAAAAAAAGCAAAGTTAACACTTCCTCCATCTCTCCCCTGGGGGAGGCAATTTGTCAAAGATTGTTGTTGGATTTTACACACAGGGAAATCTAAGGAAAGTGTGGAAATCAGACCGGGACTCCAGACTCTGGTCTCCCTGTTTGCAGAGTCTTAAAATGGGGAGCCACTTTGGGTTCTTTCTACAAGATTGCTTTTTTAAAAACAAACAAACAAACAAAAAAAAAACTCAAAAAAAAAAAAAAAAAAAGCCGTGACCTAAATATTCACAAGGGACCTTAGGCAATATCTGCAAACAAAAGTGAGTGAGGAGTGGAATCTGTCTTTACAACTAAGACAGCTCCAGAGTTAAAGCAAGTGGAAATATCTCTAGAGACAGAGACTTGGGCGGGTTTTGTTTTGTCACTTACAAGCTATGAGAACCTGGGCAGGTTTACCTCTCTGAGCTTCTGTGACCTTGTAAAATAGGCTGCATTGCGCTAAACTTGCAGGAGGAATCCCAGCATCCTCCTGTGCACAAGGCTGGTTTCTTCCCATCCTGTTCCTTGTTCTGCCTCTCTCCTCCTCTCCAAGAGACGAATACATTTGGAGCCAGTAGGGGCCTATGTTTGCAAAAGCTCGCAGGTGATTCTCATGCAGCCAGCCTGGCTCTGGCACTGAGTTCTTGGACATTTCTGGAGGCGCATTTACTAGTGAGGAAGGTCTCTCTGTGCTGAAGGCATGATTCATCTTCCATTCCTTTCTTCCATGAAGGAAGGCGCATGGGTCGACTGAGCTGGGAGAGTCCACGATGTCAGCCTCCCCCACGCTTCCCTCCCTCCTTATTCCTTGTGTGTTGTACTTTGTCTCGATTTCCTGTACTCTGCACCAAGCCAGGAGATGATAAGATCTCAAAAAAATCGTTTTTTGGGAAATGGGATCAAGAGGGTTTTTGTTTGCTTGTTTGTTTGAGACAGGGTCTGTCGCCCAGGCTGAAGTGCAGTGGCGTGACCTTGGCTCACTGCAGCCTTGACCTTCTGGGCTCAGGTGATCCTCCCACCTCAGCCTCCTGAGTAGCTGGGACTGCAGATGCACACCACCATGCCTGACTAATTTGTCTATTTTTTGTAGAGATGAGGTTTCACCATGTTGCCTAGGCTGGTCTCAAACTGCTGGGCTCAAGCAGTCCTCCATCCACCTCGGCCTCCCAAAGTGCTGAGATTACAGGCATGAGCTGCTGTGCCTGGCCAAAGTTTTTTTTTTATTATTATTACAAAAACTTTTCAATAAACATAAAAGTAGAGACACCAGTTTAATGAGCTATCATATACCCATCACATAGATTTAAAAACTATTAACATTTGCAATATTTACTTCATTTGTTTTTCTGAAGTATTTACAAAATAGTTGACAGTAGTTATGTAATTGCATCCTGATATTCATCCCTACGTAATTTACTTTCCCTCTAAAAACATGAGGGCACTTTTTATATGATCATTGTCATACCTAATCAAATTACCAGTAATTCCTTAATATCCTCTAAGATCAAGTTTACATTCAGATGCCTTGTCCTCAAAATGTCATTTGTGATTATTTTTTTCTTTGACAAAAGATAGTAAGATCTCAAGATTTAATGACAGAGATTCCATGTTAGCCCTGATGTCTAAGCTCTGTGGTCCATTGTGGCTTTACTTGAAAGTCTGAGGCTAGGCGTGGTGGCTCACATCTGTAATCCCAGCACTTTGGGAGGCCAAGGTAGGCGGATCATGAGGTCAAGAGATCAAGACCATCCTGACCAACATGGTGAAACCCTGTCTCTATTAAAAATACGAAAATTAGTCAGGTGTGGTGGCGGGTGCCTATAGTCCCAGCTATTCAGGAGGCTGAGGCAGGAGAATCACTTGAACCCGGGAGGCAGAAGTTGCAGTGAGCTGAGATTGCACCACTGGACGCCAGCCTGGGTGGCAAGAACAAGACTCTGGAAAAAAAAAAAGTCTCTCACTGTGGTCTCATAATAAAAGGACACTCCATTTCCCATCTGGTCCCTGCTCCTTAATGTTAGCCCCCTCCTGTGGGGAGGAAGGGGTGACTTTCAGCGCGGGTTCAAATATTCCCAGGGCTGGCTCTGATCCCAATAAAGCCCATCGTCATGAATGAATGCTTCCCTTGCAGGATATTCTAAGTATTGTAAATAGTGCACGTGGAGTGTCCTCATGATGCCTGGGATTGTAGTGAATATTTATAGGTTTCTTTTAGTGCCTTTTTTTTTTAAGTGTTTTCTATAGTTCCATGTTTCTACAACCCTTAGGAACATCAGAATCATGTGTGTGTGGGTGCTTATTAAATAAAAGAGTTCCTGGAGCTCACTCCCAGTGACTGCCAGTCTGATGATTAGGGGCTTAGCTAGGACCTAGGTTTGCAAAAGCTCCCAGCTGATCTCATGCAGCCAGCATGGCTCTGGCTCTGGCGCTGGGAGCTGGGTTGGGAACTAGTCTTTGGTGCTATTCTGCTGATACTTCAAGTTGGGCTCTTTGACTCCGTCTTGTATTGTCATCACTTGTATTCAGGTCTGTTCTTCCCCTGGATTGTAAACTCCTTGATGTCTGGGTCATCTCAGCTCATGAGCTGAGCTTTCAGTGGGTGCTCAGTGGAACAGGTGCTGAATGGAGTCCGGCTCTAGGGAGGCCAGGGTGTGTTGGTAAGTGAGAGACTAAAATCCTTTTAAAAAGAATCTTTTTGCCCTTCAGTTGTGTTTGCCATGAGTTAATGTGATTTACTCTAGTGGAAGCCAGTGCAGCTTAAGTGGAGGTCTTGCCCTGAAATGGAGCCAGGTTATGGATCAGCAGAGCTGCCAAAAGCGTTTTGGGGGAAATGTTTCTGTGTCACCCTCAGTTGATTGAACTCAAGTTTTCACTCCCGTTTAACACCATGTGGGGGCCATTCTGACTTCTGCGGAGTGGGTATGATCAGATCTTCTGTAAAAGTGTAAGTGAGGGGGCTGGGCACGGTGGCTCACACCTGTAATCTTAGCACTTGGGAGGCTGAGGTAGGTGGATCACTTGAGGCCAAGAGTTTGAGACAAGCCTGGACGACATGATGAAACCTCATCTCTACTAAAAATACAAAAATTAGCCAGGCGTGATGGTGCATGCCTGTAATGCCAGCTACTCAGGAGCCCGAGGCAGGAGAATCACTTGAACCTGGGAGGTGGAGGTTGCAGTGAGCTGAGGTTGCACCACTGCACAGTATTCCAGCCTGGGTGACAGAGCGAGACTCTGTCTCAAAAAAAAAATAAAAAAAAAAGTGTATGTGAGGAAACTGGAATTGAGCTTGGGGATGTTGGGGGATGGAGGTACTTCATTTACTGAACAACAAAAACCATAGGATACCAATCCTGGAGGAAGAAGCATCATCCTCAGATTCTACTAACTCAACCACGCATGAGATGGGGACTTGGTGTCTGAGAGAAAAGCTACTTTTTAGGTCTTCAACCTTGATCAAACCATTTCTGAATTCCTCATACATATATAATCAGGTGCTATGAGTGGTACTGATTGGATAATCTTTCTGTCTTTTCCTGTGCTAGGAAGGAAAATACATGTACAGCCAACTTCCTTGAGGGTTCGTTCTTTTGCATCAGGGTGTCTCAAACTGATGCCCTTAAAACACCTGTAAGAGAATCATCCAGGCGGCTTGCTTGCTCTGCATGCAGGCCCTTTAGAATCAGACTCAGAATCCCTGGGGCTGGAGCCACAAAATGAAATGACATTTCAACGAGTTTGTCATCATGTGAGAGAGAATAGGTGAGTATTTGGATACCTATAATACAAAGTAGATTCAAAAAGAATGACTTGATTATTTTAAATGTTGTGTTTTAAAAAATTTAATACAGAAAAGGCTGGGCACAGTGACCCATGCCTGTAATCTTAGCACTTTGGGAGGCCAAGGCGGGTGGATCATTTGAGGTCAGGAGTTCAAGACCAGCCTGGCCAACAAGGTGAAACCCCATCTCTACTAAAAACATAAAAATTAGCCAGGCAGTAGTGGTGCGTGCCTGTAATCCTAGCTGCGGGGGAGGCTGAGGCAGGAGAATTGCTTAAGCCTGGGAGGCAGAGATTTGGTGAGCTGAGATCGTACCACTGCACTCCAATGTGGGTGACGATTGTTTAACCACCACCAAAATGGGTTCTGAGTCCAACTATTAATATGAAGATGACATCCATTGTGGTCTTGTACATTTTGTTGCCTTTCCGGGGTGAAGGACATTGGTGACCATTTGTTTCCTCTGGAACGGTCGATTGGTCATGAACTTCCTGGTCCAGGTAGTCACTGTGTCATTCATGTTGGTGGTTGATCCTCAGGTAGTTAGGGAGGAAAATAAACAAGAAGTTATATATTTAAAATCACGTTTCAATTTTAGACCTGATTAATTGACTTAATAAAGGGCATTAGCACTTCTACTTCCTACAGTCCCTCTCTTTACCTCTGGAAACTAGTTATTTCTAGGTTGTTTTATGTTGTTAAGGTTGACCACCTTCTCTTTCTGTTCTGCAATCATAGTCCTATCACTAGCCTTTTGTCATGGTCATTCAATTCACAAGTTGCTTATTTTTTAATTTCTTGGCTGACTAAATTTTATTATGAAGACTTTTTTTTTTAAAGAGCTCAGAAATACTGTATTCTTTAAGTTCTTCAGCATGTGTCTTTTGCCTATTTTGATTGGGCAATAATTTAGCTGGCTATAAAATTCTTGGATTATACTCTATTTCCCTTAGAAATTATAGGCACCCATCCACTGACATTTCATTGTGCTTTATTTTATTTTATTTTATTTTATTTTTTGAGATGGAGTCTTGCTCTGTCACCCAGGCTTGAGTGCTGTGGTGCAATCTCGGCTCACTGCAAGCTCTGCCTCCCGGGTTCACACCATTCTCCTTCCTCAGCCTCCCGAGTAGCTGGGACTACAGGCGCCCACCTCCACGCCTGGCTAACTTTTTTGTATTTTTAGTAGAGACGGGGTTTCACCGTGTTAGCCAGGATGGTCTCGATCTGCTGATCTCGTGATCCACCGGCCTTGGGCTCCCAAAGTGCTGGGATTACAGGTGTGAGCCACTGTATGAGCCCAGCCCCATTGTGCTTTGTACTAACCCCCTTTCCCTGGCCTCTTCCAGCTTGTCTTCTTCTCTCCCAGTAGTTTCTTCATGAAGAGGCCATGTGCTATATTCCATGAGATATTTCACACTCAAAGAAGACTTCTTTTATACTCTTGTGATAATTTGTCTGGGAATCACTGTCTTGATTTGTAAGGGAGTTTGTAATAAATACAATAAAAGAGAAACACAATATATTTTGAGACATCAGAGAAGGGAGAAACCAATTCTATTAATATTTGGGGTTAGCAGGGAAGGCTTAGTTAAGAGGTAACATTTGAACTAAGCCTTGAAATAAGGGAAAGATTTGGCCATGCAGAAATGGCGAGAGAGTAGAAGCAAGACATGATGGTTAGTGTTATGTATCAATTTGACTGGGTTGTGGGGTGCCCAGATATTTGGCTACACATTATTCTGGGTGTGTCTCTGAGGTATTCTGGATGAGGATAACATTTAATTGGTAGACTGAATAAAGCAGATTGTCCTCCCCAATGTGGGTGAGCCTCATCCAATCCATTGAAGGCCTGAACAAAACAAAAAGGTAGAATCACAGAGAATTTGCTCTTTTTACCTGATTATATTTGAGCTGGGACATCAATCTTCTCCTGACTTTACATGTGGACTCGAGTTGGAACTATATCATTGGCTGTCCTGGGTCTCCAGCTTGCTGGCTGCAGACTCCAGGACTCCTTAGCTTCCATAACCAGGTGAGCCATCCCTTACAACAAATCAATCTGTCTCTCTCTATGTGTATATCTCTACCTCTATCTCTCTGCTCTTTCTCTGGAGAACCTAGAATAATACACAAGGTTATATTAGAGAAGAGGATGACCCAAGGAAAAGCATGGAGGCAGAAAAGTGCAAAGAGGGTTTGGGAAGACTGGGGTCCTGATGGGGAGTTTGGATTTCTCTGTGTGTAGCATGGAGAATCCTTGAAAATATTCAAGAGGTGAAAATTGTATTTGTGGAAGAACACCAGGAGTATGTGAAAAGAAAAACACTCACTCCATTTTAACTCCACTGAAGGGGGCATCAACGGGATGCACTGGGGACATGGGTTGGAGGGTAGTTGAGGCCATATCTGGAGGATCTTTACTTCTAAGCTGATTCTGAAGTTATCTTTCTGGGGAGTGGGAAATTACAAATCTTTGAGCTCCACTCAAGAGATGGTTTTGCTAACAATGGCAGGACGACGGTGGTGGTGGTGGTGGGAAACTGGTAGCATGAATTCTAATTGGGTTTCTGTTATTCTAGCCGAGAAAATTGGGGAATGGACTTTCAGTAGAATAATACAGATCTGGGAATCAACTGCATGGAGGAGGTAGTTATAGGTGATGAGATGTCTCAGGGACAAAGTTTGGTAGAAGGAGAAAAGATACTAGGCTGCTACAAAAATAATTGCTGTTTTTGCCATTACTTTTAATGACAAAATCCGCAATTACTTTTGCACCAACCTAATAGGATGCAAACTTCGGAGCCATCTGCATCAGAGGGATTGATGAAGATCAACAAAGTTTGGGAACACAGGAAAGGAGCGGGGAGGGTAATGACTTGAGGGCATAGCAGGGATAATCAAGGTTTTTCTTGTTAGCATGTGGAGACTTAAGCATGATTATATGTTAATCGCCTGGCACATACACGGTGCAAAATATTTATGAGTGAAACGACAAGTGAAGGTGGTGAGTCATGGGAGTTCCAAGGGAACGGGTGATAAAGGCAGGTCTCAAATGAGGCACAAGTGGAGAAGGTAGCTTGGGAAAGGAGAAGGATGCTTCTCCTTATAACATGGGAAAGGCAGAGGAAGAGGATCAAGATACAGTGATCTAGGGGTGAGATGGAAGTGAGTTGAGAGAACTCAACTCTGGGCTCTGAAACCCCTAGGGCTGGGTTTGGGGGGCTTTGAGATATGGAAGAGGTTTACAGTCAATTGTTATAGCAAATATGGTTTGGAATTTATTTGTGATGCTTAAAAATATTGCTGAACAGAAGTGAAGTCTGCCCTAGAGTTGGATGGTGAGATTATTTAGTGGAACTACCAGATCCATGTTGTGATTCTTTCCAGTATCATTCAGCAGCCCTTGGGCAGTTGCGAGGCAAGTCGTCAATGGGGTATGGAGATTTTCCAGGTGGGTGTGGTTGAAGGAAGGGAAGAAAGAGTTTAGGAGCACATTACAAGAAGAAGGTGACTGTAAGGTCCAGGCTGAGCAGGAAGGTAAAGCAAGAAGGAAACATGAGGTTGTGAAGAGAAGTTTAGAGGGATGAGGAGGCAGGAGAGGTGAACAGTTGCAGGATGTAGCTAGAGTGGCGATGTTAGATCTTGGGGCCAGAGAGCTTTACAATGATTATGAAGATCAAAGGGCATTAGAATCAAGCTATAAAGAGCCACTGTTTGATGTTGGGATGTGAGGATGCTGCAGGTGGATGTCTGCACATTGATGGTGAGAACATGGTCACCCTGGCCCTGCTGGGTCTTTGCTAAAGAGACTGTGCTCTGTTCTTGGGGCCGTTTTCATCACCTGATTACAGCAGTGGTCCCCAAATGGTGTTCTTTGGACCATCTGTATAAAATGTTCATAGGTCAAGGATAAAATGGAAAAACAGAGAAAATGTCACAGAAATGTGCCCATTGTTGAGAGACCACCAGCTGTCCTTTTTGGAGGATTGTTCTTTATTCTAAAAATGTATATATTCTATTCTATTAAAACATTTTTGTATTGGCATTTTTTTCTCTTTTATGAAATGCCATGGGGTAGAAATTTGTAATGTATCCAATTCTCCTGTCTTCATGTATTGCCCTGTGGTGGGGGAGGGGATGTGGCTAGTACTGGCCAAGAGGCTGGGGGCAGAGGTGCAATGTTAGACTTCTAGCCTGGAGCATTTAATTCTTAGTACAAGACTCTCTAACATTCTTCTCCCTCTGTTCCCTGCTTGGTGATACTCGAGGTATTGCAACCCCCATTAACCTTAGTCTTAGGGCAAGTTTGATGGGAAACAGAGCACCCCACACCTCCCTGCAGATGAAGCATGAGTGAGAAAAACAACTTCTGATGTTTGAAGTTACCAAGATTTGGGAGTTGTTTGTTATTGCAGCAAAACCTCACCTATTCTGACCAATCATGGTGGAATTTCTGTGTGTGTGTGTGTGTGTGTGTGTGTGTGTGTGTGTAACTGGTAGTTTAAAAAAGTTCCTTCTTACCCAAAAGAAAAAAAAGATAGCAACCTTATGTTGGTTCTCAAATTAAAAAAATATTTTTACTCGTTCATAAAATAGAAAAATCTGAGAATCTGTAGCTTAGAGAACTACAGTGTGGGATGTCTATAAAGACCAGGTTATTTTATCAGCTCCTAACACCCCTTAATAGAAGCTTAGCCAAGACTTGCACTATTTCAGTCTTTCCCATTCCACATTCCATGGACTCTTGAAGAGACATTGATGAAACGGTGCAGCCATGAACCACCCTCACTCAATCCTAGTGGCAGAATCCCCCTTTTACTGCAGAATGAGCTTCTTGCTACAGTGATACTTGAACCCCTTAGATATATCCTGTACTAATTATATTAAAACACGACCAATGCTTTTGCTTTGTTGTCCCCCAAATTAAACACCTTAATCATGAGAACCCAGAGAATTGGATTTAGTGTAACTGATTCCAAACTGTCAGAACATAATTTATATTTTTCTCCAATTCAATTAAAAGAAAATTGACAATAAAAAGCTGATCAATACGTGTAGCTCAGGAGGTAGAGCCTGCTTTGAGATGCAGAAGTGTTTTTTTTTTTTTAGATCTATATTCTTGAGTAAAGAAAAAATCCATCTTTCTTTCCTAGAGGGGAAGAGTTTCAGAGCTGGTCTTGGCAACAGCCTGACTATCAGAGGCTGAATTAAACAAATAGATACCTCCCTGGAGTGAATGGTGTGTTTCTCCTGTTTGGGGAACCGTGCTTTTATGGGGCAGTTTGCGTTCTGTCTTGGTCTCCGGATGTGTGTATCTGTGGGTGGATGTCTGCATGTAAATGGAAGTGTATACCTGTGTGGGTGTGTACAAAATTCCCATGTGAATCTCAGCTTTGTGGGGATCTCCAGTTCTTGAGCCCAGTAGATGCCATTTGAAGAAAAAATCACTTGAAAATGAGACAGAAAGAATAGAAACTAAATCCTAGCTCTAAAGGCACCAGGCTGATTAAAAAAAAAAAAAAAACTCAGGTTCTTCTTTGTTTTGGACTCTACCTACCTCTAAATGACATTTCTGTTTCCTATGAGATGATTAGAATGAAAAAGATCCTGAGCCCGAAAGAGCAGATACTGTGTGATAGTGTGTATATCAGGGTGTCAGCTGTGACACTGCTGACATTTTGGCTCAGCAATTTCTCTGTTCTATGTGTGGGGGTTCCCTGTGCATTTCAGGATGTTGAGCGGCATCCCTGGATCCCTGGACTCACTGGAT
This sequence comes from Homo sapiens, assembly GCF_000001405.40. NCBI lineage: Eukaryota > Metazoa > Chordata > Mammalia > Primates > Hominidae > Homo > Homo sapiens. The sequence continues at coordinate 5,770,428 of NW_018654717.1, read as the reverse complement.
GCAGTAACACAACTCCCCCCAAGTAGACACAACCCTCAGTGTCTCCAGATATTCCCTAATGTCCCCAGGGGGCAAAATAGCCCCATCTGAGAACTGCTGCTTTCATAAAGTACAATGTCAGGTGAAATAGGTGGAGGCTGTTTGTAGTCAGGGGTTAGTAGAGATGGAAGAGACCCCAGGAATATCCTGGAAGGGGCTGTAATATTTTGTTTCTTGAATTGGGTGTCAGTAATATGGAGATGTTCAGTTTTTTTTTGTTGTTGTTGTTGATTTTGAGGCAGGATCTTGCTCTGTCACCTAGGCTGGAGCACAGTGGCACCGTCATGGCTCACTGCAGCCTCTGCCTCCTGGGCTCCAGCAGTCCTCCCACCTCAGCCCTCCCTAGTAGCTGGGACTACAGGCAGGTGCCACCACTGTTGCCTAATTTTTTATTTATTTATTTTTTGTAGAGAGGAGTGTCTCACTATGCTGCCCAGGCTGGTCTCAAGCTCCTGGGCTCAAACAATCTGCTCACCTCGGCCTCCCAAAGTGCTGGGATGGCAGGCATGAGCCACTGCTTCTGGCCAGTATGTTCAGTTTGTAAGAAAAGTACTGTGTTGACCTCTTCTATGTGCACATTTCTTTAAGTAATAATTCAATAAAGCATTTAGAAAAATTGGTCATAATAGGAGTAATTTGTAGAGTGATTGGCATGAAAGCTGATCACCTTAATTTGAACTACTCTGAAATGAGCACCAGGGGCCACCAAGAGGACCATTTCAAGGTGTCATAGCCAAGGAGAGGAGTGTGTTGTGTACATCTCTGCATAAAGGATTTGCTGGTTACATGGAAGGATGAAGCCTCCTTCTGAGGACAGAGGCAGCAAAGCAAGTGGAAGCCCAAAGCATTGAGCTTTCCAAATGGACTTTGCTAAAATCTTGTGGATGGCTCATGCTCTTAACATACACCCATGTACATATTGTCCATATAAACATTAATTCTGTAACAAGGCCCACACTTAAGGGTTTTTTTTTTTTTCTTTTGTGACAGTCTTGCTTTATTGCCTAGGCTAGAGTACAGTGGCATAATCGTGACTCACTGCAACCTCCGCCTCCTGGGTTCAAGCAATGCTTGTGCCTCAGCCACCTGAGTAGCTGGGACTACAGGTGCAGAACACCATGCCTGGGTAATTTTTGTATTTTTAGTAGAGACGGGGTTTCACCATGTTGGCCAGGCTGGTCTCAAACTCCTGGCCTCAAGTGATCTGCGCACCTCAGCCTCCTAAAGTGTTGGGATTACAGGTGTTAGCCACTGCACCTGGGCCCATACATAAGGTTTGAGTTGAGATAGAGAAACTCTGGCAGGACTGAGGAATTGGGCCACAGTCTCTGGGAAATATGCACAATTTCTGGAATCTTCTCTACTTCCAGAATTCCCACTTTCTGTCTCCTGTTTATTCAACAAACTTGTATGGAACCACAGTGTGTCTAGAACTTGCCAGGTGTGGAGGATAAAAAGATGACTGAGATCGGACATGGTGGCTCATGCCTGTAATCCCAGCACTTTGGGAGGCCAAAGCAGGCGCATCACTTGAGGGCAGGAGTTTGAGCACAGCCTGGCCAACATGATGAAACGTCTTTACTAAAAATACAAAAATTAGCCAGGCATGGTGGCATGCACATGTAGTCCCATATACTTGGGAAGCTGAGACAGGAGAATCGCTTGAACCCAGGAGGCAGATGTTTCAGTGAGCTGAGATCACACCGCTGCATTCCAGCCTGGGAGACAGAGCAAGATTCCATGTCAAAAAAAAAGATGACTGAAATACAGACTCCCTCAGAGTTGACTCTAACACAAACTAGGTAAGAGCCCAAGGTCTGGCTGGGCAGACACCTTGATCGGCCTCATCCTGCAGCGTCTACTAGAATGAAGAATACTTTTTTCTTTACCCATGAAAATGTTTTGTGCTTCATACCCACAAGTGCAATTTGTGTTAATTCTGCAAAATTTGCCGCATAACTCTGCCTGTATTCTTAGCATTTTTCCTTTGAGAGATTTCTCAGCACATCATCTTTGGACTATGTGGAATTGGAAATTTACTTAGAGTCAACAACAAGTACAGGAAAGTCAGTTCTTAGTCAAGAGTTAGGTTTTCAAAGACAGTGGATAAAATAAAAAATTAACATTTGATGTACAGTTAAGATTATACGTGCAAATCCCCTCATCATTCATAAAGTTTAGCAGTCAGTCTTACCGTGGCTCACCAGGTCCAATCCATACTTCTTCCTCCACGATTGGAGCAGAGGGTGATTTTTTTTCTGAGCAACTGATGAAGTCATTTAGAGACCATTTGCAGTAGAAACCATGTGTACTAGAGACCAATCAATGTGCTCTCATGGCAGCATTTCTGCCTCTCTCCGTCTTTGTTCTTGCCAAGTACCCACAGTTCATTTTCCATAGATTGAAAGAGCCCAAGTTGGGCCTATATCTAGGAGTACAATTGCTAGGTCATTTGGTAACTCTATGTAGAATTGTTTGGGAAGTTGTTAAACTGTTTCTCACAGTGGCTACACCATTTTAATTCCTACCAGCTGTGTATGAAGGTTCTAGTTTCTCTGCATCCTCACCAAAACTTGTTATTTTCTGTTTTTTTTTTTTTTTTTTTTTTTTTTTTTTGAGACAGAGTCTTGCTCTGTCGCCCAGGCTGGAGTGCAGTGGCACAATCTCAGCTCACTGCAACCTCTGCCTCCAGATTCAAGTTACTCTCCTGCCTCAGCCTCCCGAGTAGCTGGGATTATAGGAACCTGCCACCATGCCTGGCTAATTTTTGTATTTTTTTAGTACAGACAGGGTTTCACCATGTTGGCCAGGCTGGTCTCACACTCTTGGCCTCAGGTGATCCACCTGCCTCGGTCTCCCAAAGTGCTGGGATTACAGGCATGAGCCACCGCACCAGGCCAATTTTCTCTATCTTCGATTCTAGCCATGCTTATGGGTATGAAGTGGTATCTAATTGTGGTTTTGATTTCTGTTTCCCTGATGATGAATTTCATTGAGCATCTTTTCATGTGCTTATTGACCACTTGTATGTCTTCCTTGGAGATGCGCAGTATTTTCATATTCAAAAATGAAAGCACAGGTCCACACAAAATTTTGTACATGAATAATTACAGTAGCATCACTCCTAATAACCCAAAGAGAGAATTAATCCAAATGCCCATCACCAGATGAAGAGATACACCTATTGTTGTCTACCCACATGGTGGAATATTATTTGATCACAAAAAGGAGGATAGTACATACGCTACAGCGTGGATGAACCTTCAAAACAGATGAAAGATCACATTCTACATGATTTCATTCAGATGGAAATCTACAGAAATAGGAAGTCGATTAGTGGTTGCTTAGGGGTGGTAGGGGCATGGGAGGATGGGGGTGTTAGCTAAAGGGTATGAGGTTTCTTTTTGAGGTCATGAAATGTTCTAAAATTGACTGGTAATGTTTGTGTATATCTCTGAATATATTGAAAACCATTGAAATGTAAAAAATGCAAAGAAAAAACAGCCCAAGTTGCAATTTTATTCAACGCTTGATTGGCTTTAAAAATAGATTCCAGGCTGGGCATGGTGGCTCACACCTGAAATCCCAGTGCTTTGGGAGGCTGTGGTGGGAGGATTGCTTGAAGCCAGGAGTTCCAGGCCAGCCTTGGCAACATGGCAAGACCCTGTCTGTACAAAAAAAGAAAAAATAAATAACAGCTGGGTGCAGTGGTCCACACTTGTAATCCCAGCACTTTGGGAGGCAGAGGCGGGCAGATCACCTGACATCAGGAGTTCAAGAGCAGCTTGGCCAACATCCTGAAATCCCGTCTCTACCAAAAATATAAAATTTAGCCTTTTGGTACTCTGAGCAGCACCATGGCGGTTGTTAAGAACAAGTGCCTTATGAAAGGTGGCAAAAAGGGAGTTAAGAAGAAAGTAGTTGGTCCATTCTCTAAGAAAGATCAGTATGATGTGAAAGCACCTGCTATGTTCAATATAAGAAATACTGGAAAGACCTGGTCGCCAGGACCCAAGGAACCCAAATTGCATCTGATGGTCTCAAGGGTCTTCTGTTTGAAGTGAGTCTTGCTGATTTGCAGAATGATGAAGTTGCATTTAGAAAATTCAAGCTGATTACTGAAGATGTTCAGGACAAAAACTGCCTGACTAATTTCTATGGCATGGGTCTTACCTGTGACAAAATATGTTCCATGGTTGAAAAATGTTCAACGATGGTTGAAGCTCATGTTGATGTCAGGACTACCGATGGTTACTTCTTTCATCTATTTTGTGTTGGTTTTACTAAAAAACACAACAATCAGATACTGAAGACCTCTTATGCTTAGCACCAACAGTCTGCCAAATCCAGAAGAAGATGATGGAAATCATGACCTGAGAGGTGCAGACAAATGACTTGAAAGAAGTGGTCAATAAATTGATTCCAGACAACATTGGAAAAGATACAGAAAAGGTTTGCCAATTTATCCTCTCCATGATGTCTTCATTAGAAAAGTAAAAATGCTGGAGAACCCTGGGTTTGAAAGGCATGGAGCTTCGTGGTGGAGGTAGTAGTTCTGGAAAACCCACTAGGGACGAGACACATGCTAAAGTTGAATGAGCTGATGGATAGGAACCACCAGTCCAAGAATCTGTTTAAAGTTCAGACTTAAAACAGTACCAAATAAAAAGTCCTATTTGTGAAAAACAAACAAGAAACAACAATGAAAGAGCAAAATTACGCTGATGTGGTGGTGTATGCCTGTAATCCTAGCTACTCAGGAGGCTGAGGCATGAGAATCACTTGAACCCGGGAGACAGAGGTTGCAGTGAGCCAAGATGGCACCATTGCACTCCAGCCTGGGCAACAGAGTGAGACTCTCTCCAAAAGGAAGAAAAAAAAAAAAAGTATCCGGGCTTGGTGGCATGCGCCTGTAGTCTCAGCTACTCTGAAGGCTGAGACGGGAGGATGGATTGAGACCAGGGGTAATTTGAAGCTGCAGTGAACTATGATTGTGACAGTGCACTCCAGCCTGGACTGCAGAGCAGGACCCTGTCTCTTGTACATACACACACACACACACACACACACACACACACACACACATACATACCCAGGTTCTACCTCTGGTGATTCTGACTCAGTAGGGTGGGGTATCCCCTAGGGATCCTGCTGTCCAGCCTGGTCTGGGATCCACTTTTCATTGGGAACTGAGACACTGGCTGTGAGCCTTTCTGTCCTGAGATGTAGAGGTCATGGCGATGCAGGTTCAAGCTTAAGGAGACCTGACTGTGCGTTAGGTATTGTGCTGAACATCATCTCTTACTCTCACAGCAACATCCTTAGAAGGTTAATGATGTATCCGTGCTCTACAGATGAGGAACTGAGCTTTCAGAGGAGTTTAGCTTGTTTAAAACTATTCTTCCTATTGGAAACTTTGTACCCTTTGACCAGTGTCTCCTATCCCCTCCCTTTCCTTCACCCCAGCCCCTGATAACCACTGTCCTACTCTCTATTTCTGTGAGTTCAACTTCTTTAGATTCCACATACAATAAAATCATGCAGTATCTGTCTTTCTGTGCCTGGCTTATTTCACTTAACACAATGTCTTTCAAGTTCATCTATGTTGTTGAAAATGACAGGATTTCTTTCTTTTTTAAGGGTTAATAGTATTCCTTTGTGTGTATATAGTACATTTGCTTTATCCTTTCATCCACTCATGGACACTTAGGTTGATTCTATATCTTGGGTATTGTGAATAGAGCTGCAGTGAACATAGGAATTTAGGGATCCCTTCGACATATTGATTTTGATTTTTTTTTGGCCTATATCCAGAAGTTGAGTTGCTGGATTATATGTTTTGAAATCTATAGCACAGCAGCGTGACTATAGTCAATAATAATGTATCTTTCAAAATAACTAAGTGGGTACATTTCAAATGTCTCATCATGAAAATTGTCAGTAAATTAGGGGATGGACGTGTTCATTAGTTTGATCTAATCATCCCACATTGTATACATATATCAAAACATCACATACATGGG